>NC_000004.12:153769865-154072896 GCF_000001405.40 Homo sapiens
CCGGTGTAGCTGCATCATTTTACAAACCCACTAGCAATGTATGTGGGTTCTGATTACTTCACATTCTCACCAACAGTTATGATCTGACTTTTTGACTCTGGCCATTCTGGTGGGCATAAAGTCATATCTCATTGTGGCTTTGATTTGTATTAAATATTTTCCTAGAGACTAATAATACCAAGCATCTTTTTGTGTGATTATTGGCCATTTGAATATCTTTTTTTTTTGTTTTTGTTTTTTGAGACAAGGTCTCACTTTGTTGCCCGGGCTGGAGTGCAGGGTGTGACAGTGATTTCTCTTGCCTCAGCCTCCCCAGTAGCTAGGACTACAGGCATGTGCCACCATGCCTGGCTAATTCTTAGTTTTTTTATAGAGACGAGGTCTTGCTGTGTTGCCCAGGTTGACCGTTTGAATATCTCTGGAGAAGAGTCTATTCAGTTCCTTTGTCCATTTTTAAATTGAGTTATTAGTTATTTTATTGTTGAATTTTAAGTGTTCTTTATATATTCTATGTGACAGTCTTTTGTTAGATATATGCTTTGCAAATTTTTTTCTCATTCTTTGGGTTGTCTTTTCATTTTTTTGATAAAACTTTCAAAACATGAAAATTTGAAATTTACTCATGTGTTCTTTTGGTGTCATGTCTAAAAAACCATTGCCTAATCCGGGGTCATGAAGAATTATTCCTGTGTTTCTTCTAAGAGTTTATAATTTTAGTTCTTAGATTTAGGTCTTTGATTGAGTTTGAATCAATTTTTTTTGTTTTTGAGACAAAGTCTCACTCTGTCACGCAGGCTGGAGTGCAGTGGCGTGATCTCAGCTCACTGCAACCTCTGCCTCCTGGGTTCAAGGGATTCTTATGCCTCAGCCTCCCAAGTAGCTAGGATTACAGGCAGCTGCCGTGATGCCTGGCTCATTTTTGTATTTTTTTAGTAGAGATGGGGTTTCACCATCTTGGCCAGGATGGTCTCGATCTCCTGACCTCAGGTGATCCACCCACCTCAGCCTCCCAAAGTGCTGGGACTACAGGCATGAGTCACCGTGCCTGGCCGAGTTTGGATCAGTTTTTATATTTGGTGTGAGGTAGGGGTCCAAGTTCATTTTAGTTTCTTTCTTTCTTTTTTTTTTTTTTTTCCCTCATGTGGCTATCCAGTTGTCCTGGCACCATTTGTTATTTGTTGTAAAGACTATTCTTTCCCCATTGAATTCCTGTCTTGGCACCCTTGTGAAAAATCAATTGATCATAATATAATGGTTTATTTTGGAACTCTCAATTCAATTTTATCAGTTTATATGCCAATCCTTATGTCAGTACCACAGTGTGTTGATTATTGTGGCTTTGTATTAAATGTTAAAAAAGGAAAGTGTGAGTCATCCAACTTTGCTCTTTCTCCTCCCCTCCCACCAACTTTGTTCTTCTTTTGCAAGATTTTCTTAGCTATTCCTGGTGCCTTGAGTTATCATAAGAATTTTAGAATCAGTTTGTCAGTTTCTGCCAAAAAGGCAGCTAGAATATTGATAAGATTATTTTGAATCTATGGACCAATTTGGGAATATCACTGTATTAATACTAAGTCTTCCAATTCAGGAATGTGGGATGCTTTTCTATTTATTTAGTTTTAAAATTTATTTCAATTATGTTTTGTAGTTTTCAGTTTGCAAGTTTACACTTTTCATTTGTTAAACTTATTCCTAATTATTTTATTCTTTTTAATGCTAGAGTAGAGTTGTTTTCTTAATTTTATTTTTGTATTGTTGATTGCTATAGAAATACATTTGATTTTTGCATATTGATTATGTATCTTGTAAACTTGCTGAACTCCTATTAGTTGTAGTAGATTTTCAGTGGCTTCCTTAGAATTTTTTATATATAAATCATGTTTTCTGTGAATAGAAGTAGTTGTTTTACTTCTTCCTTTCCAATCTGGATTCTCATGCTCTCTCTCTTTCCTCTCTTCTGCCTCCTTCTTTCATTTTTTTCGTTTCTCTTTTTTCCATACTGTGTTGCCCAGAACTTCTAGTACTATATTGAATAAGAGTGGTGAGAGTGTACCTACTTGTATCTTCCTGATCGTAAAGGGAAAGTATTCAGCCATTCACCATTAAGTATGATGTTAACTATGAGATTTATGTAGATGGCTTTATCCGGTTGAGGAAGTTCCTTTTTATTGCTAGTTTACTGAGTGTTATTATCTGAAAAGATACTGGATTTTTTCAAGTGCTTTTCAGCATCCGTTGATATAGTCATGTGATTTTGCTCTCTTATTCCATGAATATAGTGTCTTACATTGATTGTTCTTTATATGATAAATCAACCTGGCATTCCTGGGATGAATGCCACTTGATCATGTTGTATAATTCTTTTAATATGCAGCTTCATTGTTAAGGATATTTGCATCTATGTTCATAAGGAATATTGGTCTACAGTTTTCCTTCCTTGTGATTTCTTTTTCTGGTTTTGGTATCAGGTTAATTTTGGCCTCATAGAATAACTTGGGAAGTGTTCCCTCCTCTTCTGTTTTTTTTTTTTTTTTTGCAAAATTTGTGAATGACTGATGTTAATTCTTCCTTAAATGTTTGGAATTCACCAGTGAAACCATCTGGGCCTGAACTTTTCTTTGTGGGAAGTTTTTTGATTACTGATTCAATCTCTTTCATTGTTGTAGGTCTATAAAGATTTTCTACTTGCTCTTGAGTCAGTTTTGAAATTTTGTGTCTTTCTAAGAATTTGTCAATTTTGTCTAGGTTATCCAATTTTTTGGCATATAATTGTTTATTGTATTGTCTTATAATCTCTTTTATTTCTGAAAGGTTGGTAGTAATAGTCCACTTTCATCCCTGATTTTAGTAATTTGGGTTTTCTCTCTTTTTATTTTGGTCAAACTAGCTAAAGTTTTGTCAATTTTATTGATCTTTTAAAAGAATAAACTTTTCATTGATTTTGTCTATTATTTTCCTATTCTCAATTTTATTTACATCTGTTATAATCTTTACAATTTCATTTCCTCTGCTTGCTTTGGGCTTAGTTTACTCTTATTTTTTAAGGTAGAAGGTGAGATTATTGCTTTAAGATCTTTTTTCTTTTTAAATATAGGCATTTGCAGCTATTTCCCTCTGAGCATTGCTTTAGCTGCATCCTATACATTTTGGCTTTGTTGGGTTTTTGTTTTCATTCACGTAAATGTCAAACACATTTAGGAATGTGTTGTTTAATTTCTGTATCTTTGTGAGTTCTTCAAATTTCCTTCTGTTATTTATTTCTAATTCCATTTCGTCGTGATTGGAGAGCATACTTTGTGTGGGTTTATAAAGTCCTTCTAAGTTTATTGAGGCTTGTTATACAGCCTAATGTGGTGTATCCTGGGGAATTCTCCAGTTGCACTTGTGTGGTAAGTTCAAGGATTTGGGGGCTAATCAAGGAAAGACAGGAGCACAAGATGGCAGTGTTGTACAGTAAGCTTTTTTGGTGGTATTTGAACAGGGTTGCAGGAGAGGGGAAGTCTCTCACAGCAGGAGACCTTCCAGAGACAGGGCCACCATCCAAAAGGGGAAAAGGGTAAGGGAACTCCTAGAGGAGAGGGGAATTGGAGGCGGGGCTCATGTGTCTAGGTGATGTCACTCAGCAGCAAGGTGGAGAGTTTCGGATCAGATGGCTTTGAAGGGCAGTATTGGGTGGGGTCTTTTCTAGCCACAGAGTTTGTCTTATCTATGACAAGCAGATGTGGGCCTACATTTAGAGCCTATCCTGTTTTGCAAAACTGCAGGGCATGCAAAACAGGATAGGCACTAAATGGTAAAAAGTATACTTATTTAGGATATATTTAAGGCAATTAGATGTAAGAATTTAGTGTGGTCCTGGTGGGCTTTCAACTACTGGTCCCAGCCTCTTGTGAAGAAGTAAACAACATGAGGGCCAATATACAGAGACCATCTTTGGCCCATTTATATAACAACTTGAGAAAAGTTGGCTGATAGTATCATTCGAGTCTTCTATTTCCTCATTGATCTTCTGCTCTCATTTGTTCTTTCCATTATTGAAAGTATGGTCTTGAAGTCTCCAACTATTATTGTTGAATTGTCTATTTTCTCTACTTTGTCCTTTATCAGCACATCCATCCTACCTTCTTCTTTGCCCACATAACTCCTTATATCATAAAGGATTCATATTGGTCATCTGTCTGGCTTTGATGGGCAGAGGGTAACTTTACTGGTTTGGGGATAGTTTTGTTTAATTTTTCTTTTCTAGCCTTGCATCTCTGTGAGCCAATGCACACATTCTAATCCTCTGTAGGACAAGTGTTTAATGGTGTTAGACCAGGAAATGTAATAGAGACCATGCTTTACTCGGAGCCCTGCCCTGCTTTTCACTTTCATCAATGAGTGTTAAAATTGTTAGAAGTTCAAAACACTCAAAAGATTATTATGACCTCCCCACACCATTCCCATATTTTTATTCCATAAACAAACAAAAACACCAAAACCCATTAACTTAGTTTTAAAAATATAAAGAAGTACACAATTATCTGGTTTTGTCTCATGATGACTATTTTGATGATTTTTTTGAGAAAACAAAAAATTAAGTGCTTTTTTCTTTTCCTGTTTTTGGAATTCCCACTTTAATGGCACCCTAAACACAAAGCTTTGTCCATTATGGAGGCACTATAAGAAAACCTCCTTTGTCCCATAGGACCTGGATGGCAAGTATCCAGGATATAGCTACCACTTCCTCCTCCCATGCCTATGGCAGACACCATCACAACCATACGTACATCCTCTTCCATGAAATGTCTGTACATGCTTTGCTCATTTTCTAAGTGCTTTGTTTGATTTTTTTACTGTTAAGTTTTGTGGGTTCTTTATATATTCTAGATACAAGTCTTTTATTCCTAATCTGTAACTTGTTTTTTTACCCTCTTAACAGGGCCTTTTACATAGCCAAAGTTTTACCTTTTTATGAGGTTCAATTTATTCATTTTTCCTTTTGTGGATTGTACTTTTGGTATCAAATCTAAGAACTCTTTGCCACGTTCTAGGTCTTGAAAAGATAAGTTTGTCTTATTTTTCAAAAACTTTTATAGTTTTCTATTTTACACTTAAGTTAATGGTTCATTTGAGTTAACTTTTGTGTGCAATGTTAGATTTAGATTTTTAATTTTTTTATTTGCCTGTGGGATAGCCAATTGCTCCAGCACCATTTGTTGAAAAGAGGATTTCTACTTCATTGAATTGCATTCACATCTTTGTCAAAAGTTATTCGAGTATATTTGTCTGGATTCATTTCTGGATTCTCTGTTCTATTCCACTGATCTGTGTCTGTCCTCCACACTGTCCTGATTACTGTAGCTATATAGTAAGCCTTAACATGGGAGGAATGATTTCTCCCACTATATTATTTTTCAAAATAATTTTGGCTAGTTTAGAGCATTTTTATTTTAATATATATTTTACAATAAGATTACCCATGTTTACAAAAAGCTTGCTGAGATTTTGATAGGAATTGCTTTAAATCTGTCAGTCAGTTTGGGGAGAATTGATATCTTTACTATATTAAGTCTTCAAATCTATGAAGATAGCATATCTCTCCAATTATTTAGGTCGTCCTTGATGTCTTTCATCAGCATTTTGGATTTATCAAAATATAGAACCTGTACATACACTGTTAGATTTATACCTAAGTATTTTATTTTCTTTGGAGCAATTCTAAATGGTTATAGTGTTTTATACTAACAACAAAACAACTTGTTGGTATGTGTAAATGCAGTCACTTTCGAGTGTCAATCTTGTATCCTGTGACCTTACCCAACTCACTTATTAGTTCTCAGTGTTTTGTAGATTCGTTGGGATTTTTAAAATGTAGATAATTGTATTTGTAAATAGACAATGTTTTATTTTTTTAACCCAGTTTGTATGTCAGTTGTTTCTTTTCCTTGCCTCATTTGACTGTCTAGAACTTCCAATATGATGTTGAATAAGAATGGAGAGAGTGGACACCCTTGCCTTGTTCTTGATCTTAGAATGAAAGCACTCAGTCATTTACCATTAAGTATGATATTAACTGTAGGATTGTTGGTAGATGCTCTTTGAGGTTAAGGAAGTTCCCCTATATTCTTAGTTTGCTGACAGATTTTATCATGAATGAATATTGAATTTTATATGCTTTTTTATCACATCAATTAATATGATCATGATTTTTTTCTTTAGCCTGTTGATATAGTAGATTACATGAATTAATTTTTGAATATTGTACCAGGCTTGCATACCTTAAATAAACCAGCATGGTTATAGTATATTATTCTTTTTATGTATTGCTGGATTTGGTTTGCTAACATTTTGTTGAAGATTTTCATGTCTAAGTTAACAGGAGATACTGATTTGTAGTTTTCTTTTTTGCGTGTGCTGTCTTTGTCTGGTTTAAGTGTTAGGGCTATACTAGTCTTATAAGACGAGTTGGGAGGCGTCCCTTCCTCTTCTATTTTCTGGAAGAGATTGTGTAAAATTGGCATTAGTTCTTTTTTAAATGTTTGGTAAAATTCTCCAGTGAAACTTTCTGGGCCTGGAGATTTTGATTTTTAGTGTTATTTTAAATGTGAACTTACTGGTACCCGTAAGAACAAATGGGGCCCAGGAAGACTGTGTTTAGGGGTGTCTGGGGAGGTTTGGGTCTCAGTTACTATTGTCCATCACATGTGTTTGTTACATTAGATCATGAGCTTCTTGAAGGCTAGCCGTGGTGTGTTGGTCATCATTGGAATCCCGGCACCTGGGACAGTGCCTTGCACATACTGAGTACTCAGTGTAAGGTTGCTGAGTAATGGAACTGACTCTCAGCACTTTGATTGTTGCAGACTGGAACCCTGATGCTTCTTAGGGAAGCCAAGGGAGAAGAGGGCAGCACAAAAATGCCTGAGTCTTCTTTTGGGGGTGGAAAAGTCTCTTTGGGAGAAGAGAGAAGTAGATAATATTTGTGATCTCATTCTTCCTCTTGCCTGCTTGAACTGCTACCATTCAGGCCTTGAAAAACCCAGTGTACCAAGAAGACGGTGTGTGGAGCACTGGTAGTGGGGAAGAACAGATGCAGACTAGCGCCCCTTCCTGCTGTGTGTGTCTTCAAACACAGAAACAAGCTCTGAGAATTATGCTTCAACATAGAAGATGGAAAGGAGATGAGAATGTATCAAGCTTAGGCATAACTTACTGAGTAATAGTTCTTAATTATTTATAGATGAGAAGACTGAGGCTTGAAGAAACTATTGACTTGCCTAGGTCTCTCTGAATTTCGAAAGCTACGCCAATGAACTTGACACTTTTACTGCAGCTTCTAGTCTGTTAAGTGGTTTATCTTGATATACTTTAGATGATACAGCTGTAGAAAATTTTGTACCAGTTACACCAAGCTCTAGTGCTTTTCTCATTTCATAACATAAAATGACAAATTAATGGTTATTACTACTCTGAATTGGAACATCTTGAGACAGATTCTTTGATTTGTCCTTCTAACACTATCTGCATTAACTGATACCTTTATTAATTGAACTTTTTTAGCACTTACCTCTCTGTATCACTCTCTGGACAGTAATGGAGTGCATTTTAAAGTATTTTGTTTTATTATGTTTAGTTACTATTTGTTTCTGAGCAATAATGTATTTAATCATTTTGCAAGTTGAGAATTTTTTAATGTTATTTACTCTAAAATCTGTGGGTCTTATGCTAGATTTATTTGTAGCATCTAGGGCAATAGCTTCAGCATAATATTGCACAATATCATTGTTGATTGGTCAATATGTAAAACTGATGATACTTAATTTCTAAGGCTCTGTCTTAATAGAAGATATTCTGGTTCAACTTATTAAAAATTCTCTTCTTATAAGTACCTTTACCCAGATCCTAATCTCAACTTAAACCCAACATTCTATTTTCAACTCAAGTGAACCACTCTCTCTTCTAAGTCATCCCTGGTGCATGTACACATCTCCCTCTTAACATAGAGCATTGGAGTTGTTTGCATGCCTCTCTTCCTTATTGGATTATGAGTTCCTTTTGGGAATGATTCATTGCTGTATTACCAGTGCCTAACACAATCCCTGTGGAATACAAGCTGAAGGATGGCAGAATCATTGTGTACCCACCATCTAGACCAGTGTCTGGCATGTGGTAAGCACTCAATGCATATTTATTGAATGAATAAGCCAATGTCAATAGTTTGTGCTCAATAAATAGTTGCTGAGTTAATAAATTAATTTGTATTTGTGCAATGTGTTTCATAGGCAAAAATCAAACTGTTCAATAATCCAGATTCAGTGACTACATGAGGGATACATATGCCAGGATTTGCTTTTCAAGGTAACCCCATCCATTAAGAGCATTGAAAACTTGATAGTAAATAAGAGTTGAAAGATAAAAAGGCTGGCCAAATTATCATCTAATTAGAGAATAGGGAATCAGGAATTGCTATAGTTTGAATGTATCCCCTAAAATTCATGTGTTGGGAAGTTAATCTCTGGTGCAACAGTGTTGAGAGGTGAGACCTTTAAGAGGTGATTAAGTCATGACGATTCTGCCCTGTGAATAAATGAATGCCATTATTGCAGGTGTGGGTTTATTGTGGGAGTGTGTTCCTGATAAAAATAATAAGTTTAGTCCCTTTCCATTCTGTGTCTTGCACACTCTCTTACTCTTTCTCCTTTCACTATGGGATGACACAGCATGAAGGCCTTTATCAGATGCCAGCACCATGCTCTTGAACTTCCCAACCTCCAGAACCATGAGGCACATAAATTTCTATTGTTTGTAAATTACCCAGTCTGTGATATTTTGCTACAGCAGCAGAAAACAAACTAAGACAGAAATAAAGGGTGTTTTTAGACAAAATTGATCTTTTTTAATCCTGTGAATTTCAATATACTGGTTTGTGCATGTAGACACTGCCTTCATCCTTTGTTCACTTAGAAAATGCTGCCCTAAAACCTTTTATAAATATCTCTTGTAGAACAACTCATTTCTCAAGCTATTTATTAAAGGGAAGAGGAATTAAATGCATAGCAGATATGTAGTTTTAAAAAACTTTTTTTGAGAGACAGGGTCTTGCTATGTTGCCCAGGCTGGTCTCAAACTCCTGGCCTCAAATGATCCTCTCACATCAGCCTCCCATGTAGTTGGGATTACAGATATGAGCCACTATACCTGGTTATTTAGGCTAATCCCCACTTTGGGCATTTTAAGTTTATTAATGGGTCATGAGTCATCTCAGGAAACTCAGAAATCCAATATCCTTGATTACTTGCTTTCTTCTTCCAATAGTGGATGGACATTCACGTTTTCATCTGCCTACAAAAGAAATCTGATAGTTGAAAAAGTAAGAATATAATCATGATTATTGATATAATATAATCATGATCAAACAAAAACCTACCTGCTCTGCCCCAATGAGCATGTCTCATTGGCTTGTGCCCTTGTCAAAGACAGGAACAAGAGGCATGAGGTAGAAGAGTTGGAAAGCGTATGGAGAGACATATAGTCATGCACCACTAAGAACATTTTGGTCAGTGATAGACTGTGTATACAGTAGTGGTCCCATAGAATTATAATGGAGCTGCCCTATACAGGTGTACCATATTTTATCTTTTATACCATATTTTTCCGTACCTTTTCTATATTTAGATATGTTTAGAAACACAAGTACTTACCATTGTGTTACAGTTGACTACAGTATTAAGTACAGTAACATGCTGTACAGGTCTGTAGCCTAGGAGCAATAGACTCTACTCTATAGCCTAGATGTGTAGTAGGCTATACCATCTAGGACTGTGTGTGTACACTCTACGATGTTCACTGAATGACAAAATGGTTTCACAATGTGTTTCTCAGAACACTCCCCTGTTTTTAAGTGAAACATGACTATATATGACAAGAGGCAGACATTTGGGTGATGCCAGAGCTGCTAACTCCTCAAAACATGACCAAAGGTTGAGCCCCATGAATAGGATTAGTGCCCTTTTAAAATAGGCTAGAGGGAGTTTGTTCACCCTTTCTGCCACGTGAGGACACAGCAAGAAGGCACCATCTGTGAAGCAGAAAGCCCTCATTAGACACCAAAATCTGCCGCCACCTTGATCTTGGACTTTGCAGCCTCTGGAACTGTCAGAAGTAAATTTCTGTTGTTTATAAACTACCCAGTATATGGTATTTTGTTATAGCAGTTGGAAAGGACTAAGAGACATTTAATGGACAGATGTCTGTCTCTCCTTTTTTACCCTAGTTCAAGTTTTCACCATCCCCTTCCTCCTCCTTGCATTCCAGTGGATACTCTCCAAATCATGGCTCTCTCTATCTGAGGGTTAGATTTGAGTCGGGGAAGGAATTAACATTTTTGCAGTGGTGATTCTTTTTCGGTATGAAAAATCTCAGGAAATGAAAAGCACAACTGTAAAGCTCATAAACCTTAAGTTTAGGGTAATGTTTCCACATAGCTGCAGCTGGACTGCTCAGAAGGGTCAAAAGAAGGCAACCCCTTTCTAGAGGCTGCAAGTCGCTGCTTCCACAGGGTGAAAGTGGTGAAATCTGTGAGATGTGGGGCATGGTGGTGGAGGGGGAGACACTTTCTGAGTCACTTGAGAAGTAGATCACTTTAAACTGCTGGAGGGCTGGGCTCATGGAAGGAAGTGACCACCCATACATAGCTCCATTCCCAGTTCCTTTTACTAAGAAGACAAGACAGAAGACAAAGAATAGGTAAAACAGGATGTAAAGTTTATATACAAGAATATAATGTTTATCTGAAATATTTACAGTGTTGGTTAAAGCAATATTTTTACAACTTTTAAAGGTAAACTACTATGTATATTACAGGTAAGCTACAATGGGTTTAATTTGCAAAAGTTAAGTAAGAAATGTTTTAAACAAGGCTTAAAGTACTCAAGTCAATTATAAAATTTATATCTTTTGCCTTTTACTTGAAGAAATCATGCTATAGAAATGGTTAATGTGCTTCTAATAAATGGAAGTATTGTAGCTGGAATGTGATACATGTAACAGTTTAAGTTCCCATTGAAGGTATAAAATGATGAATTGTTGTAAGACTTAGACACTGAGTCTCAGTCTGGAGCTGATGAAGATGTTGAGATAACAGCCAGCTTTATCTCAACAGGGTTTGTGACCCACAAGTTTGGGCCACAGAGAAAATTGAAGCAATTTGCATGTTATGACAACCTCAGTGGGAAGTGAAAATCAGCTGACTCAAAACAACAAACAACAACCAACCAGACCCAAGTCACAGTTGCACCTATTCAAAACTAGCTTTAAAGTGAGCTATTTTTAAACTTCATAAAAATATTCATGATTTTATTAGTTTGAATATTTCTACAAGATTCGGGTGGGCTTTTCCTTTAGGTGAAAACAGCTATCCACTCCTGTGGCCTTATAACTCAGGAAATGCTGGGGATGCAAACGTGCAAAAGGCAGGGGGAAGCTGCCCAGGCTGAGACTGGAGCAGCTAGGAGTGTGCTTGGGGAACGGGAGCTGAGATCCCGGAGCAGAAATGGTCAGCCGTGCTCTGGAGCAGGCCTGTCGGAGCCATCAGGATGCCGGGACTAGCACTGCAGCTTGCGGATGCTGCGGGAGATGCGCTTGAACTCTCTCTGCCCCTTCTGCCACCGCTTCACCGAGGTGATCACCAGCTCCCCACCCTGTTTCTGTCCCATGACCAGATAGGGCGCGTTGATGTCGTTCATCTCCTCACAGGTGCACTGCAAGCTGTCTTTGAGCCACAGCACCGATTTCTTCAGGTCCCTTTCGGACACACCGTTCAGCTTGTAAATGGTCTTGCTCTTGGTCTCCAGGATGATTTTGGTATCTCGGTTGATGTAGGTTATCTCCTTCACTTTTATTTTCAGTGCTATGAGGGAGGGCAGAAAGAGTCATGCCAGTTATAATGAGGGAATACAGTATACCTCCCCCCATTCTGCCAACTCGTGTGACTTGGCCTGGATGAGGAAAGAGAGGCTTCCTAGAGCTAATGGGACCCTCAGAGGCTGCAGATCGGGGGTTGGGAGCTAGGGGCAGCAGGTGGCTCCACTGCTAAAGCCTCAAAGCATTTGCCAGGCACTTGGTTTCCAATCAGCCATTTTTTCAAAACTCTCTCTTTGCGGGACTCAATTAACTTTTCTTCTCCTTTCCTCACTCACCCTTGTGTTTGTAAGAAAGTTGCATGTGGTGTGTGCTCTCTCCAACAAATGACTTCCTCTGTTGGAAACTTAAGCATGAAAAGAAATGCCTGACTTTTAGGTGAAATATGATCCCTCTGTGGCCGTAAAGTTTAAACTCAATTTATTATGCAAGAGGTTTTTGGACAAACCTGTAAGGAAACTGTGTCACGCAATCATTGTTTTCTAAAGATCAGATTACAGGGAAGGAGAATTGATCTTACAGCTGCATTTGATTTGGTAAAGCAGGAGAAACAATATGCAAGTCTCTTTTTAACAGCACAACGTGGTTAGTCATAAAAGTGTTTTTCTGAAGACCTCATCCTTATATGCTCTCATTTGCCAGTCCAAGGCCAAGGCGTTTACGGATCATATATGTACTGTTTCCAAAATGTATATGTAGACTCGTTAGAATGCGAAGACCAAAAGTAAGTGGTTTACTATAAAGGACACGTTTTATAGTCATGAACAGTATGCTCTGGGAAAGAAAGCCCTACAAACGTGTATGCTGGAATTAAATTTCAAGACTCCATGAAAGCAGGAAAAGAATAGAATTTTAAGGTTAGAAGGGATCATCCCATTAAAATTGCTTGTTAATACACAAAGAATCTTAAATCCAGAGAAGTTTAGTGACTTGCATGAGGTCACCCAGTTTAGGTTGTTTGCTAGAACTCCAGTTGCCAAACCTCCTCCTGTAATACCACTGTGGTGTCTTGAGGCAATGTCCATGTTTTTGTAGTGGTTGCAGCATAAACTTGCCCAGCTGCAATGTGTCCTAAGACCCTGTGTGCCCCTGACAGCTATTCTGTATAGATGATGTGTAAGTATGACTTCCTGACTTTGATGGAGTTTAATCTATGTTTAAATTAGTAATAGAGGAAGATTTTTCTGTGTTGCGTACAACTGTTTTTGAGATTTTCTTTTTTTTTTTTTTAAATATCAGAATGGGAATTTGACTGAGTATGGCTTTCTAGTCAACCAGGAAATTATAGAATCTCTAGCAGGTAAATCAAAAATGCTATGACTTGGCCAACCATGGTTTTGTCTGGTATGATATGCATCTGAACTGTGGTACTGAATTCTCAGTTTTTGAGACTCAAGTCGTGGAATAAGCCATACTTGTGGAAATGTTTCATGCTTTTGTGTCCTCTGCATTGGGAGTAGGGTGTTGGATAGACCTCACCATGGTGGGAGAAATGGACTGATTACACTTTACCTGGGAGCCTTGTCTGTAGTACAGGTAGGGCATATATAAGATTTCACCTGGCCAAATGAAACATTCTCAAGCTCCAAACATCAGAAAAAACCATCACTTTTAACCAGGAGGAAGATTTTTTAGTCATCTTTGTCTAGCTCTAAAATAACTAATTTTGCAAATGTTTATCATGAGAAAACATTAGGGATTTTCTCCCTGGATTTTCAGCTAGGCCCAAACAGAGAGAATTGAATCCCCCACATAACCTTTCCTGTCCTGGAGGATGTGACTGAGGATGCAGGATGTGATCGCAGGCAGAGGTGATGATACTTTCTGGTCCTACAATAGGTTGTATATATAGGAAGGTAGTTCTGAACCATTTTTTATTCACCAGTACTTGCACCACTGAATTTCCCTTGTACTTCAGGAGCACAGTAGGGAAGAGGTGATGCCTTCCCAGAGTAGTCAAGTCAAATAAATCAGATTTCTATGCTTGTTCCTCCTACTTTTCCATTATTCACAAAGAACAGAGGCAAGATGGAATAGTGCTTATAAACCAATAATCTTATGATGCAGTTCTTAAAATTCTGCTTCATTATCCCTCTATGGGTCAAAAAGAGTGAAGAAATAGAAAACAAAGCTTGTGAGGTATCTATGCATGTGATACCTTAAGTGTGATAACTTCTGTGTTGTTTTGAAAGGCTTTCTCTCTGTAAGGAGGGAGCACACTAAGGCACACAGGCATCCATGTTTTGGCTCATGTCTTGATAGGGCATCCTTAGAAAGGGGGTCTTCTGTAAGGTCAGCCACAAAGCAAGCAAGTAATAGGTGTGTGTGCATGTTTCCCAAAGCCAATTGTTATGGAGCTCCACAGTGTAACAATCAACTTTTCATGGAAGTCAGGAAGGATCTGTTTTATGTGCAGTGCAAAGGATATAAACTGCCAGAAGAACATGATATTTTATAGGCTTTTTAATAGAAATTTTATAAAATGATATTTTTCTATCTTGCCCTTAATGAAGTGATGTAGCATGGGGGCTGAGAACTGTGTTTTGGTAAGGCTCTGGTGATTTGGAATTATCTGCTGCTAACATGCCTGGCTCTTAGCCAGTTTGAGGGTTGTATACATTTGAAAACAGGCATATGAAACCCCGTCAGCCCCATTTGTGGCTCCTCCTGAGGGGAAAAGTTGCTAAGGACTTTGAGCTACCTCCCTTCTTTCTCTTTCCTCAGCAGTGTGAAGCCTTTCCCAACACCGGGACTATGGTAGTTCTGGGACCAGTCAGAGTTAAACCCAGGACACTTTCTGGAAGAGACCTGGAGTTGTCAAAGAGCAGGGATTGGATGGTTCCAGAGTTTTAGGGACCTGACCAGGCCTGAGATTTCTGGGATGGCAAGGTAAGGAGAGTGAGAGCTGGAGTGATTTCCCTCAGTCTCGAGGACTATGTTGAATATGTAGAAGTGTTAATATGGGTCTATTAGACTCCATTATTGATTGACAGAGCAGGGAACATATCTGCTTATGAGTAAGTTCAGCCTTGTGCCTGAATAAATACTTTTTTAAAAGGTACCAATAATTCCAACACACCAAAAGGTACCTGCCCTTGGAAAAGGATAAAAGCAAGAATGCCTCTGGGTGAAGTTCCTGGTCATTCCCAACTCTGAATTTAGCATTGATCCTGTGTCTAGCTGGGCTCCTCTTCTGACCTGAGAGCCCTGAAGTCAGCAGATGAGGTGCTGGTAGAGTTCCATGTAGACAAAGCCCCAGCTCTCTTTCCCCTTATAATCCTGTCTTCAGGGGAGTGACTTGCAACTTATGGAACATATCACATGTGTTTTTTATTGTCCCCAAACACCATGTGATCTATCATGTATCTTGCTAAAGTAAATTTCTAAGCTTTTTTTTTCCTTTTTAAAACTATTTTCGAAACTGTGGCAAATGTGTCTAGACTTAGTCATACAAAATTTACAAAAACCTTTTAAAAGGGATTTTAAGATGGTGTTTTAAGGTTGTTAGGTGTTCCATGTTAGGTGTCTTCTCAGTAAGCCACTCTTCTTTTTCAACTTAAGGAACCCCTCCTTGACAAATTATTAATCAGTGCCTTGGATATATTCACTAATGGTAGAACACAGAGGTTTAAAATCATTATGGGTTATAAAGAAAGTAAAAATATTTTTATTTGTGGCCAATTTAAAGCCTTGAATCTGTTTGGCTGGGGCTAATATTTACACTTCCATCCCTGGTGCACATGTTAAGTAATCAAAAGAAAATAGAACTCGGGATTATGCCTGTCGGCAAAAAAAAAAAAAAAAAAAAAGGGATTTAAAATGTGCCACTGGAAATTGATAATCTGAATAATTTTCATTATTTGATTATTGGCTTAACAGAACAATGAGTCTCACCTAACAAGATACAACTCAATGCTAGACAGTTACATAAGGAGGAAACTAGGATAGATCAAGTTAGATGATTTTGGGATACATGAGCTATAATGGTGTTTTACCCAACCTTTATCTAGCAACATCATAATGATTTGCACCTTGAAGTTTTACTGGTAAATAAAACTTCTGAATGTGAAATCTGTTGTTGTTGTTGTATTACTTACCAAAATCATTTTTACAAAGCGTTTCCATTATGTCGTTGTCATCATCATTTTTATTTTTGCAGGCTTCACATACCTTTGGAGCTAGAAATGTGAAAAACAGTCTTTAGTAAGTTTGCTTAAAAGAGAACAGTAGGTGGCGTTTGTAAACAACTCAAAGGGACTTATCCAGACAAAAGTAGCAATTGTCCTATTTAACCTCAGCTTCTGCCTCCTCTATAAAAGCAGGAACACTCAATCCTAAGAAAGTTTTCCCATGCTTCCCAATTTTTTTGGGGGGGAGGGGTGGTGGGAGCAAAATGAGAATGCCTATATGTTGTTGTGTTTAATAAATTATGACTCTCAAAAGGGAGTTGTGGGCAGAGTATACAAGTGTATGTAGTTATAGTTAACTGAGACAGGGTGCAGCTTTTCAGCTCATCCTCCCAACCTCTGGGAAATTCAGTCTGAAAAAGTTATTCCCAAGGCCTTTTGAAGGAGAAAGCACCCAAAGAACCAAAGATACTTGAGGAATTTGGGAAAACTGGTAACTAGAAAATATAGACAAAAGATTGTCTTTCTCAGCCACAGGACACCAGTGTAGTTGGCTCTACTCGGCAGAGCTCTGTATCTCAGGGGGGCCAAGTCTGGACTGGGAGGGGTGACTGGCTAGCGTTCCACATGTGGGCTGTTTCCACCTTGAAAACACATCTCACTAATTACAACAGCCTGCTCTAAGTGGTTCTGTGTCACCTTGTGCCTCTGCCAAGATTGTGCTTGAGTTAGGCAGCATTCATTTCATTGTTATCTGCAAGCTCCCTGGTACAGGTTCTTCTTGCCCTTCTGTGCCTGTTTCAAACTCTCAAAACAAACAAATAAATAAACCTGTTTCTGAAGCTAATCAAAGACGAAGCAAAAATGGTTTAGTGGTCTGATCAAACTTAGGGATTGTATACTAGCACAATTATCAGAAGACCTGCTAAAAGCTCTTCTAAGAGTTTGATTTCTTGGGAGAAGTAAAAAAAAAAAAAAAAGAACAATTATATTGCCCTTCTCTCATTTATAAATGTGTTAATTATGTCTTTAAAATTTAGGTGAAATGAGATTTTCACTAATGTGAAATTTAATGTTCATAGAAAACTATGTGACTTAATAGAAGCGTTATTTATCAAATTAGAAAAATCACAAAGCTGGAATTTTGAAGAACATAAACTTTTATTTTGAAGGAGAAAAGTGGCTTTTTGGAGAAATGTAAGATGCGTAATGTTGCTGCTGATAGTGGGAAGAAATAAAAGCAACATACATAAAACTGCCCTTAAGTCCCCTCACCCAAACAAAATCAAACATTTCCAATTAGGAGCTCTCAGGATGTATATAAAATATTACTAACCTGTATTGGTTGGTCTATGGTACATGTTGGACAAATGTTTGAAAAATGCCAAACATTTGCAATAAATTAGAAATCTAACCAATAAGATGATTGCAAACTCATGGTCCCTGCCAGGAAAGATTGCTAAAGAACTTTGCATTTGCTTTAACTAATGATGTCTGTAGGAAAACTACTAGAGATTGAAAGGGAGAGGCTGCTGAAGCCCTGAAAGGGATTAGGAAGCTCCCTTTTCCAACCCAGGGGACCCAAATCAGCTCAGAGGCATTGTATATGTTTTCCTTTCAGAAAAAATATTGAGAGCCCATGAGGTTTTCATTGCTTTGATGGTTTTTGCACAGGAACTCTCCCTCCGTTTTCTAAAAACTTGGGAATCTCTTTTGCATGATTTTCTCCAGCTAATCAAAACCACTCCTAAGTTAAAAACTGATAGCAATAGAAAAGTGATTTCCAGAGATTCCCTTTATGCCCTCTTCCTCAAGTATCTGAGCAGTTACAACCAATGTTCAATTTTCCACACACTCCGTGCCAGTCCCGGTTTTATTTCCAAAATCTAAATTGACAAAGGACAAAAAGACCCTTAAAAGGTTATCTACTTGTGCATCCTGGTTTTCCTTTCTGTACAGGAAATGTTCCTGTGACTAGAATCCTGCCCAGTGGTAGGAAGGTGCAGAATGAGGCTGAGCGAGGGGCCTCTGGCCAGAATGCTCACCACAAACTCCTCCACCAAACACCACTTCCAACGCTCTGCGCAGCTCCAGTGCTAGCATCTTTAACAATAATCGTGTATCTATTTTTTTTTAAACCGCCGTTCAGTTCTTCGTTTTTTTAGTTTTGTTGTTTTTGTTTGTTTGTTTTATTTTTAAACTGCCCTTAAGTATAGCTGGTACAACTCGGGAGGAGAATGCGCGAGACTTGGGCGGCGTGGGAGGGGTGCCTCAAATTTGATACAGGCTTGTTGTGATGACAGACCAGGTCAGGCAGAACTTCTGCCCTTCCCGCTACTGGCACCCCAAGCAGGGATGCACTGGGATGCGTGGCAGGGGCGGGATCTCCTGGGAGCGTCTCAGCCCAGCAGGGAGTGGGGAAGCAAGAGGGAAGGCTTACCTTCCTCGGTGGCTGGCAGGAGGTGGTCGCTGCTAGCGAGGGGGATGCAAAGGTCGTTGTCCTGGGGGAAACGGTCGCACTCAAGCATGTCGGGCCAGGGGAAGCCGAAGGCGGACATGACCGGGGCGCAGCGGTCCTTCACCTGCACGCAGAGCGAGTGGCATGGCTGGATGGTCTCGTCTAGGTCATCGAGGCAGACGGGGGCGAAGAGCGAGCACAGGAACTTCTTGGTGTCCGGGTGGCACTGCTTCATGACCAGCGGGATCCAAGCGCCGGCCTGCTCCAGCACCTCCTTCATGGTCTCGTGGCCCAGCAGGTTGGGCAGCCGCATGTTCTGGTATTCGATGCCGTGGCACAGCTGCAGGTTGGCAGGGATGGGCTTGCAATTGCTGCGCTTGTAGGAGAAGTCGGGCTGGCCAAAGAGGAAGAGCCCGCGCGCCGAGCCCAGGCAGCAGTGCGAGGCGAGGAAGAGCAGCAGCAGCGAGCCAGGGCCCTGCAGCATCGTGGGCGCGCGACCCCGAGGGGGCAGAGGGAGCGGAGCCGGGGAAGGGCGAGGCGGCCGGAGTTCGAGCTTGTCCCGGGCCCGCTCTCTTCGCTGGGTGCGACTCGGGGCCCCGAAAAGCTGGCAGCCGGCGGCTGGGGCGCGGAGAAGCGGGACACCGGGAGGACAGCGCGGGCGAGGCGCTGCAAGCCCGCGCGCAGCTCCGGGGGGCTCCGACCCGGGGGAGCAGAATGAGCCGTTGCTGGGGCACAGCCAGAGTTTTCTTGGCCTTTTTTATGCAAATCTGGAGGGTGGGGGGAGCAAGGGAGGAGCCAATGAAGGGTAATCCGAGGAGGGCTGGTCACTACTTTCTGGGTCTGGTTTTGCGTTGAGAATGCCCCTCACGCGCTTGCTGGAAGGGAATTCTGGCTGCGCCCCCTCCCCTAGATGCCGCCGCTCGCCCGCCCTAGGATTTCTTTAAACAACAAACAGAGAAGCCTGGCCGCTGCGCCCCCACAGTGAGCGAGCAGGGCGCGGGCTGCGGGAGTGGGGGGCACGCAGGGCACCCCGCGAGCGGCCTCGCGACCAGGTACTGGCGGGAACGCGCCTAGCCCCGCGTGCCGCCGGGGCCCGGGCTTGTTTTGCCCCAGTCCGAAGTTTCTGCTGGGTTGCCAGGCATGAGTGGGAGAGGGTGTGTGTGTGTGTGTGTGTGTGTGTGTGTGTGTGTGTGTGTGTGTTGGGGGGCTGCGTCCCTGGTAGCCGCGTGTGCCCTGTGATGGAGCCCGGGACCTGCCCGCCCGAGGCCGCCTCGGCGAACTTCGTTTTCCCTCGAATCTCCAGCCACCGTTCAGCAGCCTGTCGGTGTGCTCCCCAATGCCGTAAAAAAATCAGAATTATAAATATATTCGTATGAGCAGAACTTTACATGGAAAACGAAATACTAATAAAATGGGCTTGTTATTCTGTTGGAGTGAGTGCCTAGGAAGGGTTTCGTCGTTGTAGAAACGCCCCTACAAGAGTCTCACCAGTCACACAGGACTGCCCACCATTTCCCCGTTTTGGAGAGATTTTTCCTTCTTAAATGAATGGCATGACTCAATACTCGAAGGCATCACGGGCTCTAACACACAGCCGCCCTTGCAGCTGTGCGCTCTGGAAAGCTGGAGTATGGGCCCCCAGGGCACTGTTTGTAAAGACTGGTGGCCGGCACAAAAGACGGGCACAAAAGATGGGCAGGCTGGGAGGGAGCGAGGTAGAGGAAGGAGTCCTGCCTAGAGATCCACGAGGGCTAGAATTAGCTCATTCATCCCCTACGTACCAGGGGGCACCATGCTGGGCGCTGGATGTGCAGAAATGAACAAACAGGCCGGCCTCTGCTCTCGTGGAGCCTGGGATCTAGTGTCTCTGACTGCAAACAGTAAGTTCTGGGTTGGGGGGTGGGCTCCTTTTGCCTAATTGTCCCTAGTCTCCCTATGGGGACAGGAGGCCTTCGCTCTCCTCAGCCGCTGTCTCCGGGTGGCTGTGAAGATCCAAAGAGATAATCCCCGGAGGGCGAAGTTCTTTCATATGTAAGGTGGGCGCATTGTTATTACTTCCCGACCACTTAAGAGTCATTCACAGGCTCAGACCCCGGCTTCCTAATTTCCCTCCTTCCGGAAGATGCGTTGGCCTTGGCGGCTCCCAGGCCCAAGTTATCAGGCACACTTTGCGGTCCAGCTGCTTAGAGGAGCCGGGTAATGAATGAATGGGTGGCAAAAGCCCACTCAGTGTTATCTGCTGACCGTAAACACGCCAGGAAAATCGTCATCTGGAGAGAATGCACATTCTGAACTCCAAGAATCTGCGTCCCTAAGAGCCCAGCTTCCGGGTGCTCTGCTGGGGAAGGGCCCGGGGTAGCTGCAAAAGGCCTCTCTTTCCCCAAATTGGTTCAGGGCCTTTTCGTCTCTAACGAAAGCACCAAGAGGCCTAAAAGCCCCCTTCCCAACATAAACTACTTTGCAATGAAACCACAAAGGAAACAGAAGCACACCAAAAGAAAGAGCTAATAAAGAGCGTGAGCTCTGAGAGATGCTACGACTTGGGCCTGGGAGTGGGATAAGGGCCCTCTCGCTTTCACGCCCCCCCAACCCCCCGCCGGCCCCGGCCAACCCCTAAATCCCCAACGCCCTCCGCTGGGGTCGCCTCCTCCCCGCAGAGCCCCTTGTTGGGAGTTCAAGGAGCCCGAAGCTGGTCTGGCTGGTTTGAGCCCCGCGCTGCCGCACGCCCGGAAGTGGCTGGCGGCCCCCGCGCTCCGCGCGCCGGCTGCATTGTTTTGGGAGCCCTCGCTGCCCGGCTTGCCGCCAGGAGGTGCTGGGAGTCGCGCCTGAGTCTCCATCCCTGCCGTGCGCAGTGTCCACCTCTGGCCAGCTTGTTTGCCCGGCCCGCGGCGTCCCCTGCGGCCCATCGCTGCTCCTCCCGGAACCCACGCCACTTAGTCTGGTCCCGACCCTGCACTCGCTGCTGCTGCCTTTCCCACCTCAAGTCGCTCTCCCCACTCCCTTCTGCTTTTGGGCTAAGACCGGTCCAATTGATCACTGGGGAACAGGGCAATAACCTCCCGCGGAGGCTGGGACGCGGGCACGGAGCTCTGCCCATATGAGCAGCGCAGGGATGGGACACTGGGTGCCCATCCCAGCGCGCCTCCCCAGACTGGTCCCTGGGATGCTCACACGTGGCGCGGCACCGCGGCGGCGCCTTCACGAACCCAGACTCTTCTCTGCTGCCAGTTGACCTCAGGTCCACAGGTCTCCTTCGATCCTTGCAATTGATCAAAACCCACCAAAGGCTTTTATTTGTACCAATGGACCGTCCATGTTTACCCCCTCCCTGCCCATTTAAGGCACGGAAAATCTATTCACCCAAGCCCAGGGTAAGTGATGGTGGATGCCCACTCCACCGGGCATCTTGCTTAAAGGGGGCTGCCCATAGGTCCCTGGAGAGGGGCTTGGTCCAGAACACACACAGAATGAACATCATCCCACCCCAATGCTGCAGGTCTACGGAAGAGCCTCGACCTCCCGTATCCTGGGTTTGGCTCTGCTTCTCTGCTTGAGTGTTTCCTGTGCTCAGGGCACTGAAGAAGCTTGAGGCACAAAGAAAGCCCCCAGCAATCTCTCCAGAACAATTTGGCTTCTTGTTTAAACCTGTGCTGGCTACAAGAGTTTCTGGACAGGCAAGACCTTCACTCTCACGTTCAGATTCTGTCCTGTCAGGGAGTCCGCTTGGCCTCCGCGAAGAGCTGGGAAAAGCGAGCCTCCCACCCCCACTCTCAAGTAGTAAAATCAAAGCGGATGGACCCTTATTTCTGAGGAGTGAAAGCGAGAAGAACGATGCGTGTAAAATGCTAGTTCCTTAATTCACACAATCCAGCACCGGCTCCCGGATGATCATTTTGCACACAAGCAGTCACTGGGAAACTGAGGCATGGAGAGGTTAAGTAACGAACCGGGCCACACCGTAAGTGGTACAGCTGCTGACGTTACATGTGCCTCGGTGAGGTGAAGTGACTACCGGGCTAGCCTTGGGGACCTGTCGCGACTTGTCGGGTGTCTCCAACCGCGTTGCCGCCTGGCTTTCAGCCGTGCGCTGGCCAGCCGGGCGGGTGACGTCACCTCTCCCCGGGTCCGTGCACCCAGGCCTTCCCTGCTCCGGGTGAGTATTTTTTCATGGGATTCAGCCATCTGGGGGCGCCATTTCCCAAAACAGAGATTGTCCCTTTGAGGTTGCAAGTCAGGTTCCTTTACGCTGAGATCCCTTACATTTTTACTTTTAGGAAGGTTTTTTCGAGGGGTGGGGGGATGACCTCATTCCTTCGCCTTTGGCCCTCCCTCTACCCGGCCCCACAACGAGGACGCCCCTGCAGCTGGCTGGGCCGCTTCCTCTTGCCACGCGGGGGGACCTGTGCCCGCGGCCGTGCACCTCCGTGTACGCTTCTGCTCCTCGGACCCCATCGGTTCAGACGCGGATTTCCGAGAACGAGACCAGAGTCTGCGTCTGGAGAGCCTTTGCCCCTCATCTTAGGAAGAGTCTAGTCTGAGAACAAACAGTTTGCCAACTCCTACCCCGAGCTCTTGCGCGTATCTCCTTAAATATTTCAAGGGTCTGGGCCCCAGATGGGTGCTCGGAAAGCAAACGAAGGGTCCAGGGAGGCCGAGGCCAACGCGGAGCTCAGCGCCCCCTTCTTGCCTGAAGGGGCGCGCTGGAGGAGGAAGGGCGCGGCGGAGACGCAGAAGGCGGTTCCTTGGGGGCAAAGCAGGAGCCAGTCTGGGGCCTACCCCTTCTCGCCCTGAGGGATTCTGTCCTGGAGAGAACTGTAATTGCCCAGGTCTGTGTAAGCAATCTGGTCTGTGGGTTCAAAGCCAGTGTGAACCCCACGTTCCCGAGACCTCTTTGCCCCAACCAAGTACAGCGAAGTTTTGAAGCTCAGTAGAAAATGACTAAAAAACAGTCCAAACTCCAAAATGATAAAAACAAGTACACCTACAAGGATAATCTTCTGCAACAGAACATTTTCTTGTTCTTCCCCACCCCATGAGTGTTTTAGTCCACAGCTGACTGGGAATAGACTGAACGCTATTTTGTACTATGCTTCTCTCAGGAAGATAGAGGCATATCATGGAGGCTGGCCGTGGGTTGGTGCCTTGGCAGAGACCAGTTTCTGTTTCTTCTGTTGTTCCTTCAATAAGAAAATAGCCCTAGAAATTTTGGGAGAATGAATGGGGCGAAGGCATGGCATGTCTTTTTTGTATCTCTGGGCTGCTTCTGATTAAAAAACAACAACCAAAAAAAAAAAAAAAAACAAAAAAAACCACACACACAAAAATCCTCGAGGGCAGTTCGGCGAGCTCGACTTGTGGGGAGGAAATTCCATTTCTGTTTAGTGCACACGTCCTTACTCTAGCCTTTTATTTATAGCATAAGGTCTCAAATTTGCTGGACCAGTAGAAATTCTTTAGTCTTTGCATTCCAAAATTTGAGATTGATGTTACCGGTGTACATCTATGTTACAATCTTAAATACAGAAATATTTATTGGCACTTCTTTTCTCTCCCCTGTCCCTTTCTTCCCAACTTTCCCTGTCTCTTTTTGGGGTCCTAGTAGGTTATTGCTCACTGATGTGTTGCAACTGCTGATGAGACCCTTGAAATGAAGTATCTCTTAATTGCTCACATTAGAAAATCCTGAATGGAAACAGCAAAAACCCAAGGCCATTCACGCAGGGTGGTCCACAAGCCACAGAGTGTCTCCAAAAAGACCCGTTCCATTGTCTGATTTGAACAGCAGGTTCAAACACTGGCTAAGCTGGTGTTTCACTCTGGTGAGAATTTATTGCCATCAGATAAGAGCACAAAGTCAATACAATAAAGCCTGTAGGCTCTAAAGCAACAGATGGAATCTGAGTTCCTGCACACACGTATGATCTTTCCAGAGACAAATCACAGAATAAAAAGCCCTTTGTCATTCTTACTGAAGTGACTTTTAGGAAAACTTTTCCATACCCTGCGTGTGTGTGTCTGTTTGGGTCTTTCTCTATAACGATAGGTTTTTATGCTGCTTAAACTGAGACATTTGTCAGAATCATTAAAGCAGTTTATCCTTTTATGACATATACTCAGCTTTAGTAAGTCACAGGATTCACAGCAACACAATTAAATCTGTTAATCAGAAAAGCGTGTGTTTTTGGCTGATTTAGAGCTAAGTGTGTAATCTGTAATTTCAAACCATAGTATCCAGCATATGCAGATTTAGCACTCTGACTGAATTCATTGGCACTACCAACAAAGTTTCATTAGTAGGCCTAATATTTCCGAATACTTTGTAAATCTCTGGAGGTACAATGGGGAGTGACATGCTATATAGAAATAATATTTCCAAATGTTAAATTTGGTTCCTGGTGGATTTGGTTCCTTGGTAGTCTGTGAAATGTCTAGTGATCATCTTAGCTATGTTGTCCAGAGTTTTGCTGTTTTCCCTTAGTTTCCTGGAAATCTTAATGAATTAAAGAAATTCATGATTAAGTTCTGCTCTGGAAGAAAATAAGAGAGTGCTTTTGTGAGTATAGTTGATTTGTTATTATTCTTTATGTCCCAGTTTGTCTAGAGTTTGAAGATGAGCAAGATTATCTGAGGTTTTTCTGTTATCAATTCTTGTCTGGAACACATACTGAAAACCTGTCTTTCATTCCTTTCCATTGGTATTAATAAGTTGAAACCCTTTGCTTGTTATGCTAGTTATTGTTCCATTCAGAGGAATTAGGGATAGTAGGGATGGGGTAGGGAAGAAGAAGGAGGGAGTCACTCTTGCTTGTACCCAGCTTCAAAATCAGATTCCTTGCATTTTGAATTTTTTTGGGAAAGGGTACATTATTCCCCAGGATATTCCCATGGTGTCTGAATGATTCCATAGGTAGTCACTGGAATGATTTTCATGGGATGTCACCATATCACCACAGGCAGGACAATATTCAGCTCTGCTCTTCTCTGTAACCATAGATGATATAATTAGGAACCTGAAACCTTAAAGATGGAATTCCCCAAGTTCCTTGGGGTTTAATTTCATTCATCCAGTCAAAAGACTGTTGGGCCTCTACCATGAGCTATGAGGGTAATAAAAAAGATCTACGCCTTTGAGGGATTTTTCTTAGTATTTGCAGGTAAAAGTAAAATTTCTGCTTGTCTGCATTTAGCTTAAACGTAAAAAAGGTACATATTTCTGAGAGTAAAGCCTTATTCCCAGTATACTTGGATAAAGGGTGAAGGCTTATGAAGATCCTCATACAGTGAAATAATCGGTGTTGCTCAGTAAAGGAGTAACCAAGCAAAGGCTAACAATTCATTTGCTGGTCATGTCTGAGGACTTCAGTTGCTTTTTGAATTGTGATAGAATAAGCTTTATTAGAAAGCAGACTACTAGAGAAAAATTCTGGAAAAGATCTTGAGAAATTTGTTCCTTGCCCTCCCATAAGACCAGCTTAAATGAACAAAGGGAGATTATACTCTGTTCAGTTTATAAATTTACTTTCAGAGAATTGCATTCCATCTTAAAAACCCTAAATTGTAGTAGATACTTGGGAAATTCTCATGACCTACCAGATGAATGATGGATCTTGAACAATTGCATTTCCCCAAAAAACAGCTAAGAAATATGCTGATAGTCATATTGTGTTTCCCAAATCAACAGGAATGAATTGAAAATTAAACTGAGTTCATATGAAGCTTTTCACTCACAGCTTGCTTCCCCCACCCCAAATGCTTCTTTTTGTGTATAAAAGTTATACAACTCCATGTAAAAATTTCAGACAAGACAGAAAGTTATCAAGAGAAAAGTGGAAATCTCTAATGTCACTGCTTGGATCCACACAAAAAAGTTATATTCTTTAACTTAAGAAAATAAACATACATGAAGCAGCATAAAAATGCAGTAACATGGCACATACTATTTATAACAACTTTCCACATGTCAAAATGGAGATCTAAGCTCTAATAAGTTACCTTTGAATATACTATTCAAGTCATATTCAGTTTCGGGAGTGGATGCGTGTTATTGATGGCTCCTCTCTAGTTTCCTCCCGTTCTCAGGTGGTGCTGCTTGCACAGTGGCTGAATTATGCATCGTGATCAGGATGGCTCTGGGTGAGCATCTTACTGTCCAGATTTCTGCCAATATGCAAGTTTGATTATAATACCTCTGACACTTGGGTAGATTGGCCAGAACTCAGAAACTGTTTTTCTTCTACTTTTCAGTATGATATTTCCTGTATCAACTTATTTGAAAAGAGGAATTTTAGATTTGCAAGGAAAAAAAGAGCTGTTCTCTTAACCTCAAAAATGACATGGTTAGAATTTGGGAAGGGTTAGCTCTTACTTTTCTGAATCAATTTTTCCCATCCATGTATTTCAAATATCGCTTTGTGCAGAGAATGTACTTTGGGAAGCAGAATTTTCTGGTTCCTGGAGAACATGCTTGGAAGGCCCAATTCTGCCTTCCATGAGGGTGATTGACAGGGAAGGTGTGGGGAAGTTGAGGCAACGTAGTCTGGGGGATGAAGGTGTTCACTGTTAAGTGTAGCTTTGGAAGGGGACAGTGTCAGATCTATTCTGACACTGTCAGAGGTGTGGTGTTCCTTTTGTTCACAGAGTGTGTGCTTACAAGTCCTCTAATAAGGATCTTTATGTTGGCATGAAATAGCTGGAAACTGATTTTTATGTTGTGTCTATCTATAGTTTTCCAGAATTAATTTAGCTCAAATAGATTTTTGATTTACAAGATATACAGGGCTATCCTTTATGCACAAGGATGGTCCTGTGAACATTGATCACTAAGATATATGCCATTACTTGCTTTTATAGAAATAAAGAAAATGTATACTGATTTATGCAAATCATCTTTCCCAATTCTCCTTAGAAGCACACATTAGTACTCATTTTTTTTAGTGCAGTAGGGTTAAAATGATGTTTGGCTATTTATAGAGCAAGTTGACTAGTTTACTCAGAAATTGTACCTATGGCTCTGGGCTTCAGTATGATGCAAATCATGGATCACACACAGTACTGTATTATAATCACCACCAAACAACTAAAGTTTGTCTCTCACTAATGCAAAGTTTTCTGTTGAGGAGAGGGGCCTTCTAGGGCAGCAGTTTTCCCAGTTCAGCATTCTTAGCTGCTTGATATCATGGTATTCCCATATCAAGATATGCTCCTGTAATCACTGAATAGGCAAAGAGAAGGCTGGTGAATCCATCACTGGAAGTTAAATAGTTTCCTTCAGAAGTGACACGTCACTTTCACTCATATTCTATTAGCCAAATCAGCAAGAAGGCCAGCCCTAGCTTCAGAAGAGTGGAACATGTAGTCCTGCCAGTGGCTAGAAGTGGAGAAGAACTGGCTATTAGGGACTGATGCTTACCACATATATGTTGACATTTCAAATGTATTGCTTTGAATAGTGCTTAAGACACTATTGATCAGTACCTGTCAAGTGATGAATAAATGTTGAGATTTATAGATTGACGTGCTGAAAAGTTGGGGCTAGTGAACAGACTGACAATTGGGAAATATTACATGAAACTTTTTCTATAGTTATGCTTTGGTTTCTATCAGAGCAGAATCTATAGGTTATGATCCAGTTCCACTGCATTTGTAACTAGCAATGTCAACTGACATGAAGAAATAAAAATAGGCTACTGTTAGGAGAGCTAGAGAAATATAATGTAACTCCCTAGAACTAGAATGCCTATGCTGATGGTCCTATGAAAGTTTTCCTACATTTCTAATGGATAATTTTAATTAACTCCTATAGGAGTTTCCCATAGGAACAACTATAGGAAATCAAAGCATTACCAAGAAGACATAGCACAGAAAATGTGCTTTAAAAATCTTCTTATATTATAGATCTGAGAAAGAGAATGCTTACAAAAATGTAACCTGGGGGAGTAAAGCACTTTTAAGAAAGAAAAGTACTTTCTGAATTAACTTTCTTTAATCAAATAAAATCCTTGAGCCAACTGAAATGTGATGGGGCTGTAGCTAGGGATACACATTTATGATATATTTGTATAGCATGCATTACTGGTCCTCATGAATTAAATTTTCTTTTTGCATTTCGCGGTGATCCAGCTATGAAAATATGTTCATGAAATGTAAACTGCCAGGAGATTAGATAAATACCATAGATTGAGGGAAGGAAGATAAAGGAACCCTCCAAGATATTTTGTTGCTCTTGTTTTCTGTGGAACAAGGAATGGCAAAAAGAGGAAGAACATGCTTCAACACTCCCCAGGGGAGGGCAGTCAGAGTCTTATCGTCAGAGAGGGGGAAATGAGGATTGCAGATGTTTTCTTAAATTCTCTTCTTCAGCATTGTTACAACCAAAGAAAGCAAATCCTGTGATTTAATTTCAGATATATATTTGGTGCTGGGACATATCAGTGTCCCTTAGGCTGATATCTGGGACAGGCTGATAGGAAGAACTCAAATTGTGTTCAAATCTGGTTTCACTACTTTCCAGCTGTGAGATCCTGAACAAATCATGTAAACTCTTCATGCCTTAGTTTCCTCATCCATAAAATGGGGTTAATAATAGCACCTAGCGAGGATTAAAAAAGAAAAAGCACTTAGGAGAAGTACATAGTGTTTTCTGTGTGTGTTATTTTTATTTCATCAGGTATACAGTAGTGTAGCCAACTCCACCCACAGAAGCTTCCTCTGGGAACTTATCGTGCAGATGTAATGCGGTGTTAGGAGACTTACCCAGGTCATAAATAAAGTCCCAAATCATTAGCAGAGTTGGAGTGCTGCTCTGCTGTTAAGGATGGGGCTGGGAATGAACTCCCAGTATCATCCCAGGCAGGGAAGGATGTTAAGGATGGGGCTGGGAATGAACTCCCAGTATCATCCCAGGCAGGGAAGGATGTTAAGGATGGGGCTGGGAATGAACTCCACAGCATCATCCCAGGCAGGGAAAACAAATCTGACTCACATTTTGTTGCATGTTCAAAAGAAAATCA
Organism: Homo sapiens; assembly: GCF_000001405.40. Lineage (NCBI taxonomy): Eukaryota > Metazoa > Chordata > Mammalia > Primates > Hominidae > Homo > Homo sapiens. The sequence goes on from NC_000004.12 coordinate 153,799,361, forward strand.
GGCTCACTAAATTAAAAAGAGATCTAATTATTTAAAAAATGTTGTTACTGTTGTTGGAATTTGAATTTTAAATCAAAATTATATTGCAAAATAGATGACAAGTAGTTGAAATATTAACTGAGGGAAACAGTTTTGGCACTCCAAGAAAAACCCTTGTAATTAATCTTCACTGGTAATCTCCTCAGGCTAACCATTACTAATTAGAAACATGTTTTGTCAACCCATCCAGACTTTAAGCCTGGTGATGGTAGGAGTATATTTTTTTGTACTGCCATAGCCCCAAGACTGAGTAGTATGCTTTGCATACAGCAAATGTATAATCAATGAAGTTTGTTACTACTTTGCACTGAGGGCTAAACATAACATCATACACTTAAGGCAAACACAGAACAGAAGGCTTTTCCTGGGATGGAGCTATTCTCTTTTCCAATCACGTGCTGTTGTTGAGAGACCATCTATGTGGAAAGAGTGATTTGGTTCTGACAGTGTGAGCCACAACATCTGGAGTCTGGCCCTCCACCCCAGGCCTTGACCTTCTCAGTCAGAAACAGTAGATAAATAGTGCCTGTAGAGAAATGATTTAATCAGCAAAAAGATGCAACCTTGTAAAATCCACGAGGGCAACATGACTAGTGTTTTACAGATAAGTTCATACTGAGTATCATTCTTAGCATAAAGGCATTTACAGTCTTTACTTGATAAGTTATCAGAAGAGGCTTCTGTGCTTTGGGTGCAGATGATATAATTCTCAGCTTCCCATTCCTACCTGCTCTACTTTGCTGACCGACACGGTTTTATTAACCATGCCCCTTCCTACTCTCTTAGAAGGCTGGCATGCTTACAGGTGCTCTCTTAATGTGATTCAGACTTTGTGTTACTTTTTTTTTATTGTGGTAAAATACACTGTATGTTAACATAAAATTTACCATTTTAACCTTTTTAAATTTTTTTTAAATTTTTTATTTTTTAAAGAGACAGGGTCTTGTTCTGTCACCCAGGCTGGAGTGCAGTGGCATGATCATAGCTCACTGCAGCCTCAAACTTCTGGGCTCAGGGGATCTGCTTGCCTCAGCCTTCCGAAGTGCTGGGATTACAGGCATAAGCCATTGTGCCTGGCCCCATTTTAATCATTTTAAAGTGTACAGTTCAGTGGCATTAAGTATATGTGTCCACTTTAAAAATCAAAATATTATTCACATTTTGGGGCATTTACTACTTATTAACACTTTTACCAAAGGAAAACCTGGCACAGAAGAGCAGGGACACCCTTATCACATAATGAGTTCTCTCAGCAGCAGCTGATTGTAAAATGAGTTGGTAGAGTAGGAATTAGAATTTATTGACTAAAGCAGAAATGTTGTGTTAGCCGTAGCCATTATTCTTTTTTTTTGATTTCTCGACATTTTTATTAATTATTTTGTTTTTTTACAGCTTGATCCTCTTATGAAAAGGAAAGAATTTAAAGATGAACAATTACATTTTTGTTTAAACGGCAATTAATCCTTATTACAGAGAACAAAAGATCTGTGGCACATTGTCTTTGGAAAGATCTTTTGCAGATTTTTCTTCTAAAACAACTATAATTCTCTCACAGATCACATATTCTCTTTCAAACGACTATACAAGGCAGCTACACTTTATTCACAAAGCCCCAAGTTGCAGTTCCATTGCTGAAGCAGGTAAAATACATGGAGTTCCCCTTAATTTGTGTTGCACATCTTCCCATTGAGAGCATCACTGCTTCCCTACCCTATGTACAAAATCATTGTGTTGATGATAGCTGGCACGTTATTCCACAGTAATTAAAGAAAAACTCATTATTTTAAAGCTAGACCATTGATTTTCATTTATCAACTGGAAAATTTACTCCTTTTTAAAACAATTTTAATAATACCAAGATTTGACTTTCCTCCAAAGTTATAAGAAAGCAAAAAATATATAATATAATATAATATAATATAATATAATATAATATAATATAATATACAATGGTAATAAAAAAAAGGCAACCTTGCTCAGGTATCACCCAAAACATGATCACATTCAGAAAAAAAAAATTAAAACAAGATTTGGGACACATGCGTGCGTACATACATACACACACACACACACACACACACCCCAACATGAACAGTGTATACTCGATATCTGAGGGGGATGTGCAGTAATTTTAACAATACATGTTGATGGCCTGAACGAAAGGTGAAGTTAATACTGCCTGTGTTAAGCATTGCTTAAAAAATCTACTTTTAAGCAAAGCAAGTTGTCTTCCTTAGGTCAGCCACTGCCTGGTCCAACCAGTGCAGTTTGGCCAGCCTCACTATGAGTGGTCTTATTCCCTTGTCCTCTCCAGGCCGATATACTAATATATAGGCTCACAAGGAGCTGTAGGGTTTCCCTCCTGCCCTCTTAGGTAGAGAAGTATAGGCACTTCTCTACCCAGTACAGTGCCTGCTGATCTCAGACGCTCAGTGGAACAGAATATAGTGTCATTTCCCCCTGACAATAAGAAATTTATAGCCATCTGAAGAAAAGCAGTAGTTGGTATTTGTCAACTCACCATAAATAAGAACTGAAGAACATGGTCAGTGCTCACAATTCATGAAGAGATGAACACTCTAAGTCACCGAGAAACCAACACAACTGGATTGCATATTTGAGGTTCACATGGTGGCGATACCACTTGCAGTGTTTGAAAGAAAACCCCTAACACTATGCTATTCTGCCGTTACACCTCCTTCCAATAGAATGACACAAAATAAAGGCACAGGAAAAATACCTTACATCCGTTAATCCTAAGTGGGACCCAAAACAAAAGAGGCAACTGGCTCAAGAACAGGAGGGGAAAAAAGGTACTGCCATAATTGATCCTAGCATCCCTTCATGGCTGCAATGCGTAACTCTCACTTTTCAGTGAGAAAAATCTATACTCTTGTGTTTCTAAAGGAAGCACAAAATATTCTTGCAAGATTTAAATACTGCTAATCAGTGGCAAAGAGTGTAAACAGATGAAATGGCAAAGTTTAAAAGTTTTTTGTTTGGGAAAATAAAGAATCTGTGGTAGGAAGCAAGCAGGTTTAAGTACATTAAAAACAAACAAACAAACACAAAAAAACCGAAAGCCTGGCCTCAGGCCTTAATCTACTTTAAGATGGATGAATACAACTCAAACTTCATAAAGCAGAGGAGTAAAAGGTGCAAGAGCCATGTAGCATCCCTGAAGCCAACCATAGCCATTATTCTTGCTATTCTTTTCTCTCAACAGAATTGGTTAGACTTGCTAATAACTTCACAGAGATCACAGCTCTCTAAGCTGAGTGATTCTTTAAAATGAACACAGTTAGAAGTGGATCTGTAGACCTTTAAGCCAGGTGGAAAATTCTGGAATACTGTTTTCCTGTGGTAACTGCAGTTTTTGAAAGACCACCTCACCTTTCCGTGACTCTGACGGTAGAGACAGGGCGACATCACCTTCCTTCCTACCTGGAAAGACAGTCCTCAGTCCTTTTTCTCTCGTTTGGTAGGAGCCAATCTGTGCTTTAAGGCCTATTTCAAACATTTGTGTCCAAAAAGTAGGGCAAAGATGATGGCAGCAGTAAGACAGCATGCGCTTGAGAAATTTAGGAGCCAAAGGAAGGAGGGGACAGAGGGAGTCAAGTGAAAGTCTTTAAATATGCTTTTGTTTTCATTTTAATTTCTAGATAGGAGAGTATATTTGATGATGGAAGTGATAATTCTCTTCCGTGAGGAAATCAAAGTTTGTAGAGAAAAATGATAGAATCTAAATGTTGGAAGCCAGCTGGTCTATTCTCCACCCAGTGTTATGTCCCTGATGGGGAATCCAAATTTCTCCTGGACGCACACAGGGATGGGGAGCTCCCTCTTGAGCTATTCTCAAGATTACCTAACTCCCTTCACTGTCTCCTGCATTCACCAAGCAACCCTGATCTAGGGAAAGATACTGTATTAATTTGCTAAGGCTGCCATAAGACAATAACTACAGACAGTGTGGCTTAAACAGCAGAAATTAATTTTCTCACAAATCTTGAGGGTAGAAGTCCAAGATCAGAGTGCTGGCAGGGTTAGTTTCCTCTGAGTCCTTTCTCCTTGGCTTGCAGATGGCTGCCTCTTGTTGCCTCATCACAGGGTTGTTCCTCTGTATAAGCACATCCCTGGTATCTCTCCCTCTTCTTATTAGCACACCAGTCATATTGGATTAGGACCCAACCTCAATGACCTAATTTTAATTTAATCACCTCCTGAAAGAGTTTATCTTCAAACATGGTTACATTCTGAGGTACTGGGAGTTGGGATTTCAATATACAAATTTTGGGAGGTAGAGGACACAATTCAGCCCCTAAGAGATGCTCTGGATGGAGTCATACCAGGACACTCCAGTGAGCCACAGAAATCTTGCAGATGTGCTGAGATATCGATTCCTTTAGTCTTTGAGGTGGCTGTTTAGGGTGAGGGGCTACTGGGCACCAAGAGGAGCTGCCAAATTTACTCCAGTGTATCTTTCAAAGATCAACATTTCTATTAGTGGCACAATGCAAAAAATACTGTGAAGCACTGGTGGAAGACCCATATATTCCAGCAACTATAACGATTATGTTTATTATTCTAAATTAATATGTTGTCTCGCAAAGCGGACATGAACACTCATCACCACTGTTATGCAGTGTAAATGTAAGATAGGATTTATTTGGAGGACAAAACTTAAAGCAGAGAAGTGCATAGGAACCTCCAAGCTCTCATGATCCCACACAGAGACACACTTAGGCTAGGCCCAGCTGGAATGGTTGTATCATGAATGGACCCACCCTGTCTTAGTCCATTTGTATCACTATAACAGTATACCACAGACTGGGTAGTTTATAAAGAAAAGAAGCTTATTCCTTATTGTTCTGGAGGCTGGGAAGTCCAGTATCAAGATGGTGGCATCTGGCAAGGGTCTTCTTGCTGTGTCATCCCAAGGTGGAGGGTGAGAGAGGGAGAAAGGGGAAGACAGCAAGCAAGAGAGGGCTGAACTCCATTTGATAAAAAACTCACTCTTGCAATAATGAATCCATTCCTGCGATAGCAACATTAATCTATTCATGAGAGCAGAACCCTCAGGACCTAATCACCCCTTAAAGGTCCCACTTCTTAACACTATTGCATTGGGGATTACAGTTTCCAGAAGTGGACTTTGGGGCACACATTCAAACCATAGCACACCTGTACAATGCTCCATGTCAGTGCTGCTCACGGTGTACTCCATTGGCTGGCAGTTAGTTGCCAGTCCATGAGGGACACAAGGAGATGGCACCAGTATGTAAATCTGCTATGTCCCTAAGCACAATGTGTAGTTCAGCAGGCATTTTATTTTCTTGTAGCAAGGCTTCCTTGATGAAGACAGTAGTGTGTTGATTTACAGTGTGATACAACTTTCAGGCCCATATCAAACAGTTCCAGTCTGTCCTTTGAGCATAGGGACTTATGAGCAGAAAGCATTAATGGAGGCCTCTGGTGGGGGAAGTGGCCTCATTAGGAAAGAAAGTCTTTGAGGCTCAGCAGCTGCTGTCAGCTTGGATTCCTCGGAGCTAACTCAGATTTGCTGAGTCAGCTTCTAAGCTAACAAACGTTGGAAGAAGTGAGCCTTCAGGGTTGTCCAGCTTTATTTCTCCTCACATACTATCCTTTAGGCCTATTATCAATTTCTTTAGTATGTGATAAGCCTCCGATCAATTCTCTATGCACTGACAGATTGTGTTTCTGGATCTGCAATACTGAAGACCATGCTCTGGTCTATGGTGACACAGGAAACTACTGCCACCTTTTGAGCAGCTGACCGTCCACCCAGCCACACTTTCTGACATCTTTCCATCAGGAAATACTTGACACACAGTATTTTCTTTTTTCTCATTTTCTACAGGATCTGATTAATTTAACAGTTTCCTTTGCCCTGTTTCAGTCATGAGCCTTGATGCTATCTTTGACACCGTACTTATCTCCTTTATCTTTTTAATTATCATTTTAAACATCCTTGTTACTCAATTTGTGTGTGTGCGGGTAATAAGTAGTGTTCTCAAACATTTTTCTATTTACTCCCAAGAATTGTTAGAAGCTGCTGATAATAGTTTCTGTCTTAATTGTTTTTTGACCATGGAATTTGGTAGTATGGCTGCATTTGGATGATTCATCCCTCCTTCTCAGATTTTCATTTGATGTCTTGCTCTTTTTCCGATGAGGAAACTGCCTTTGAAGTGCATTTCCACCTGACTTTCCACTCTTCACCTATCAGTGGTCCAGTATTTAGGCATCATAAACCAGGATCTAGACAAGTGAACTTATTCTTTGACCTTATTTACATAGCAAGTTGCTCATTTTCTATGCCCTCTTCCTTCCCAAATTGTTATCTCCAACTGGAAAGACAGATGAAAATTCAAGATAGGTCTCCATGTGCCAGTTTGTGCAGGATTTCAAAGCCACTTCAGGTGTAATCCCTATTTCTTCGAGGAACGTTAAGTGGCCTGAAAATTGAAGGAGAAAAAAGATGGAATATCTCCTCAAGCGTACAGATGAAGACAGCCAGGTGACCTTGAGAAAGTTACTTTACCTCTTTGTCTTGCTTTCTTTCTCTATGAAATGAAAATCATGTGTAATGAAATAAAACACATAGGAAACAAATGCTTAATTATGTTTGTGCATTAATGAAGCTGAGTTGACTTATTTCATGGGTGTGTACATTTTGAGAGGTGACAACGTGCTAGCAGCCCTGGCTCGCTCTCAGCGCCTCCTCGGCCTTGGCGTCCGCTCCGGCCGTGCTCGAGGAGCCCTTCATTCCTCCGCTGCACTGTGGGGTCCCCTCTCTGGGGCTGGCCGAGGCCGCAACCGGCTCCCTCTGCTCGCGGGGAGGTGTGGAAGGAAAGGCATGGGCGGGAGCCAGACGGTGCGGTTCCGGATGGCTGTGGCCCCGCACTCGGCGTGGCCAGCTGGCGCCTGCTGGGCTTGATCGAAGGCTGGGTCTTGTGCGTGGACCACCGCTCCCTCTTCGTGGGGTCATTGGCCACGATGGCGGGTCTCCATCTCTTTCTCGCTTCCCCTCTTTTCCTCTTGGTTGTCTGGGATGAGCTCCCTCTGGGCTGCCAGGGTGCCTGGGATAGGCACTGCAAAATCCAGCCAGGGTACCAGTGAGAGGTGAAGCTGGCTGGGTTTCTCCCACGGGTGGGGACTTGGAGAACTTTTGGGTCTAGCTAAAGGATTGTAAATGCACCATTCAGCCCTCTGTGTCTAGCTAAAGGTTTGTAAATGCACCAATCAGCACTCTGTCAAAACAGACCAGTCAGCTGTCTGTAAAACGGACCAATCAGCTCTCTGTAAAATGGACCAATCAGCTCTCTGTTAAATGGACCAATCAGCTCTCTGTAAAATGGACCAATCAGCAGGATGTGGGTGGGGCCAGATAAGGGAATAAAAGTAGGCCACCTGAGTTAGCAGCGGAAGCCCACGCGGATTTCTTTCCTAATGGTGGAAGTTTTGTTCTTTTGCTCTTAGCAATAAAACTTGCTGCTGCTCACTTTTTGGGTCCATGCTGCGTTTGTAAGATGTAACGCTCATTGTGAAGGTCTGCGGCTTCACTCCCAAAGCCGGTGAGACCATAAACCCACTGGAAGGAACGAGCAACTTCAGATGCACCACCTGTAAGAGCTGTAACACTCACAGCGAGGGTCTGCAACTTCACTCCTGAAGTCAGTGAGTCCACGAACCCACCACTAGGAGTTTCTTCTACTGGTGGAAGAAACTCCGGACGGGTCCGAACATCAGAAGGAACAAACTTCAGATACACCGTCTTCAAGAACTGTAACACACACCGTCAGGGTCCACAGCTTTAGTCTTGAAATCAGTGAGACCAAGAACCTGCAAAGTCTGGACACAATTTCATTGTAGAGGATTTTAATTTAAAATAAAAAATAACTTACAGTACCAAGTCCTTGTATAATGCTTACACTACGAGGACCTGTTTAAGTCCTTTGCATTTATTTATGCAGCTCATGCTATTCTATGGAGTAGGTATGATTGTCTCCATTTTATGAAAGAAGAAGCAAGGCATGAAGATGTTAAAGATCTTGCCTAGGGTCACACAGCTAACAGGTGCTGTCAAGTTATGGAGTCTGTGGCCTTAGAACGTCTATAGCATGGGGCAGGTTTGATTTTCACATGCAGTGTACAAAGTAAAGCCCACTGGGGCTTTCAGAGCCAGAAACCACTCTTCTTAGGATAGAAGTCATTCATGAATATTGAATAAATGACATTTAGACTACCTACTTAAACCAGGCAGGGTTTAGTTAGGAAAAAGTTAACATTTTGGGATCACAAGACAAATTACACTCTTTAGGTCATGGCTTGGTCCATATTATGCAAGAAAACCAAATATCAGATTATGAAAATCTGAATTCTAACACATAGAAACCAGAATAGGAGTGAAACTTCTTAGGGATACACACAACTATATAATTTAGATTTAAAAAAGAAAAATTGGCCGGGCACGGTGGCTCAAACCTATAATCCCAGCACTTTGGGGGGCTGAGGTGGGTGGATCACGAGGTCAGGAGATTGAGATCATTCTGACCAACAATGTGAAACCTCGTCTCTACCAAAAATACAAAAATTATCTGGGCGTGGTGGCGGGTGCCCACAGTCCCAGCTACTCGGGAGGCTGGGGCAGGAGAATGGCTTGAACCTGGGAGGTGGAGGTTGTAGTGAGCCTAGATTGTGCTACTGCACTCCAGCCTGGAGACAGAGCAAGACTCTGTCTCAAAAAAAAAAAAAAAAAAAAAAAAAAATCACATAATTTTAAAGCTAGAAAAGGCTTTTGGTATTGTTTATAATAACCCTTCTCTTTACAGTAAAGGAAGCTGAGGCTCAGAAAAGTTGAAATACTTGACCAAAGTCATGCAGAGAGTTTGTGAGAGAACTCCTGGTTCATGGCTATTCTCAACAGCCTTGGTGAGTCATGTTTTATGGTGTAGTCTGGGGTTAGATAGCACAACAAAAATCCACTCTGATCTTCTGCGTTAATCAGGCTGACTGCATAGTTACTGAAGCTGCACTTCACCTTGAGTTGTGTACACAAAAGTGTTGAGTTAAAGCCTTTCTGGCCATCATCATGCCAGTCAGAAAGAGAGAATCAAATTTAACAGGGGAGAAAGTAAAAGAAAATAATGGAAGACTGAAACTGCAACAACAAGAAATCTCCGTGTTTCTGACCTTCCTGTCCCCCTTAGAATGGACATAATTTTCTTCAGGAAAAAAAAAAAAAAAGACAAGTAGGAACCATGGTCACCTCTCTTGGACTTCAGTTTATCCCTTCTTCTGTTTTTAAAAAATGCATTCTCTAAAAAGCCCTGGAGTTAAGGCCCTGAGGATCTAACTTAAAATGGATTTCCTTCCCTCCTTCCTTCCTTCCTTCCCTCCTTTCCTCCTTCCCTCCCTCCCTCCTTCCCTCCCTCCCTCCCTCCCTCCTTTCCTCCTTCCCTCCCTCCCTCTCTCCCTCCCTCCTTCCCTCCCTCCCTCCTTCCCTCCTTCCCTCCTTCCCTCCTTCCCTCCTTCCCTCTGTCTGTGCTATTTGTTTTTTTTTCTTTGTTTATTTGAGACAGGGTCTCACTCTGTTTCCCAGGCTGGGGTGCAGTGGCACGATCATGGTTCATGGCAGCCTTGATCTCCTGGGCTCAAGCAATCCTCCCACCTCAACCTCCTGCATATCTGGGACTACAGGCGTGTGCTAATTTTTGTGTGGTGTTTTTTTTTTTTTTTTTTTTTTTTTTTTGAGATAGGATTTCACTATGCTGCCCAGGCTGGTCTTGAATTCTTGGGTTCAAGTGATCCACCCATCTTGTCCTCCCAAAGTGCTGGGATTACAGGCATGAGTCACTGCACCTGGCTATCTGTGATGTTTTTAAAAATACATTTTTTGTATATAAAAAATGGCATCACTTAAAGCTTTTAAAATTTGTGACTGAAATACAGATATCCTGCTTCTCTATCATAGGCTGTGAGTCCAGCAAAGTGCTTAGCACAGAGTAAGTACTCTATACTCAAATACATCAAAGTGACATGATCTGAAATTCATGTCTTTATTCACTAGATGTTCTATGAGAAGCAGGATGTGGTCAAAAAGGTTGCAAGAAAGTGAGAAAACCACCTCATGATGGTGCCTGGGCACATCAGTACTCTTGCAGCTTGAAATTGAGATGAGCCATTGATTTTCCATGGGTTGAGCACATGATACCATCAGGTAGGTTTTAAGCAAGTCTTCTGGGATTTCATACTTAATCAGTAATGCAGTGAGTTTCCATTGCAACTGAAAGGCATTTATATTGGAAACGGGTGCCAGCTGTAGTGTGATGATTTCTTATTTCCAACCAGCTAGGGAGAGATAATTGCAGGTATTGATAAAGCCATACAGATTCGCTCTATATGGTTCAGTGAACTGCTCTTTTCATTCTGTGTAGACAAATGTTGTTATCGTTTATTTATGACCTGTGAGCAGGTTGTTATATCCTAGATTACTTATATTCAATGAGGCATACTCTTTTATTATTCTTATTTCTTTGCCCTTCTCATTTAATGACTTCTACAAACTCTTCAGTGCAATAGGTTCTTCTATAGCAGCAGAAGAATCATCCTGCTTTGCCTAACGATGCACTGCTCGGTTTCAGCCATCATTGATTGTTCAGTTGGTGGAGCCTGCATCCACCCGACTTCCCTGTTTCTTGTTATGTACACTACTTTCTAATGTCACAGATGCCCTTATGTGATGCGCACTTTCATTTTCTTTATTTGCTTCTGCTTCTGTTCTGGTGTCCCTTCCTATTTTTTTCATGTTACTATGAATTTTGAAAAGTCAATTCTTAAAAAATACTTTTAATTCCATAAAATAAATATTTCAAAACCAACATATTATTTTCACCTTCACTATCCATTTTTTTTCATTTGGACCTAGTTAGCGAATATGGAGGATAAAATTTGTTCATATTGCTCAGAGTATAGTGGTGATTATTCTCCTTGACCTTTGAATATCGTGCACCGAAGAATAGGGAAGTAGTGTTCTAGAACTGAGAATGAAGCATAAATAAGTTCACATGCTGCACTGTTGCCTAAAGCCATAGGAAATTATGTTGACAGTCAAGAGAATGCTGGCAGTCACAGGACACTTCACCTGTTATTTACGCAAAGGCATAGTGCAGGTTCAGTAGCATAGCCTGTGTGGCTTGTGGTTCATGAATCAGACTGCCTAATCCCGGGAACCACAAGGGACATCTGTAAATCCATTGGCCAGTTCCTGAGGTAAGGGCCACAGGCAAACAGACTGTTTCTAGAAAATGGACAGTAGAAAAAGCCTGATGTGGGGTGGGGGGTATCAAAAAATGATATTAATTTTCATAAACACTTTATGAGTTTAAAATACCATGTGTATTTTAATGTGAGACAAACCTCACATTAAGTTTGATAAAATAGAATAACATAATTATGAAAAATTAAAATGGTGACATGCTGATAAATCCACAACAATGAAATCCTTTTGTCAAAGGAATGGGAAAAACTCAATAGAAATATTAGAAAAGCGTGTAAATAATATTTCTTTAGGGAATAAAGAATTAATGTTATCAACATTTTATTCAACAGAACTGAATAGGATTAAAATAATAATTTAGGCTAGGCGTGGTGGCTCCTAGTCACCTAGCCTAATCCTAGCACTTTGAGAGACTGAGGTGGAAGGATCATTTGAGGCCAGGAGTTTGAGACTAGCCTGGGCAACATAGTAAGACTTCCATCTCTAAAAAAAAAAACTAGTCAGACATAGTGGCATGCACCTGTTATCCCAGCTACTCTGGAGGCTGAGGGAGGAGGATCGCTTGAGCCCAGGAGTTCAAGGTTACAGTGAGCTATGATCTCACCACTACCCTCCAGCCTGGGCTACAGAGTGAGACTCTGTGTCAAAAAAAAAAAAAGTTTAAAAAACTTAAAATTGTTTCTCTATATGGAAATCACTTGATTGTCAGACTTCCAGGAAATACCCTGAACAATACCTTGCTAATATTCTTGTACAGATTTGCACATTTCTGAGTTTTTATGTTTTTACCAACTCTGAATGTACAAAACATGTATGCAAAGTGTGTATATTTCTTTCGGTGAGAACTAATAACATGGTAGTTTTCATATGTGAAGGATGGTTATTGCAAGATTGGGATTCTGCTGCAGTTAGCTGTGTAACTCTCTGTTAAGCGGAGGAGAGGGTATGTGGTTGAGGAGTAGGGAGGATGTCATCAACAGATATTTTCTTTCCTAAAATCTCCTTGCTAAATCCTGTTTTTGTTATATAACTGAAGACTGACATTCAACCTTAGAGTTCTTGAGACCCTGGCTGTTGATTAACAGACTCCTGTGAGCAGTCTTTTTGGTGGCCCAGTTTTTTGCTGTGATAGCTAAATGACAGCAGCAACAATGGCAACCCAGACACCTGCAACAACACTGCCACCCATTGAGCCTTGTAAGAAACTTGTGGTGCCCCCTGTGGACTGGTGAATAGGCTAATTCCCCCACTTTGTCCCATAACGTGATGACTTGGGGACATTTTCAAAGGGGATAGGCCATCAAGACCAGTCCTCCCAGTGTGTTACCTCACTCTTAAGACATTTCAGCAAGTTATTAAGCAATTGTATTTTTTTACAAGGAAAATTTCAATTTTCCAGTCCTGGACTGTTTTATAGATGTTACTTGGAGACATAATTTTTCATTTAGGCTTATGAGTGCCACTACACTTATGATAGGCTGAACTGAGCAACAGCCTGGAATGATAATGCACAAATCAATCCAACTAAATTTGGCTTCAAGGTCCTCAGACATCACTGACATTGATTACAAGTGAAGCAAGTATTCCCATTAATTTAATATCTGAAAAGATTTGTGTATCATCTTCTAATGTTCTTAGATTGGCCTTGGAGGTTGGGAAGGTGATGCAGCTTGTCACATTGCATAGAACATTTATGTTCTCCTTTGACAACCAACTCACCTCTGGGCTCCTGGGAGCAGTTTCCACTGGAATGGAGAGCAGAGAGAATCATAATTATGTCTCAGCCCTGGTTCATCGCCCAGTGGGGACCTGTATTTCTACATGTGCCCTTATAAATATTTTAGCTAAATCAGGGTCTCAAATGTAAAATCTAGTTCCCTGGGGAACTTTTTAATATAAACCAAAGTCTGGTTTAGGGTGATTTAAAAAGAAAAAACTTTGTGAAATGTATTTACTCATGATAATTGCAGATTTAAAACAAAGTCTTATTTATTTTACATGACACTAAAAACTAAAACAAAAAACTCCAGATGAGCAAAAGTGGAAACATACTTCAAACACCTTATGACACATGATCAAATTCCTTATAAACTTAAATTTATGAAAATATAGTTTGGAAGTAGATAGGATATTCAGAGGAAGCACAATATTTATGGGCAATGCTATCATCATTGTTTTGCATTCTAATGGAATGTTTTTACTTTCTTGTAATATGCACCCCTGAAGAGATAAAGTAGTGGAAATATGACACACTTACCCATTCTGACTGTTCTTGTGTCCTGCGACAACCATAAAATCTGATAATCAGTTAACCAACTGACTCAGTTGGGATTTAGTCCAGGTTAAAGCCTGGGTAAGTAGCATTCTGGAGTAAATCTCATAAGTAACTATCTGATGATGTCCTGACTATCCTCAAAGGAAGAGATTCTGTTTGTTCAGCATTTTGGGAGCCAAATATTCTTTTAAAATCTGGATTGTCTGATGCTCATGTCAAAATCCAGACAGAGTGATAAATTACTCATAAATAAAAACAGAGGAAACTATTGCAGTGATGGTCACTGGCTATGATCTTGGTAATTCCAGTTCTATAGCTCTACTTTTAGATACAAATCATTTTCATATGGAACATTTGATTCCCAATTAGAACCTCTGAATTTGAATGGCAGAAGAAGTTGCTGGAAGCTGTTAGCAAAAACTGTGCTGCCTACAAATGATCCTTGGAATCTCAAGAATCCTGCAAAAAAAAAAAAAAAAAAGAAAAAAAAAAGAAAACCTAGGGACTGGCCGGGCGCAGTGGCTCACACCGGTAATCCCAGCATTTTGGGAGGCTGAGGCCAGTGGATCACGAGGTCAGGAGATCGAGAGCATCCTGGCTAACACGGTGAAACCCCATCTCTACTAAAAATACAAAAAATTAGTCAGGCGTGATGGCAGGTGCCTGTAGCCCCAGCTACTCGGGAGGCTGAGGCAGGAGAATTGCTTGAACCCGGGAGGCAGAAGTTGCAGTGAGTGGAGATCACACCACTGCACTCCAGCCTGGGCAACAGAGACTCCATCTCAAAAACAAAAAACAAGAAACAAAAAACAAAAAACAACAATCTAGGGACCACCAAAAGCCATGTGAACTGCAGAGTACAAATAACTTGCATTTTCTGGAGAATAGATGACTATATTTATTTAATCGTTTCAATTATGACTCTGCTTATTAGCTGCAAACCCCAGAATCACAAATTTAATAGGAATCTTTAAAAAAGACGTGTTAAAATTAGGGAATAAAGTTACACATTTGCAGAATTCAAGATTTATTGGGATGAGTATCTGTCTCATATGTTAGATAGAGTCTTCGTAGGGAATATTGGCTTCTGGCACATACTCTCTTGCCTTCTGTGTTCTTTCTGCCTGCACAAAGTGCTTTTTGTTCCTCAAACCAGTAGAAACTATTTAAGCCTTAAGTGATTCTCCCTCCATTCAGCATCATGTAAACCATAAACATACATGTTCTGTAAAGATACAAGAAAGGGTCCTAGCAAGTAAGTTTGTAGCGTTAGTAATACACTTCTATATGTTAGCACACTACCTATTTTGGAGTAATGTTTTTTTGGTCTGAGTGTTTTTGTTAGTTCGCTTTGAATTTATAAATTTTAATTTGGTTCAAAAGTTTATTTTCTGTTTTTTTTTTTTTTTTCCCTCTTTTGAGACAAGGTCTTGCTGTGTCACCTAGGCTGGTCTTGAACTCCTGGCTCAAGTGATCCTCTTGCCTTGGCCTCCCAAAGTGTTGGGATTACAGGCGTGAGCCACCACACCTGGCCTTCTGTGTTCTTTTGTTTGTTCGTTTGGTTTTAGGCTCCTAAGTAGCTGGGACTACAGGTGCATGCCACCACACCCAGCTAATTTTTTTTTGGTGTTTTTGGTAGAGACCGTGGTCTCACCGTGTTGCCCAGGCTGGTGTCAAACTTAGACTCCAATGATCCACCCTCTTTGGCCTCCCAAGGTGCTGGGATTACAGGTGTGAGCCACCACCCCGGCCTTATTTTCTATTTTTAATATGTGCTAGGATGCTGTAAATGAGTAAGACAGAAGAAATATAAATGAAGAATTAGCACATAGAAAAATTTCAACCTCAGGAGTCATCAAATGAATGTAATGAATGTGTATTAAAATGAGTCCCCCCCACCATCAGATTAACTAAGGTTTTTAAAAAAGCCTGTTGGTGAGACTATGATGCTAGGGACAATTTGTTGTACTGCTGTTGGAGTGAATGTCATAAGAGAGATCCAAATAAAAATCCCGGGGGGAAAGATCGAGATTGGAAACAGCAGAGAAAATTTCTGGAGGGATTAGTGCTTCAGGAAGATTTGAAGGAGGAATAAAATTAAAACAGATGGAAGGTAAAAATGGCAAAGCAGAGAGCTTGATTAAGGGTAGTACTTTTTCACTCCAGCATGTTTTGGAGATTTATCCCATTCATTTTAATGTTTTTATAGCATTCCATTGGATGAATATATAATAATTTATTTACTCATTCCCCTTCTGGTAGACAATTATGTTGCTTCCAAATTTTTATTGCAAACAAAGCTGTTTTGTGAACATCTTTGTATTTGTCTTCTTGTGCACATTTGAGAGATTTTTTTTTCCTGGATGTACGCTGAGGAATAGAAGTGCTGAGCTATGGGGCATGCACTAAAGTGCCTGTGCCAATTAAAACTACCACTGGCAGTGTTTGAGAGTTCTTATTTTCCCACATCCTTATACTTGGTATCGGCAGACACACACATTTTTATCAATTTCATAGGTGTGAATGAATATCATAATCGTTTTTTCAGTTCCCTCATTACAGGTGAGATTTGCAATATTTTTCACATATTTATGGCTCATTCAATTTCTTCTTGAGCACATTGTTTTTCTCTATTTTCTATTTTTTGTCATTTTCTTTATTGATTTGTAGGTCTTTATAAATTCTTGATGTCATGTTTTTAAAAATACATATTCTTGATGTCATGGTTTTTAGAAATCTATTAAGTGAATACAAATATCTCCACTTCTTCTTAGTCTTGTTTTAAAAAATGTTATTATGGTCTTTTCTCTCATCCAGAAGTAATTGTAATTTAGATAAAATTATCAATCTTTTTCTTTATAGTTTATGCTTTGTATGACTTGCTTAAGAAATTCTTTCCTAACGTATTTTCTAAAGAGAATGTTCTACCATTCTTTGCAGAATTTTTGCTTTTTCATAATCAAATCTTTACTTGGCTTGGAATTGATTTTTGTCTATGGTGTGAGGAAGGGTTGTAGCATTTTTTTCCCAAAAGATTGGCCAACTCTCCAAGCTCATAAATAATTCTTTTTCTATTTTATTTTTGTTATGTATGCATCACATGCCTGGCAAGTTATACAGGTTCCAGTGAGCAAAACTATGGAAATCCTCTCAATGGCAAAGAGTGTGTGCATATCCCTGTAGTCTGGGTGTTCCAGAAGCAGCTAGAGATGAGGAATACAGATCTGATTGAGTTTGAGTTCCAACTCTCTCATTTACAAACCAAGCAGGGTAAAAAGGATATTAACAGAATGAATTGATTTGCAAAAGTTGGAACTGAAATAAATATTATTGGGCAAAAGTTTGGGATAGAAATATAGCGTATCCACATCAATTTCAAATAGTTGGAAGGGGTGGAATATGAGGTTCTTCACTGGGTTCTGAAAGTATGGGAATGAAATGAAGAGAACCTTTAATAATACTAACTCCGAGAGCCTAAATAAAAACACTGAATTAAATCAGTTGAATGAAACAATATTAATGGAGTGCAAGGTGGTATGTATGTGAAAACCATTTGTTATTGGAAAAAGAGCTGTTTGCATATAGCATCAGGACATGGCTTACTCAGCTCCATTCCCAACTGACTTTTCCCTTGCCTTCCCTTTTGTAAAGGCTAAAAGTGAAACACTCCGTTTTCTTAGGCACCTCCTGCCTGAGGTGACCACTTGGCTCAGCTCTAGCCAGTGATGCAAATGGACAACATTCCTTTCCATACAAAAAGACAAAAGCTGCCTGGGAAAAGGTCTTTAGCCCTCTCACCTTCTTCCTTCCTGAAAATTGGATGTGGGGTCTGGAAGTGCAGAGGCCATCTTGAGATACTAAGGACAGTGACTTGTGGAATTCTGAGCTACTCTGACAGCCCTCGTGTTTCTACCTTAGACTTCTTGTTGCCAGAAACAAAATAAACCTGTATTTTTTTAAGTTCTTGCAGTGAAGGTTTTTATTTTTTATAGCCAAACATATGCATACCTGATATAGCTTTGATACCTCATTCCTTCATTTGTTCAATATTGTTATCACTGAAAACATTACAGTAATGGATGTATGTTAGTGAAGTGATGGAGGATTGAACAGAGGAAGGGAAAGAAGAAGATGGAACATGTACATTGTGTATATGGAGTTTAATTTATAATAGGAGGAATAAGACATGACCACAGTAAGAGATAGTTTATGTACCAACATTTGGCCCCAAGTTTTATCAGATAATCTTTTACAAGCATGTGGGATTCATTGTGGCAGTTTGGGTATTACATGGACATCTTTGTGCATCACTTTGTCCTGGGAACACATGCTATGTGCTCTGAAGGTTACATCAGGACTATTTTGTAGTATGAGATATCAGTATGTAGTATGAGTGATAGTATGAGTGATAACCAATATTGACATACTCATACTACATACTCTGGCCACATGGCTCAGCTCAGTTACATCAGGACTATTTTGTAGTATGAGATGTCTAAAGGCATGTTTTCTGCTACAAAGCAATCCATAAAAAATTTCAACAAGGAATTCCATCTACCTGTTATAGACACAGGATGTCCCTCTTCCACTGATGTGGCTTTGAAAGAAATAAACAGCCTGCTGTCATTTTGTGTTACCATCCTCAGCAGGCAGCAAGAATGCAGGAAAAAAACCTGCTTACAGCCAAGGGTCAGGATTAGGATGTAAACTCCTGGGAGTGTGTGTGTGTTTTATCCTGGTATCTCTCATGGTGACTAATTCCTTGCTTGTGCATTTCAAGAGCTCAAAATATTTTTGCTCTTTGCAATGGTCTGAATGTATTCTCCCAAAATTCATATGTTGAGACTTAATTGCCAATGTGGTAGTAATGCAATAAATCAGATTATATCTTTGTAAGCTTTAAGAGATAATTAAGTTATGAGGGTAGAGCCTTCATGGAAGGAATTAAGGCTCTTACAAATGGGCTTAAGGGAGTGGGTTCATTACCTTCTATCCCTTCCTCCACGTGAGGACATGGCATTTACTCCCTCTGGAGCATGCAGCAACAACATACCATCTTGGAAGCAGACCACAGTGCAATCAAATTGGAACACAAGATTAAGAAACTCACTCAAAACCACACACCTACATGGAAATTGAACAACCTGCTCCTGAACGACTTCTGGGTAAATAATGAAATTAAGGTAGAAATCAAGAAGTTCTTTGAAACCAGTGAGGACAAAGAGACAATGTACCAGAATCTTTGGGATGCAGTTAAAGCAGTGTTGAGGGAAATTTATAGCACCGAGTACCCACATCAAAAAGTTAGAAAGATCTCAAATCAACACCATAACATCACAACTAAAAGAACTAGAGAACCAAGAGCAAACAAACCCCAAAGCTAGCAGAAGACAAAAAAAAAAACATCAAGATCAGAGCAGAACTGAAGGAGATAGAGATATGAAAAACCCTTAAAAAATCAATGAATCCAGGAGCTTTTTTTGAAAAAATTAATAAAATAGACCACTAGCTAGACTAATAGAGAAGAAAAGAGAGAAGAACCAGATAGACAAAATAAAAAATGGTTAAGGGTATATCACCACTTAGCCCACAGAAATACAAACAGCCATCAGAGAATACTATAAACATCTTTATGCAAATAAACTAGAAAATATAGAAGAAATGGACAAATTCCTGGGCACATACACCCTCCCAAGACTAAATCAGGAAGAAGCTGAATCCCTGAATAGATCAATAACAAGTTCTGAAATTGAGGCAGTAATAAATAGTCTACCAACCAAAAAAAGCCTGGGGCCAGACAGATTTACAGCTGAATTCTACCAGAGGTACAAAGAGGAGCTGGTACCATTTCTTCTGAAACTGTTCCAAACAATTGAAAAGGAGGGATTTCTCCATAACTCATTTTATGAGGCCAGCATCATCCTGATACCAAAAGCTGGCAGAGATACAACAAAAAAAGAAAACTTGTAGGTCAATATCCTTAATAAACATCAATGCAAAAATTCTCAATAAAATACTGGCAAACCGAATCCAGCAGAACATCAAAAAGCTTATCCACCACGATCAAGTTGGCTTCATCAATGGGATGCAAGGCTGGTTCAACATACACAAAACAATACATGCAATTCATCACATAAATAGAACTAAAGACAAAAACCACATGATTATCTCAATAGATTCAGAAAAGGCCTTCGATAAAATTCACCATCCCTTCATATTAAAAACTCTCAATAAACTAGGTATTGAAAGAACATACCTCAAAATAATAGGCATTTATGACAAGCCCACAGCCAATATCATACAGAATGGGCAAAAGCTGGAAATATTCCCCTTGAAAACCAGCACAAAACAAGGATGCCCTCTCTCATCACTCCTATTCAACATAGTATTGGAAGTTCTGGCCAGGACAGTCAGGCAAGAGAAAGAAATAAAAGCTATTCAAATAGGAAGAGGGGAAGTCAACCTGCCTCTGTTTGCAGATGGCATGATCCTATATCAAGAAAACCCCATCATCTCAGGCCAAAGCCTTCTTAAGCTGATAAGCAAATTCAGGAAAGTCTGAGGATACAAAATCAATGTTCAAAAATCACAAGCATTCCTATATACCAGCAACAGACAAGCAGAGAGCCAAATCATGAATGAACTCCCATTCACAATTGCTACAGAGAGAATAAAATACCTAGGAATACAGCTATCAAGGGAAGTAAATGACCTTTTCAAGGAGAACCACAAGCCACTGCTTAAGGAAATCTGAGAGGAAACAAAAAAACGGAAAAATATTCCATGCTCCTGGATAGGAAGAATCAAAATGGCCATACTGCCCAAAGTAATTTATAGATTCAATGCTATTCCCATTAAACTACCATTGACATTTTTCACAGAATTAGAAAAAACTACTTTAAAATTAACATGGAACCAAAAAAGAGCCCATATAGCCAAGACAATCTTAAGCAAAAAGAACAAAGCTGGAGGCACCACACTACCTGACTTCAAACTATACTCCAAGGCTACAGTAACCAAAACAGCATGGTACTGGTACAAAAACAGACACAAAGACCAATAGAACAGAATAGAGAACTCAGAAATAAGACCACACTTGTACAACAATCTGATCTTCAAAAACCTGACAAAAACAAGCAATGGGGAAAGGATTCCCTATTTAATAAATGGTGTTGGGAGAACTGGCTAGCCATATGCAGAAAATTGAAACCGGACTCTTTCCTTACACCTTATATAAAAATTAACTCAAGATGGATTAAAGACTTAAATGTAAAACCTGAAACCACAGAAACCCTAGAAGAAAATCTAGGCAACACCATTCAGGACATAGGCATGGGCAAAGATTTCATGACGAAAACACCAAAAGCAAAAATTGAGAAATGGGACCTAATTAAACTAAAGAGCTTCTGCACAGCAAAATAAACTATCATCAGAGTGAACAGACCATCTGATAATAAAATATCAAAGAAAAACCCTATTTTTTTTTCCTCCAAGACTTGAGTAAATAGGAGAAAATTTTTGCAATCTATCCATCTGACAAAGGTCTAATATCCAGAATCTACAAGGAACTTAAACAAATTTACACACAAAAAAACCAAACAACTCCAGTAAAAAGTGGGCAAAAGACATGAATAGACACTTTTTGAAAGAAGACATTTACGTGGCCAAAAAACATATGAAAAAAAGCTCAACATCACGGATAATTAGAGAAATGCAAATCACAACAACAAGACACCATCTCATGCCAGTTAAAAAGTCAAGAAACAACAGATGTTGGCAAGGCTGTGGAGAAATAGGAAAACTTTTACACTGTTGGTGGGAATGTAAATTAGTTCAATCATTGTGGAAGACAGTGTGACGATTCCTCAAAGACCAAGAACCAGAAATACCATTTGACCCAGCAATCCCATTACTATGTACCCAAAAGAATATAAATCATTCTATTACAGAGATACATGCATGCATATGTTCATTGCAGCAATATTCGCAATAGCAAGACATGAAATCAACCCAAATGCCCATCAATGATAGACTGGATAAAGAAAATGTGGTACATATACACCACAGAATACTATGCAGCCATAAAAACGAATGAGATCAAGTTTTTTGCAGGGACATGGTTGGAGCTGGAAGCCTTTATCTTCAGCAAACTAATGCAGGAACAGAAAACCAAACGCCACATGTTCTCACTTGTAAGTGGGAGCTGAACAATGAGAACACATAGGGAGGGGAACAACACACAGTGGGGCCTGTTGTGGGGTTGGGGGAGGGAGAGCATCAGGAAAAATAGCTAATGCATGCTGGCCTTAATAGTTAGCTGATGGGTTGATAGGTGCAGTAAACCACCATGGCACATGTTTACCTGTGCAACAAACCTGCACATCCTGCACAAGTACCCTGGAACTAAAAAAAAAAAAAAAAAAAAATTGATGAATCCCAGTGTTGGTTAACATTAGTATTGGCCCACACTGAAATTCATATTGACCTCAGAGTGGAAGGCTATCTTTTTTTTTTTTTTTTTTTTGAGACGGAGTCTTGCTTTTTTTGTCGTTGCCCAGGCTGGAGTGCAGTGGCACCATCTCGGCTCACTGCAACCTCTGCCTCCTGCGTTCAAGTGATTCTCCTGCCTCAGCCTCCCAAGTAGCTGGGATTACAGGCATGAGCTACCACACCCAGCTAATTTTTGTAGTTTTAGTAGAGACGGGGTTTCGCCATGTTGGCCACACTGGTCTTGAACTCCTGACCTCAGGTGATCCGCCCACCTCAGCCTCCCAAAGTGCTGGGATTACAGGGGTGAGCCGCCACGCCTGGCGGAAGTTTATCTTTTGTGGTTGCTTTGACTTTGTGGGAGGATGGATATTGGAACCTCCCATGGGGAATACTGCTTGCTTGACTTATTTTTCTTCTCCATGATGTTAGGAGAAAAATCTTTCTGACCAGAAGGCTAACTCCTCAGCCAAAGTGGCAGTCCGTCTGCCGTATCACTGGCTTTACAGGGGAAAGAATCCCAAGAGGTCAGTTGATCCAGGATCCAGTCCTAGGCTGGGAAGACATTTCTGCTGTTTTACAGGTGAGGTACCTGAGGCCCCAAGAAGGCCAAGCGACTTAGCCAAATCACTGAGAATGATGCTGATGGTGGAGCGGAGATGCAGTGGGTGTAGAGGAAGACAGGGGTTGTAGTAGTGAGGGAATGAGAGTAGATGCTAGAATTCCTGGTTCTTCTCTGCATTGCTAATCTATTGGAGATTGGCATCATGCCTTCATCTTTGAATCCCTGGCACCTTCACAGTGTGTGGCAATTAATGTGCCCAATTAATGTTGTTGAATAAATGAACCATAATGGCCCCCTCTGGTCAAAATCCTCTATGATAAATTCTCGTAACATTACGTATCGTTCTTTCACAGTACTTGTTACAGTAACAACTTTCCATTTTTTTGGAGTGTGATTATTAAATCAATGTATTTCCCCTTCACTAGACAGACCATAATAAGCTCTATAAAGCTTTTAGTAATCACTGAATCATGCAGTGCTTGGCACTTAATAGGTGCTTGGGACATATTTGTAGAATGAATAAATGATCTTGGGCAAGAATGGCCTTGGGAGGTTCAGTTTGGGCTTAATAATGGCAGCAGCAGCAAAAACTAGTATTAGTTTAAGGTGTTTTCATAGGTATTATTTTCATTTAATAATTTAAAAACTCCTACTAAAAAGGTATTATTTCTATCATATAGATGAAAAAAACTGAGGAAGATCAGAGAGGTTAAACATCTTAAAGTCTGATACTCTATGATCACTGTATTACAAATGTGGGCCCTGGGTTATTTGTTGTCCATACAGCCAGACTTGCAGAGATCAGTAAATGTTTTATGGCACATGAAGTGAATGAGAGAATATGTGATTCTTTTGTATTTTTTGTGTATTGGTTTAGAGCAAAGGCATTTTTACATATGAGAAGAGCTCACTGGAATTGATAATAAGGGCTCACACCCCCTCACTGGCCCTGTAGTAACACAAACACTATCTTCATTTGTATTCCAGGGGCCAGCCAGAAACGGTTGATGTAAGATGTCTTATAGGTCCAGCTGATGCTAACAACCAATGAGAGAAAAATTTTCATGCTTTGAAGACTAAAATACTTTCTCTCTATGAATTTATAATATAAATGATTGACAACCTGAATAAGATAAGGGAGGCCTAGGTCCATGGTTCTTAAGCTTTTGTGGCACATAGGATCATTTGATGGGACACAGATTAATACAGACCCCTTAATCTGGTCATTTCTTACTACTAGAAACATGGGGATAACAATGTCACTCCCACTAATGTGGAAATAGTGGAAAGGATGGATTTGCATGTATGAGTGCCTTATGGGTAAATTATAAATATATTCCTGAAATTGACTAGAGACGTGAGCACCTTGTGAACTTCAATGCTATAGGAGACCAGCAGAAGCTCCTTTGTGGAACATTGGAATTCCCAGGCCGCAGCCAAATGCCACTGGCTAATCACCTTAGAGTTTTAATTCAGGAATGGTGGGTTGAATCTTGAAAATACATGAATGTAGAAAAGGTGAAAAGGGGATGTCAAATGTATACTAATGACCTTTAGAAGATGCATTAGAAATGGGATTGGATTCTTATGAAGTGGACAATTATTACTACCTGGTAATATGCTTTATTTCACCATGCCAGTTCAACGAAGGCATTCAACAGTTACTTGTTGAATGAAATAGGACCTCCATTCTATCATATGAATGCCTAGCTAGAGAAAAGCCTTCCCAGACCAAGAAACTTACCTCTATTTCATGTAATATTTGCTGAGGTGAATGGAAATCTATCCTGTGGTGACACCAAAAGAGTCTATATTCTGTCATTTCATGTATTACATAAAAAGGATGGCATCAGAGACATTTCAGATGACATGTGGAATTCCTGTAAAACATTCTTGATGAGGCTGACAAAGACAATTCCTTAATGATGTTTGTTTCATTTTTGATATAAATGGAAAGACTGAAGACAAATGTAAACGAAGGAAAGTGTTTCTAATAATAACAATAATATGAATGTATGAGGTATCAATCTTTGCGTTACTGATCATTGATTTATTTCTTGGTGAGATCTTTATCACAGGATGACCTTGTTGCCAAAAATTACCAAGTATTGGGAAAATGTATAGCTACTGATAGGAGCATGTGCAGATTTGCTTTTTGTCAGTGTGTGTTTATGTTACATGTAGATATTGTCACTTTATTTAGCAAGGCGTTCTTTCTTCTTGAGTCAAGAATATAATGTAAACTCAAGTGAATTTCTCTTTAGTGAGAAGAGCATTTTATTTTGTCCTTTCTGGCCCTTATATTCATACTTTTGACCACCCACAGGCGAATCCAGGAGAACCAGAGATAACTTCCA
Organism: Homo sapiens; assembly: GCF_000001405.40. Taxonomy (NCBI): domain Eukaryota; kingdom Metazoa; phylum Chordata; class Mammalia; order Primates; family Hominidae; genus Homo; species Homo sapiens. The sequence goes on from NC_000004.12 coordinate 153,824,383, forward strand.
TAGACTGGAAAACCAGGATGAAATTGTGTGTATTTCAGTTTAAAAGATTCCTTTCAGGGGAATTATCACTGTGATGTTGGAAGATATTCTTTCATTCACAAGGCATTTGCAAGATCTATTATGTATGAAATTACTCACATGTAAATATTTTGTAGATGTAAAGCAAATTTGCTCCCTGCAAAATGGACCCAGTGGTGGGAACCAGTTTGAGGAGATGAGGCTGTATTTCCCTTCTCTAAGCATCACCAACAGAGCTGCTTAATCTGAGTCTGGAAGAGATCCAGTGGGATTTAGTTTTATGAGTTTTAATGTAAAGGTGTTGTATTTCATGAGATGAAATCATAACACAGTGGATTGCAAGAATTTTGAGAGATTATTTTTTCAGAGTCTTGGCAAGCACCATCCTCTAGAGAATTTTGTGTCTAAAAAAGAAATATAGATATTCTTTAATAGGATTCACATGATAGCTAATCATTAATTCCTTCTAGATGGTCAGGGTTTGACTGGAGAGGCTGATTTGGAACATCTGGAGCAGGTCTGACCTCTCTAGTTGGCCTTTATTGAATTTGTGACTTCCACAGCATCCTAAAACTTCAAAGTACATGGGCAATGCATTTTTTTTGGGTCCTCTACTCCTAAGCCATGATTACAGTTCTTTTTATTTATATATAGATTATACTTCACCTTTAGTCTTCATGCACAGTTTGATTCTCTATGAATTTTGACAATCCAAATGAATATTTGGCCAAGACAAGAAAGGTTATCAAGCTGTATCTCAGGTTTCTTTCCTCTCCCGTTCTTGTTATGTTTTCAGCTGAGAAGAAGTTCTCTGTCTCTGTTTTAGAGAAAGCTGAGCCATTTCCTTGACTTAAGTTTGACCTTTTTTTTGCTTCATTCTGGAACACGTATAACTGTTCTTAGGCTAAACATCTCTCTACTTTTGTGACTGTCTCATCTCCAATTTCCCTGTAATGCAACATGTTGGAATAGGTTTCTCATGAATGGCAGGGGAGAAACAAGACGCTCTGGGAGAAATCTGGCACTTCTTCTGATTTTGATGTGTATGGAAGGTAGTTTGTGTTCTATGTAGCTGAGAGCCTTCTTGAAACATGGCTCAGGCAAGAAAGTTTCGGAAGTGCAATTAGTTCAGCATGGGAGTCTAGCAAAACGAATGTATGCCCCAATGTATGTAGCACTTTTCCCAGGGAGATTTGTTCCTACCTTATTTTAGAAATAATAGATGAACTCTTAAGACTTTATAAAAGTTCTGCAGCGGCTGACATATCATCTGTAAAGATAAAAAGATGTGTACATCAGCACAGATGTGTTTGTATGAAATCGTGCACATGATAGACCTCATGTGGATCCTCTAGTGAATTCTCATGGTAACGCTGATGAAATTGGTGTTATGGAGGAAGGGAAAGAGGAGTTATGAGTTATTACCATCAAGCAACAAATGTTACATTCCTTATCTTTCTCAAATGCTGTCTTGCAAATGCATATCAGAGGAGATTATGATTGGAGAGAGTCCAGGCATTAGGATGCTGAGGGAGTCAAGCTGAGGGAGATTAAGCAGCTAGGGTATGAGCAGCAAGAGGAGCAAGCTTACTTGCAGCTGTAGACTATCACCTATCACCTTGCTTTCCAAACTTGCCTGCTTACCTGGGGAGTGTGTTAAAAATGGAGATTCTTACAGACTTAGCAAATCAAAGTCTCCAGGGGAAGGACCTGGAAAATAGATTGTTTTTTTTTTTTTTTACTTTCTCTGTCTACAAGGTTGATGTGCAATGCCACTGAAATAATGTAGATGACACAGCCTTGAAAAACAGAAAGGTTTTTTTTTTTTTTTTTACCACATTCTGGGATTTTCTTTATTTATTTTTATTTTTAAAATTTTACTTTAAGTTCTGGGATACATGTGCAGAATGTGCAGGTTTGTTACATAGGTATACACGTGCCATGGTGGTTTGCTGCACCCATCAACCCATCATATACATTAGGTATTTCTCCTAATGCTATCCCTCCTCTAGCCCCCACCCTCCAACAGGCCCTGGTGTGTAATGTTCCCCTCCTTGTGTCCTTGTGTTCTCATTGTTTAACTCCCACTTATGAGTGAGAACATGCAGTGTTTGGTTTTCTGTTCCTGTGTTAGTTTGCTGAGAATGATGGTTTCCAGTTTCATCTATGACCCTGCAAAGGACATGAACTCATCCTTTTTTATGGCTGCATATATTCCAATTGCTACAAAGAGAATAAAATACCTAGGAATACAGCTTACAAGGGATGTGAAGGACCTCTTAAAGGAGAATTACAAACCACTGCTCAAGAAAATAAGAGAGGACACAAACAAATGGAAAAACATTCCATGCTTCTGGATGGGAAGAATCAATATCATGAAAATGGCCATACTTTCTAAAGTAATTTACAGATTCAATACTATCCCCATCAAGCTACCATTGACCTTCTTCAAATAATTAGAAAAAATCTACTTTAAAATTCATATGAACCAAAAAAGAGCCTGTATAGCCAAGACAATCCTAAGCAAAAAGAACAAAGCTGGAGGCATCACACTACCTGACTTCAAACTATACTACAAGGCTACAGTAACCAGAACAGTACGGTACTGGTACCAAAACAGATAAACAGACCAATGGAACAGAACAGAGGCCTCATAAATAACACCACACATCTACAACCATCTGATCTTTGACAAACCTGACAAAAACACGAAATGGAAAAAGGATTCCCTATTTAACAAATGGTGTTGGGAAAGCTGGCTACCCATAGGCAGAAAACTGAAGCTGGATCCCTTCCTTACACCTTATACAAAAATTAACTCAAGATGGATTAAAGACTTTAATACCTAAAACCATAAAAACCCTAGAAGAAAACCTAGGCAACACCATTCAGGACATAGGCATGGGCAAAGACTTCATGACTAAAACACCAAAAGCAATTGCAACAAAAGCCAAAATTGACAAATGGGATCTAATTAAACTAAAGAGTTTCTTCACAGCAAAAGAAACTATCATCAGAGTGAGCAGGCAACCTACAGAATGGGATTTTTGCAATCTATCCATCTGACAAAGGGCTAATATCAAAAATCTACAAAGAACTTAAACAAATTTACAAGAAAAAACTTTTTGATTTGCCCATCAAAAAGTGGGAAAAGGATATGAATAGATACTTCTCAAAAGAAGACATTTATGTGGCCAACAAATATATGAAAAAAAGCTCATCATCACTGGTCATTAGAGAAATGCATATCAAAACCACAGTGAGATACCATCTCATGCCAGTTAGAATGGCGATAATTAAAAAGTCAGGAAACAGATGCTGGAGAGGATGTGGAGAAATAGGAACGCTTTCACACTGTTGGTGGGAGTGTAAATTAGTTCAACTATTGTGGAAGACAATGTGGCAATTCCTCAAAGATCTAGAACCTGAAATACCATTTGACCCAGCAATCCCATTACTGTGTATATACGTATATACCCAAAGGATTATAAATCATTCTACTATAAAGACACATGCACATGTATGTTTATGGCAGCACTGTTCACAATAGCAAAGACTTGGAACCAGTCCAAATGCCTATCAATGATAGACTGGATAAAGAAAATAGAATTTTTAACAAGCTGACCAGCTGATTGCTATGATCAGGTAAGTCTTGGAACCACTCACTGAGTGTAATCAGACGGGCATTGAAAAAGGGTTGGGTTTTGTGAGTATGGGTGTCAAGGGTGGCTATGGATGCTAAATAACATAGTCAAAGGGATATTTCCAACTCTGTGTTTGTTGAAGAACACTGACTTTATGTTCTTCAATGCCCCATCTGTAATGCCCCACCCATTATATTTCTTTCAAAATTGATTCAAGAAAGACCTTTGTCTTTCCCAAGAAGATGGTTTGTGTCATTTATGAGATGAAATGTTGCCACTTCCTGAGCTCCCATTGCCTCAGTTTCCAGGAAATGTGATGCCAGGTTTTATGCTCTATCACTATTACCACATCTACTACTATGATTGGCCTGTTAGATTTTCTTTTCCCACCATTTTTACCTTCTTTTAAAACCCTATTTTGATTAATTTTTATTTGTTTTGTAAGTGATTTCCAATTTCTTTTTTTCCCTGAAAAGTGGCAGAGTATAAATGTATTAAATTGAACCCATAATTAATAGTTGCTAATGGAAGGAAAATAAGATAGTGATTAAATGATGACAAATTTAAATAACTTTCATTTCTGAATGCAGTTGTACCTGTACCAAACATACGTGCATTTTATCCTTCCTCCTGCCAATGACCTAATGTGGGTTAGGGAGAGAGTCCGAGAGGCTAGGTCAATTATGGATACTTGGGAAAATGCATATTTTAAAGCTAACTGATGTAATTTGCATCTGCAAATAATAATCACAGTTCTATATAATAACAATAGATTATAATAATATAATAGTTCTAATAATAATAATAGTTCTATATAGGTAGGGTGACTTTTTCCCTTTTATTCATAATTCACAATTATGGGTGTAATTAGAGATATGGTAGGCAGCATTTTTACTTCTTTTGTTTTCACATTAAAATAAAGATCCACCCAGGGAATGCACAAAAGCAAGAAACACAAAGCAGACAAAGGAATTTCTAATGAAAATCAAGCCCCTCACCCATCCCGTCCAACAACAGTCCTTCTCAGAGGTTGTCACTTTGAACTGCTTCAGTTTTCAATTATGTCAGTGGCCACTTAATAATTTCAGGTAGTATGGATACACCATTGGTTTTGAATTCATCTTTTTTTGTTCTTTGCTGTTTTGAAATTTCAATTCTGTGTCCAAGTGGTTCCCTTTATATGCAGCGTACTCCATGAGCCCATACAAATAAAAGACTCACTTTCTCCAGGTCTGAGAATATTTGATTATTATTTCCCTAATAATCTCTCACTCTTCATTTTCTCTATTCTCCCTTTTAGGAAATCCTACTGGATCATTCCTCCTCATGTCTCCCCTCCCTCCATCCTGCTCCCTTTCTTTCCGTTGCTTAGAGAAGATTTTGTTTTTGTTCCTGGAAGGTAAACACTGGCTTACCTACCTCTCTGTGAACAGGGTAACTGGTCCAACTTTTCTATTGCCAGGTATTCAACTAATTCCTTGTTTTCAGTTCTGTGCCTCACACCTGTCCTCCTCCTTGATGGTATTTGTAGGTTTCTTCTGCAAAGGCTGTTTCCCACCTCCACTGTAGACTTAACCTGCACATACTGGAACTGTAGCTGTCTCTCCTCTGTTTGTCATCAATTGCCCCCCTGGGCCTTCTCTCTTTCAAAATGTATTTATGAATTTATCTCCTGTGGATTTCTTTACTTTCAGTAAGTTTTTAGTCTATTAGTCAGAGTCGGTCACATTATGATGCATTAACAAACAAACCCTGAAATCTCAGTGGCTTCATACAATCAAGGTGTATTTCTGCCTCACACGAAGTCCAGTTTGATGCTCCTGTTTGGGGAGCTCTTCTGGTCAGTTCTCCTCAAAGCTGTGAGTCCTTCACTCCCTTTTTTTTTTCTGCTTTGCTATTCTATTAAGTATATATATCATATTTTACTAAAGCATCGCCTGATCATTGGATCTTTAGATGACTCCAATGTTTTGCTTTTATAAGCATTGCTGCTACAAACTTCTTAAAACATATTTTAAATTTTTCTTGACTTAGAATTTTTCCTTAGACATAGAATTACTTAATGAAGAGTCTAAAAAATTTTAACGTCTACCAAATTGCTCTCCAGAAGGCTTTTTCAATTTATTCTCCCACAGCATTATTATTGTTATTTTCTAATTTAATTTTGTACTTGAAGAATTTTTATTTTACTGAAGCTTTATGCATGGGAGAGATTTCCTCCCTTTTGCAACAAATTACATTTCCTCTTTTTATATTGTTTGTTCATGTAACTTTAACATTTTTTCTAATGGAAATTATCAATTTTTAAAATGAACTCTTCATATATTAAGCCTAGTAACCCTTTAGATAACTCATTTTATCACATGCTAGAGGCTCGTATAAAAACACGCAAACTTGGTTTCAATTTACGAAAAACTGCTGGCTACTTTATCTTTTCTCCTTTGCTGTTTTTCAGTAATGGAGGAATGAGCTATAAACGCACCTTAGGGGACTTATAGTTTCTCTTTTTTCTTCAAGAGGTTATGAACAAAGTTTTCCTAGAAAGTTTGTTTATCAGTTTTGCTTAGAGGAGTGAGTGTAGTGTATAGTTTATTGGGAGAAGGTGATGCAACATTTTAGGACTGAGAGACAATGGTGGAATGGGGGCAAGGAGAGTAGCTGGCAGAGAAGAAAAGGTGAATCTTTTTAGATATTTGGAAATGAAATGGCTGGGTGTCAGAGTGGAGACGGAGGGGTGTGATGGGGTCAAATCTCGAGATTGGGAAATTGTTAAATGAGACTATAACATATAAAATAGTTAAATGACAATGAGACTATATTGCAGAGAAATGTCTGCCACAATCAGAGCTTCAGCTAAAACCACATAGGGGACTTAATGATTGTTAAAAGCATTAAGGAAAGGTGAAACCTAATCAGTTTTTTACACTTCACTCTTAATGTGTTAATGACTTGTTCTGATTCTTTCCTGAGAATGCCCTTTGGTAGGAGGAGGGAGCAAACCTGCAGCACTGGGGTACGACTTGGAGATAACAATGAGAAGGAAAAGGCAGAGAGAGAGAGGTGGAGGATCCAAAGGCACATTTTCCCCTTTTGGTTGAGTGTGATGCATTCTGGACAATGACTTGAGCGCCACCAGGAAAGGGGAGAATGTAAAGGGCAGGCAATATATGGAGGCTATTCCCTGAGGAAGTGCTGGAGAGCATGCCACAGCTTGAGAGAACTAGTTTCTGAGGTAGGTAGGATGCAGAAAACCATGGCAAATGCAAAGGCTGCCCAAGGAGCCATGTGGGTGGATGTCTTCCATTTTAGCAGTGAAAGCTGCAGGGATATAGTTACAGCGGGATCATCAGGGATGCCTCTGCTTCTGATTCTCTGTGTGTCAAAACTTGCCAACTCTGCAAAAAAGATCCCAAACAGAAAGATACAGTTGATTTATTCTGTCTAGGTTCAGAGTAGAAGTTTATATAATATATTGGTCAATGATACTGAAAGAGCCAAAAATATGACAGCAGGGATTAAATGTCAAGCCAGATTTATCTTGTCTGACCATTTCTGGATGATGTAAAATAGCACACTATCTTTAGTTTGGAAGCATATTAATTTATCTGGATTTTTTTTTTACTTGAGGGGTAAACTCATGTTGAGGATTTCATTAAAAATGGGTAATTCAATCCAACAACTAGACCTTATGTGGGGTTATTCTTTTTTACTTTAAGGTGGGAGAACAAAGAGTATTTTTCAAAAACTAATTTCCTGATTTTCAATTTCTAGAGATCTCTTAAAGCCATCAGAACTATTACTGCCTAAAACACGCATGGCAAACAAAAGTGTCTCACTGGATTTCAAATAAGGGGAATAATCAGTGTTAAGTGCTGCCTTATTGGATTTCTTCCTGATTTTTTTGAAGCTCTGGTAAATCTTTATAATTTCTCTTTTATGCACTAAATTGTGGGTATACTCTAGAATGTATCTCATCATGAAGCAGATATAATACTAGCTGATACATATTAAAATGGTTAGGAAACATTGCTTTTAAACAATTGTGACTCACACCAAAATTTGTATTTAGTAACCTAAATACACATATAAAACAGATGATATCCTGTTGTCCTAATTTCAGCTGATGCTCTAAAGCTGAGTACAAAGCAATAACTAGCTCCTACATTCCAGAGGCGGGTGGATTAGTGACCTCCCTGCTGGATTTATAAGAGGATAGCAGAGCCAGTCACAAAACGATCAACCCGGTCTCTCACCTTCAAGCCATCCAAAATAAGGTTAGACCTTTGAAAGATGGGTTGGAGAAAGCCATCAAGGTAAACAGTTAAAGGTAAAAGGGTTGTGTCAGCCCAGGAGATAGTGGCTGTGTGTGTGCGTGTATGTGTGCAAGTGCATGTGTGTGTGTGTGTGTGCGCACGTGTGTGTGTGCATGCACGTATACATGGCCAGGGAGGTGGGCGGTAGCACTTCAAGAGAACTGCTCATAGAGATTTGGCATATTCTTAAAAGAGAGAGAGAATCTCATTTCCTTTCCCACCTGGCTGTTTGCTGAGCCACAGAAGTTTGTCAGCTCACTCCAGGTACTGGAGTGGAGCTCATAGAGATTTTCTGGAAGCTGCCTGGCTCTGGCAAAGGGGTGGCAGCTGCAGGGCCTGTATTCCCACTGGGAAGAATGGCAAGGATGTGAATTTTCCACAGGTCAGCTAGACATTGAGGAGTGAACCCAGGTTGGAGTCATTGTTATGGACTATTAAATTAAGTCTAGCCTAAAGCTGCCTCCTTACATATTTTAAGTTCAGCCTAAAGGTTTCTCTGTACATAGTGAACCGTAACCTAACTGGATGTATAAATAGACCATAACCTACTCTTGGTTCAATCACTGAGGTTTTGCCAATCAAAGGTGGCCAACTGTTCAAACTATGTTTAAATAAGGCAAACATGGAACTGAAACCAATCCAGCTGTTTCTCTACCTCCCTTCCATTTTTGTGCATCATTTTTGTTTTTCTGTTTACAAATCTTTTTTAACCACATGGCAGCACTGGAGTCTCTCTGAACCTCTTCTGGTTCAGGGGCTGTCTGATTCACAAGTTGTTCTTTGCTCAACTAAACTCCAAATTAGCTAGGCACGGTGGCTCACACCTGTAATCCCAGCACCTGGGGAGGCCAAGGCAGGTGGGTCAACTTGAGGTCAGGAGTTCCAGACCAGCCTGAACAACATGGTGAAATCCCGTCTCTACTAAAAATACAAAAATTGGCAGGGCATGGTGGTTCATGCCTGTAATCCCAGCTGCTTGGGTTGGGGCTGAGGCATGAGAATTGCTTGAACCTGGGAGGCAGAGGTTGCAGTGAGCCAAGATCGCAGCACTGGCACTCCAGCCTGGGCAACAGAGTGAAACTGTGTCTCAAAACAAAACAAAACCAAACCCTCCAAATTTAATTTGTCTAAAGGTTTTCTTTTAACATGCCTAAGAGGGCAAACTTCAGGCCTGAGGTCCAGAAGCCCCTTAAAAAAGAGTTTAAATCTCATCCAAAGCTGATGTTCACACCTATCCTGATGCATCTGACTATCGCTGTAACAGATGCTTACCCCAAGGGAACCTGGTTCAAGGGAGATTAGGAACAGGGTCCCTGGGAGAAAGTTACCCTCAGTGAACAAGGAGTTGGAAAGGATGGGGAAGACCAAGCCTGCGACCCAATGTCAGGATGGCACACGGGATCTAAGATGGACAACCATGCCCTCCTGCCCACAACCATGTGTTCTGTGTAAGAGGATTGTGTATGAGGAAGATGCAAAATAATAATGCCACAAGAGCCCCCAACCCCGTTGTTGTGAGTGCCCTTGACTCTTCTGAACAAGAAGGACATTAAGAAAGAAGCTGCTGCCCTGAGATGTTAGCAGGAGAGCGGCAATAGTGGCCACCACAAGATGGAGGCCAATGCCTGAGGCTGGCAGTGCAGAGAGGGCTGAGGCCTGGGGTTCCTTGTAGCCAAGAGCAGGTGAGCACAGGATGTAGTGGCCTCAGTAATCCCACAGCAGTGGCACTGGAACCCAGGGACCCCAGAACTGTGTGATGGAGAAAGCAGTTAGAGAGCAGAGATGACGGCTCCACTCTGAAAATAGTACCATCACCACCGTGTCTGCTCTCGTGGAGCCTCTCAGACACCTTGGGGCTGGGAGCTTGAAGGTAATTCCTATTTAGTAGATGAGGACCATTCATTCAGCCCACCTAGCCATACAGTGTCACAGTGCTCTTCTACGATTCTCAAGCTGCGTGGGACCTTGGGAACCCCTGGGTTACACTACAAACTCAAGTGTGACTCACCTATCCCCAAGGAGGGTATTTCTTTAGAAATCCTCTGTGATACTCATTAGAGAGCACTGTAGGATGTTGATAAGGAGGACAAGTGTGGCAACTTTCAACATTTAGTGGGCTTTAAAATAGTTTTGCCCAGTCTATAATCTAAGACTAAAAACTGTAATGTTCATGAAGAAGTTAATATCGAATAAGTCTCTGGTTGAGAAAAAAAAGGGAAAGAAGTGTACCTCAAATGCTTTGAAGTGTTGCTCTACTTGCTTCTTTTCTGGAGGACAGTGACCCACAAGTGAGATTCCTTGTAGAAGCCTTGAAATGGTGCAACAGCTGGTTTTATTGGAAAGAAGGGGTGCCAGTGCATATCAGACACCTCTCCCTATCCATCAGATAGATTTCCTAGATGGCTGCAGGGTCAATGTGCAGTCTACGATAAATGCACTCACATATTGTAACCCAAAGAGAAACATGAAATGATTCCTTTGTCCAGGAGAATTTCAGAGGCTGAAAACTCCATGACCCTCTAACCTCCCAATCCCTTTCCTCTGTGCACTCTCTTTCCTCTTGCCTTGTTTTGTTGAGGGATTTTCTTTTGTCTTCTGATTCTGCTTCATTTGGCCAGCTCTCTGCGGGTCTTTGGCACCTGGGAAGGTCTGAATGTGGCTTTTGTGTTTGCTGAACTGCACTGTGCCCAGCCAGGCAGAGATGATCACTAAGCTTTTCTATAGCTTCATAACTGCAAATTGCTCAGCCATTTGTTGTTTAATCCTCACAAGCCCTTTGTCCTGGAGGCAGTGCGGCATTGTCATCACCCTTCATTTTCCAGTTGAGAAGGCGGACGATATGTGACTTGTTCAAGGACACAGGTTGAGTTGAGAATCTGTCTGCTTGGGCCACGGGAGACTTGCAAGTGAACACAATAGCAGTGAAGCCCAACTGGGAAGAGTGGGTTAAACTGGGCTAGGCTGAAGTTTGCATCCTTTTGAAGAAATTCTGACACCCTAAATTGAAGGTGTGAAAGAGTTACTGGTTGAAGACCTCTAGCGGGGAATCATGCCACAAAGACAGCTTGTACACTCAGATTATTTCTGGGTGGTAGCACTTATAGAGATATAATTTTGAGGTTAATGCCATATAGGTTCCTTGATTACTTTAGGTGATCTATCCAGGCAATAATGAGTCAATAAAAGTCTCTAGCTTGTACTCCCATCCTGCCTATTGTGAAGGCTTTGTCCCTTCCCCTGGACCATGTCATTTCCCCTACCTTTTGAAGGTAACTTTGATTTCTGCTTCATTAAGAAAATCTAACTCATCAGGCTTTTAGCTTCCTCATTCTTCTCTTTTTCATCTTTTCTAAGCTGTCCTTTTATTAATCCTACCTCCTCTCCTTCTGTTTTCAGGAAAAAGTGGATCTGTCCTTTTGTCTGGGGGCAATCCTACCTTCCTCCCCTTGGTTGCCTTTGATTTACCTTCTCAATGATTTCCTTCACTCTTCCCAGTGCCCTCTTCCTCTCTGGCATATAAAGCCTCTTCTATTGACTCCAATCCCTACACGTATGCATTCACGACACTACTTTATCTTGATTTCAGGTGATCCTAATACTCTTTCCAGCTGCCTGAGTATTTTCCTCTTTCCTCCTCTTGTAAACGTTTTGAACCAGATGACTCCACTTTTTGTCTCCGCTTCTTACCTCCCACCTTCAACTTCTTGTGGTCTTACTCTGACATCACATGCTGTGGATGCTGCACTCATTCTTCTGTGTGTTTGGTCTCCAATGACCTGTGATTGGCCATACACAGTTTTTTTTTTTTTTCTTGCCTTCATATGTGATTATTGTATGCAACATTTGCTATTGTAGATTATCCCATGCTCTTGGAATCTTTTTCTCATCGAGTCCCATAATACAGCCTGTCCTTGTCCCTTTCTGTGTTGGACTGTTCCCTGTGTCCTTCATAAGCCCCTTCAACCATATCCAGAGGTGCTTTCTTATCTTATGTCCCTCAGAGAATTCACTTAGGGCTTTCTCTAATGATCCACTATTATGACAACATTACACCTAAGTCTCTACTTCTACCTTGAAATACCCTGCTGTGCCAAACTCCTAATTTCAGACTTGTCACTGGACATTTCCAAATTGATGACATGACAGCAGCTGAGGCAAAATGTGTGTAAAATGGAATTCATCATCTGCCCTCTGAAGCCTGCTTCTTCCTCCTGAGTTCCCATTTCTGTTAATTATGTCACCAAGGGCTAAATCTTAGGGCCATCTTTGATCCCTTTCTCTCCTTGTCTCCTATCATCCAGTTAAGTCCTGTCACTTCCTCCATCACAGTGTGCCTTGGATGTGTCCTTTGCCCTCACACTGCCATGGTCCTGGTGCACTGCCTCTGACCTTGGCCTTCCTCATCTCTATCACTTGCTCCCTGACCTTCCTCTCTCCAGGCTCTCCTCTACCATCCATGCAGCACATTCTCTAGAAGAATTTCCCTGCATTTCCAGTTACAGAGTGACAGTTATTTTGTTCACCTTCTTTCCTGGCTCAGAAATTAGCAGTAGTTTCTTATTACTTCCGAAATCAGCTTCAAACGTAGCTGCCTTCAGACTCTCTGCCTCTGGGCCCTGCCGCACATTTCTAGCCTGTTCTCCTCCTTAATGTCCCACAAGATTCTGCTCCACTCAAACTCAAAATCCCTGAAATGCTCCTTGTTCTTTTTCACATCTTTTTTTTTGGTTTATGGCATTTCTTCCTCCTCTGACTCACTTTCTCTGTTCTCCATCCCCAACGCTTCAAAACTGCCTATTCTTCATAACCCAGTCCAAACGCTACTTAACTCAAGGGGCCAATTCAGGTGAGAGGAAGGAAGGAAGGAAGGAGATCCCTACAATGTCCTGACAGTTGTTCACTGACACTCTCAGCCATCCATGTACTGTGTGTCTCTCCATTGCTCTTGTAAGCAGTGCTTCCAACCTCAGCTGCACAATAGAATCACCTGGGAGCTTCTAAAAAGTACCAAAGCTCAGGCTCCACCCCAGACCAGTGAAATCAGAATATGTGGGGCCATGACCCAGTGATTCATATTTTTAAGGCTCATTGAGTGACTCCTCTGTGCAGCCAAGGATTAATGTCTACTACTATGTGAATTTTTGTAGATTATTTTTAATGGCTCTGCGTTTTTTTCCTTTTTTCCAACTTTGGTTCTTGTGGGATTCTTTGTTTTTTAGCCTCTGTGATGTCTAGCACTGTTGTTTGTTTGTTTGTTTTGTTTTGAGACGGAGTCTTGCTCTGTCGCCCAGGCTGGAGTGCAGTGGTGCGATCTTGACTTACTGCAACCTCCACCTCCCTGGTTCAAGCAATTCTCCTGCCTCAGCCTCCTGAGTAGCTGGGATTACAGGTGCACACCACTAGGCCTGGCTAATTTTTTTGTATTTTTAGTAGAGACGGGGGTTTCACCATGTTGGCCAGACTGGTCTTGAACTCCTGACCTCAGGCAATCCACCTGCCTCTGCCTCCCAAAGTGCTGAGATTACAGGCATGAGCCACCGCTCCCGGCCAGCACTGTTTTTTATACTCAGTGGAACTTCAAAGAAAAAAAGTGTTAAGATTTAAGAATGGAAAACAAATAAAAAGGGTTGATTTTTAGGGAAGGAATGCCAACTGGCTCAGTGGCTATCCCACACTGGAAATGTTAAGAGTCTCTTGTATGTTAAATAACCGACTTCAAGTATTTGGTGTAAACTATTTGTGTCCAAGCAGTTAATATGCGAATTAAGCATTTATTAACATTTGTCTCATGAAGCCTCACTTGCCCATGTAATAATATTAGTTTGGTGCAAAAGTTAATTGTGGTTTTTGCCTTTAAAAGTAATTGTATGTAGCAATTAATATAATGCTACATACAACTCAAATACCTTGGATGAGTACCTGTTCTACCTCTTGGGTTGTTCTCAAGATTAAACACACAAAACTTCTGGGAAAAAACAAAAGCTTTAAAAACCATGGTTAGATATTATTTTTAATGAAGCTGTATTTTTTTTTTAAAGAAATGAATCTTAAAGAGCTCCTATTCAATGCATTCTCCCTTTCAGGAGCACCATTGAATACCTTAAGTCAAAAGGAAAACTTGTCTTGTGGTGGGCATATCTGCTTCTCTCCCTATGCTATATTTCTGATATCAGTTTGTGGATGTTGCAGAGTTTATTTTAGTCTAGGGGATGGGAATGAATTTAAATTCATTTCTACCTCAGGTGAGGCAGCCCCTTTCAGAAAAAAATAGGAAATAAAGAAGGAAGACTGCTGAGAAAATTCTCTTTTCAACTTAGAAAAGCACAGAATGCCTCTTGGAGAGTGATTTAATGGCCTGGACTCTGTAGCTTATAGATTCATGTTCAAAATCTGGCTCAGTTGACCAGCTATGTTGATCTTGGACAAAGTGCTTGGCCTCGCTGTGCTTTGGTGTCCTCAGCTGTGCATAGAGAGTAACATTTAGGTCTCAATGTTGGGAGAATTGAGCCATAGGATATATGGAAGGTAGCTGACACTTAGTAGGACCTCACGGAGGTTCCCTTTTCCTTAAGGCACCATGGATATCAATGAGTCCTGTTTTTGTCGTGACCTTAGCAGGCTTCCTCTTAGTGTTTTTCAGGGCATGCATTTTACTGGTATGTTGGTAAACAGAAATATACAATTTCACTTTGGGTCTGAGAGGTTTTCATTATTTTTTGAACCACAAAATGATTTTCTTTCTTTCCTCTTCTGTAAATTCATTGAATGTTGGAATTCCTTTGCAGTACCTTTGCCATAAATTCTACTCACTACATATAATTTAAATCAAGCAGGTATAACATAATTGCCCTCATTAGGAGAGTGTAGGACGGTATACTAACTTTGCTTCCAAGGAATTCACATTACCATTTGAAAAAATTTCGAAACTGATTTTCCCAGTTGCAGAAGTTTCTGGAAACTTGGATTGAAGAGTCTGCATACTTTGGTGGGCTTCTAGTTAATGTATTGCGTTGAACATAGATTTCTTGAACGAGTCACAGTAGTCTCTTATAAATCACAAAGAAAAGTTCATCCTCATTCTAGTTACAAGTCCTACGCCATGAATCAAATCTTAGCAAAGACCAGCTTAGAAATCTTGAAAAAGGCCTGACATTTTGTTAAAATGACAGGCAACTAGATTTCTCCTGCCCTCCCTCCTCACATTTCCTTTCCTTGTTCAACAACAGTACAATTTGTGTAGTGGTATTTTCAGTCTTCTTTTTCTATACTGAAAGTAATTTTTTAAGCATGAAACTGGGTACTTTGTTGCCCCCATACAGAAAGACTTTACAGGTTTAGCTGGAATAGAGTTGAAGAGCACATAAAGTTGATGTCAAGGCCTACTTACATTGAAGTAAAATTAGATTTATGGATTGAAATGGGAAGCCTAATTTGTATGTGCCTCCTTCCTAAAAGCCAGCTATAATCTAGAGGGAAAACTATCTGAACCAGTCTGAGTGAACCCAACCCATTTCATCTTCTAAGACTGGTTTGTTCATTACTTAGGGGATAAAGGCAGAGACTAGCTCATGGGGATTAAGAATGACAGAGTGGCCCTCCGACACTAAGCTATAAATGTATTAGCATATTTTAGTACCTTGCCCAGATAGCCTGGGTCTTTCAAAAAAATTGTTTTTTAAAGAATGATAAGATACATTTTTCCTCCACCCCAATTTAAATTTTCTGAATTTCTATTCATGGATCAATATTTCCAATTCCTGGGTAACTCATCAATTTTTTTATTATTGTTTCTTTCCTAGCTTCTTCTGTTTCAGAGCTATGTTTCCCAGTGGGCTGCCACATCTTTGGGTTTCCAGTACTTGGAATTTTGCTTTCCAGTTGCAGAGCTAAGAAGCCAATTCACATTCCATCGTTGTCCCAAAGTCTTTTTCCTATTTTGAATGCCCCATCTTGTCTGGATTTATCAAGGGGTAAGAAGCATGTATTACTTTGGCCTGAAAAATTTCTTGCTGAGTCCCACTCCATTAGAAAACAATAATATTTGAAAGAAATCGGCCAGTCACAATTCCTAGGCCTGAACAGTTCAGACCATTTCAGAGAGAGTCTTTTTGTGATTGTTTCTCTTCACATAGTGACTGAAGCAATTCAGGCTTAAAACACACCCTGATCATTAGTTGTTATTACAGATGGTAGGACGAGCAATTATGCTGAACTGAATTTTTCCCATCTTATCTATTTCAGGTAAAAGAGTCAGTGTAGAGCATGAGCTCTTAGACGAGGTTTTCCAATGTTCCAAGGTTTTCCAACCCAGATGAAGTTTCTATCTGAGCTCCTGGCAAATCTTGAAGTTTTCCCTGTAATCCTGATAGGTTTCACCACAATTCTGATACATATTCCTTGGTTTAATTGTGTGCCATAGTCATAGAATTTTGGAAGCAGAAAGAAGCTTAAGGGTATCTAGTTAAATACCCTCCTCCGTATTCTACAGATGAGAACATGGAGTTTGAATGGGATCTTAGAGAAAAATGAACTGGGGTATTTTTTTGTTTACTTTTCCTCCCAAGGAAATAATCCTTATCTCAGTATTTTCTAAATTAGACCAGCCACATTTTTCTTGCCTTGACATTCTCATTTCCATTTGGACAGAGTAGGTTAGCCAAAATTTAGTGAAATGATAGACAATGATATTGCTATTTAATTCAGATTCTTTTCTTTCTTTCTTTTTTTTTTTTTGAGACGGAGTCTTGTTCTGTCGCCCAGGCCAGAGTGCAGTGGCGCGATCTTGGCTCACTGCAAGCTCTGCCTCCTGGGTTCATGCCATTCTCCTGCCTCAGCGTCCCGAGTAGCTGGGACTACAGGCGACCGCCACCACGGCTGGCTAATGTTTTGTATTTTTAGTAGAGACGGGGTTTCACCGTGTTAGCCAGGATGGTGTTGGCCTCCTGACCTCGTGATCTGCCCGCCTCGGCCTCCCAAAGTGCTGGGATTGCAGGCGAGAGCCACTGTGCCCGGCCTAATTCAGATTCTTTAGCACAAGAATTTATCCTAAGTAAAGGCAAAAGGTAACGTTATTGGCAGTATTCAGACTGCCCTTGACTAGTGCTGTCTATGTCACGTTCCTGATTTATTTCTTGAAAAGCAGTCATTTGGTGTAAATATGCCCAACCTCTCACCACTGAAAATGGCACCCCCATTTATTTTTGCTCCTTTTCTCTAAATAAATAAGTTTATCTATACAAGTGTACTACTTCCATGACAATATATTTTGTAACACCTTTATTGAGATATAAATCACATACCAAATGATTCACTCATTCACAGTGTATACGTCAATGGTTTTTAGTATATTCAAGAAGTTGTATAATCGTTACCACAATCAATTTTAGAACATTTTTATTACTTTCCACAGAAACCCTGCATCCTTCCATCACCACTCCTCAATACCCCCTCCTCCAACCACTAATCTACTTTCTGTTTTTATAGATTTGACTATTTTAGATAGTTCATAGAAAAGAAATAATACAATATATAGTCTTTTGTGACTGGCTTTTTTTCCCCACTCAGCATAATGCTTTCAAGGTTCATCCATGTTGTAGCATGTATTAGTACTTCATTCTTTTTCAAGGCCACTTAGTATTTCATTGTATAGATATACCACATTTTGTTTATCTATTTATCAGTTGATGAACATTTAAGCTATTTATACTTTTTCACTATTACATATAATGCTGCTATGAACATTTGTTTATAAGTTTTTCTTTTTTTTTTGAGACAGGGTCTTGCTCTGTTGCCCAGGCTGGAGTGCAGTGGTGCAATCATGGCTTACTGCAGCCTCAACCTCTTGGGCTCAAGCAATCCTTCCACGTCAGCAGGAGCTACATGTCATCCTCTCAAGTAGCTGGGACTATAGGTGTGTGCCACCACACCTGGATAATTTTTTATTTTATTTTGTAGAGATGGGGTCTTGCTCTAATGGCCAGGTTTATGTAAGGTTTTTTCTTTTGTGGATGTGTGTTTTATTGCTTTTGGGTAAATATGTAGAAGCAGAATTGCTGGGTCACATGGTAACTTTATGTTTAACTACCAGCCGGTTTTCCAAAGTGACTGTACCATTTTACATTCCCACTAGCAGTGTAAGAAGGTTTCAATTTTTCCACATCCTTGTCAATGCTTGTTATTATCTTTCTTTTTGATTATAGTCGTTCTAGTGGATGTGAAGTGGTATCTCATCGTGGTTTTGAATTGCAGTTCCCTGATTACTAATGATGTACCTTTTCATGTGTTTTTGCCATTTGCATATCTTTTTCAATGAAATATATGCAGATGATAATAATATCTTTAGGAAGAAAAAATGCATGTTATTGGTAATTCAGATAAAAAGACTGGGAGCAAGGATTGTTAATAGGAGATTAACATTTGACTAGAGAAATCCAAGGAAAAGATTTAATTCTGTGTGGTTGTTATAGCTTTCGTGTATTGAAAAAAAGACATTAGAGGAAACAGGGATGTGTGTATAATAATATATGCATACATGTACACACCTCATATATACAAATAAATGTACAATTATATATTGAAAACATATATATATATATACATATAAAATATATATATATTTTCTCTTCACTGCCTGGGATTCACATTTGGAATCCATACATATATCTGTATCTATATGCATATCTACATATTAGATTTATATATTCCCTACCTTCCAAAAAGTGACCTGAGGCAATAAAAGAGGAATTTAAATTCATCCATCGGTTCAGTCAGCACTAGCTGTATCCTAAGAATCATGCTCAGTTCATAGGATATACTAAATGAATATGACAGGCTAAATAACTTTTAGACAAGTAACCAAAAACATATTATAGCACACATGTCGCCTTAAACTTTATATTCTACTACTGGTGGACTGCAGAATCCTGAAGTAGATGGAGTCACCTTGATTTGTCCAGTTGCATTCAGCCCGCACAATGGATGCATCAGGAAGTCTTACTGATTTTTGTTTTGAAATATAATTTCATTTTTATTACTGTAACCCTAGATTAGGCATTTGTTACTTTGTGCTTGTAATATTGCTTTGGTTGGCCTCAGAAGTCTAGTCTCTGTACTTCATTTTATTCCAAAGACACAACAAGACTAATCTTATAAAACAAAACCAAGCTTAGCTTTTATTGTTTCATCCTTTTTGGTCAAAAATATTAATGACTCCCTTTTTCTTATTTCATAGTCTAAATGTTCTGCATGTTTAAAGTTCTCTGTCACCTTGCCTCTCCTTGCATCCATTAGTCTATTCATTAATTCATTCAATATATATTTTTGGGTACCTACTTTGTGCCAAGCACTATGCCAGGGTTGAGACTATTTCATTGAACAAGGTCCCTGCCCTCACAGAACTCGCCATCTACTGGGGAGCCTGGAAGGTCAGTCGAGGAATAGACAAGGATGAGAGAAGGAAGCTCAGATCACAGTAGGAGTGAGCTTAGAGGATGGGTGTTATGACCTCCCTTGGGAGTTGAGGATGAGAGACTTCTTGGTGGAAGTGGCAGAATGTGAATCCCAGCAAATGAAGAGAAGAATAACATTATTCCTCTGTGTAGTAGAGGACTGGAGGTGAGAATGAGCCTGCTTACTTGCTAATGGGAGTGAGAAGTTAAGACAGTACAAGAAGGAGAGGAGAATGGTCAATCAGTAGGCAAGGTCCCTGAGAAGTGGGTGGCATGGAAGGAAGAGGGAGGGATGAAAGGATGGGGTGCTAATTTAATTGGGTTGGTGATGGGAAGTGAAGGCAGGTATTCTCTTTTTGTATGGCTCTTACTTTTTCTGTGAAGCAGAAGTTGAGGGCCTCAGCTTCAGCTGGGAGGTGGGGGTTAGAAGAAGGAGGCCCGAGGATAATGAGGATGTAGAATAGCTGCTGTGTTATGAGAGGAACAGCACTGTAGGGTGCTAGAGACTGACAACAGTGGTCCACGCTGTGCTGGTGAGCACGGGCTCTGAGGTAAGACATGCCTGGGCTCAGTCCCTGTGAGGCCCTATTCTGACACCATGTGTGTTAATGTGGGCAAGGATATAATGTCTCTGATCATCAGTTTCTTCCAAGAATGGGGATAATGAGTACACTGAGTTGTTCATGGGGTAGTTGTGAGCTTAGATAACACATGTAAAGCATTTAGTACAGTGTCTGGTAGGTAGTAAGCACTTAATAAATATTCTTCTTCTTCTTATTGTTGTTGTTGTCATTTTTATTGCTATTGTATTAACTTATGAGTTCAGTCCCTAGCAGTGCTAAGCAGCACAGATGTGGCATGCAGAAGGTAGAGAGTTTTTTGTACACAGAGCTGGGCTTTTCCAGGCCAGAGGTGATGGAAGGCCAGGTGGGCAAATGAGTTGATGATATTGCAAGGAGAGTGGTCAGATGACAGAGTCCAAGCTGGATGTATAATATGACAGATGGGGCTGATTGATAGGTGTGTCAGGAGTAATTCAGTGAGAGACCTAGGGCAGGAGATTGTGAGAAGACATCAGGAAGTTTGAATGGAATATTTCAGAGATGGAGTGATCATAGATAAGATATTTACTCTACATCAGTATGACTAACTACTCAAGATGATCAGACTTGATAAACTGTCTAGTAAAATCTTTCATTACCTCTGAACCCCTAAGGTGCAGTCATGTGAAGGAACCGAGAGGCTAGGATGGAGTTTTGAGATTCCCACAGTGTGGGAGCATTTGCAGGTTGGGATGAAGACAGTAAGTGGGTTCTATCATGTTAAATGAAAGCGAGGAGTGACTGGGACATATGGCAGATAAAGATGAGGGGGATGAAGAAGAGTAGGGTTTTCCCAGAAAGTAGGAAGAGGAATGATCTGGAAGAAGTATTAGGGAATAAGAAAGATAGCTGCACCCTTGAAGGCTGTGGAAGAATATGAGGCCTCCACTTGGGAGTGGGAGCAAGTCCTCAACGACTCGCAGGATTCTCCTAAGGCAGGGAGGTCAAGGACAGAGAGCAGCTGTGGTCCCTAGGTGAAGATTGAGGGTATGGCGGAAGCTGAGTTAACGAAGAAGCGCAGCACACAGCAGTGGGAGGGAAGAAGGGCCAGTGGGTGCTCCTCCAACTGGATTTCGCTTTCTTCTTTGGAGGTTTCTGTGTACAAATTAGTGGTGATTCAAGAGGTCAAAAAGCTGTGCTGAGGCAGGGGGTTCGCATTGTTTATTGTCATCTTCGTGTTCAACTGTAACAATATTTGTACTGTAAGAGATAAGATGATCTTATAAGAGCTTCTTAAAAGATAAGAAGCATTTGTCCTTAAATTCTAAATTATTAAAGTTGCATTTGGTTTGACATTTTTTTCATTTTAAAAAATTATTTTTGCTAATAATTAATGAAGTTTTAGCTAAAATCTGCCAGAGGAGAGAAATTGATGTCAGCTCTTCTAGAAGTGCTTATGATGATTTTGTTTTGCATCTAAGCATTCCGTGTATTTTCATAGTTCATAAAAAAGAATTTTATTGGTTATTGCATGCATTCTCTATCAGATGAGAAAAATAAAAAGAGAGTGAATTAACAAACTTACTTGCTCACTTTAAATTTTTGAATAAAATCTTTTTCTTTTCTATATGCCTTATTCTCATGAAAGAAATCATAATCATTTTATTTTTTCTGTTTATCAATATGATACATGGTCAGTGTAGAACATTTTTAAAACATCTACAAGGTAGAACATAAAAGAATAAAGTATATACTCCTTCAGCTCCCACGACTCAAAGGGGAAAAACATTGCTAACCCCTTTTAAAGAATGACCTATAAAAAAATGGTGGTGTGTAACTCAAATTATGGAGAAAGGTTAATGATACATGGTTTAAGGTTTCTCTGCGATTGAGTATTATTGTCCTTTTTTTGGCCTTTAAAACTTGGTCTTTGCATCGTGTAAGTGCAGCAAAAGTGTGCATACTTCCCAGTGGAAATGAATCCACCAGGAGGCCTCTGTGGACTTGTTGCTAGTCCAGCCATGGGAGGGCATCTGTTTAAGCGTTGGACAACCTAATAGGAAGGTCTTTTTTATATGGCTTGTGCTTGTTAGAAAACATTTACTTGTGGTCAGATTTATGGTTAACAAAACAAAACAAAACAACCTAATGAATACCACTAGCTCAACATCCAGAATCTCTTAGTGTAGGGACTGTATTTGAGGAACCAATCTGGGACATTTCAGACTCAGAAGAATACTATTCAATACCTTATTTCTGCAGGGCACTAAACATTAGCAGGATTGAACATATTGGTTTCCTTTCATTGAAAAATGACTTGAATGTTTTCAAAGGATGTCTAACAAAAATCAAGAAGTCCAGTGACTGCTAGTGCTATTGGGACTGGGACATAAGAACCCTGCCCAATTCATGAGAGCCCCTCAGTGGCTGCTAGGAGACAGCTCTGGGAAATATATTCCTCAATGGGATTTGGTAGACTGGAGGTGTGCTATCTTATTTTGAACTGTGATCCCTTGGGACACTTGATCTCCCATGTCAATTTATGACAAAGTTATCTGTCTATGGGGCAGAAAGGAGATGATCAGAAAAGGTCGGAGGAGAGTATGGAATAGCTCTGTGGTCAGTTATTCCAAAGCTAGGCTACAGGTGGGTGAAGTAGTGGATGGCATGAACTGGGGACATGGGCAGGATGAAGATGAACTTACCTGGAATTATGCGTTCCATGGGCCTGCACAAATACCCCGATCCCCTTTTATAGATGTAGAAATCACCTGCTAAGATTCACCTACTTTCCTGGAGACACAGAACTGAATGGGGGAAGGAGCTTGGGTTTACATGTCAGGCAAGTATCATCCTAATGCTGGTCCTATAAACTACTCAATCTTAGAGGCAGGAGAGAGTCACTAGCACTCTCTTTTCCCTGAAAAATGAAAAGATCAAAAATATATGGCTGTTGCCACAGATTGGTCCCTGTGCAATGCTGCAACAGTCTCCTTGAAGCTTTTGTCCACGTTCCTAGCTGCAAAGGCCATGTATGTAAGTTCTGTGAGGGCAAGGTCATGTCTATTGGGTCCACAGGTGTATCTCCAGGGCCTGGCACAGTGCATGCTCAATAAATATTTCTTGATAAAGAGAGTGAAGGTGGGAATAGTCAGAGTAATAGAGGTAGAAAGTAGAATAGTGGTTACCAGGGGCTGGAGGAGGCGGTAATGGGGAGTTATTGATGAACAAATCCAGAACTTCAGTTTGGGATGATGAAAAGTTCTGGAGATGGACAGGGGTGGTAGTTGCACAACAATGTGAATGTAGGAACTTAAAGACACTGAACTGCACACGCAGAAATGGTTAAAATGATAAATTTTATGTCATGCATATTTTAAACCCCCCACCCCCAGACAAGATGGATGTGTCTCTGTGGAAATAACATTTCCTGGCTGAGTAAGATTTCATTATTTTCTTACTTGCAGCTTATGTAAACAAACCAAAACATTTTGTCATCAACAACTGTAGTACATGTTTTCATAAGATTTTATATTTTCTACATTAGTGGACTCACTTTAGCCATACTTTCTTCTGAGAGGTAGGCAGGGCAGGGTGGGTATTAACTGTCTCTAAAGCTTGGGGATTGTTCACATAGCAAGTTAAGAGCATTATTTGACTTAGAAATGGGATTAGTTTCCTAGGGCTTTTGGAGAATGTACATAATTTTACACAATAAGCAGGAAGAGGTAACGTGAAGGTCTTGGATGAGAAGTGCCACGATGTTCTGGAGTAAGGATTTCAATTTGGTGGTAAAGAGAACACTTGCCTGCTCAGTGTTGATCTAAGGTTGACTGAGTAGAGCATCTTTTATGATGTTTTGCTCAAGGGAAACGAGACTGGTTCTGATCTCTGTTGGCCTGAGGAGGCTTCTACTCTTTTCTACGACCTCTATTCCTTTTTTTCTGTAGTTCTTCAGGGCATTGCCTATTCCTTGTGCCGCCTGAGGCAGCAGACAATGTTTAAGTTTTATTTAACTGCTGTTGCTTTTCTGCTTTCCCATTTATGTCAGAGATGATTATGGTTCAGAGAATCTCCATGTTCCCTCACATTTCCTAGCCTTTTGTAGCTAGGCAGGGCTATGAGATAACTGGCCAATGGGCAGAGCAGAAGCAATGCTTGTCATTTTCAGACTCAAGCATTTAAGGATCCATGTGAAGCCCTCCAGCTCCTTCTTCCACTGCTGTAGTGATTTGGAAAGTGTTGATATGTGAAGCATCTGTCAGTGTTGGTCCCTGAGTCACCGTGTGGAGCAGATCCTCCCTCCCCTCACCTTAGCCCTCTCCCACTGTGCAAGCATGCGTGAGAAACATATCCTTGGTATATTAAAATTCTGAGATCTCAGGGTCAATTTGTTAATGCCTATCTTGACTCACCCCCTGTTAGACAGACTCACCCCCTATTCTCCTTGAGAGCAGGAGTTATATGCATGTACTTCTAAAAATCTTTGTATCCTGGGTACCTCACACATGTGGGGTAGTGTTTTCCATGTGGTAGATGCTGAGTACATGCTTACTGAATGAATAAATGCGTGAAAAGATAACTGAATGCATTCATAATTGGCCATGATAGGTATTCACATTGAACACAACATGAGCTGTCTTATCTACTTCTGGGTGTTGATAGCCACGTAGAGTCCTCAGAGTCTCCTTTGTCTATGACCTCCCTTCTTAGACTTGTTCTCATCTGTGAGGGTGCAGAGTGCTGACTGACTCATGTGGCATGCTGGGAAAGAAAAGCATAGAAAACACTTGACATTATGTTTTGCTACTACCCCTGCTCAGCCAATCCTCTGAG
Organism: Homo sapiens; assembly: GCF_000001405.40. Lineage (NCBI taxonomy): Eukaryota > Metazoa > Chordata > Mammalia > Primates > Hominidae > Homo > Homo sapiens. The sequence goes on from NC_000004.12 coordinate 153,849,183, forward strand.
CCTCAGCTATCTTCATTTTATAATTCTGCCCCTGAACTGGGATTGAGACAAACCATTTGCTTCTATTTGACATTTTCCTCTGCTTTAAAAAATGGGGAACAAATAATTATAATTTTGACAGCTGGCTTCTTATACTGTGCCATGCACTGTAATAAGTGCTTTACTTGAATTATTTTGTTTAATTTTCATGACACTCGGTGAGATAACTACTATTAGAACCCCAGTTTAGAGGGGAGGAAACTGAGGCCCCTGAGCTGGACTTGCCTTAGGTCTCATGGCAAGGGGAGCAGAGTAGCAGAGCTGGAATCTTTGTCACGGGCTCTCTGGGGTCAAGGCTGATATTCCTAAACATTAAACTGTTCTCCAATGCCATGTCCCTATTTGCAACTTTTCCAGAGCTTCCCTGCTGCAGGACTCAGTCTCTGGACTCCACACCTCCAACAACCTGGCCCCCAGGCACTTCACGGCCACATGGCTCACAGCCCCACATCTTCTGGCTTCTTTATTAAAGTGATTCTTTCACACAGTTCTTGCTGGACACTGTGCTAACTGCCTGGCCAGCTGATCTGTCCCCGAGTCTTCAGACTGGGCAGTCCCCCTACCTGCTGCTCTGTGAAATCTTTCCCTCCCCTGGTTAGATTCCCTCAGATGTCTCAGTTATTTCCAGGCATTAGCCATTGAGAGGATCGTGCTTCAAGGCAGATTTTCTGGCCTCCTCCTCACCTGTGTGCACTGAGCTCTTAGGTCTCCCTCGTTCATTTGATGGACAGCTGTCAGATCACATTGCTTGGCTTGTGTCTAAAGTGATATTTTTCTCATTGCTAGAGGATTTCATATAGTCATCTTTGAATATTCTTAAGACTTGGACACCTCCTCCGCAGACATGCATATAATGGTTGCTGAGGATACCTCCTGCTGCTTTTAAGATGTTAGAGTCAAGAGAAACCCAAAGTGAAGCTTTTATTTATTATTTTCTGAACACTCTACATCAATTTATTCTTACTTTTTTATATTGAGGTATAACAGTAAGTGGACATGTCTTCAGGCACAGTTTTCAGTAAGACCTAGTTTAGGGAGTTGAGTTTTTAGAAGTGAATTCCCTTAAAATCTCCCTGAATCCATGGTCTCCATGGTAAGTCTTCACGATCTGAAAAGAAAAGTCCTGTTTCCCTTCTGACTTTATATAACATGTATTAAATGATTTTTCTGTTTTTTTTTTTTTTTAAGTAATACATGCTCACTGTAGAAAATGCAGAGAAGTTATGTAGAGCTCTTTGTCCAAGTCTGGTGGGTTTTTTCTGAAATTTTAAATTAAGGTCTCTGTACATAAATCTCTGTTCTTCATTTAAATCAGCTGACACTAAACTGACTTTAAAGTCAGACCACTAGATCTTGGATTCAAGGCAGCAACTGAGGCCCCTCTTTGGGTTGAATTATGCATTGTAGGCTATTCAGAAGAAGGTCAAAAGTGCAAGCCCGAGGAGATAGGGAGGCCCCCAAAGGAGGGTGATTGTGCTGCCCCAGATAGCTCTCACCCTGAGCAGCACCATCTCCAGAAATAACATGTGTGGGTGAAAGCAATCAACAGCACTCAGAGCTGGAATTCCAGACAGCCACAAACATATCAACCTAAATGTAAAGTGGCACTGCTAACAGTCCATCTATAATTACATCTTATTTTATTAGTTGCAAAGGGTAATTGTATCCAGAAAATTCCTAATGCAAATACATGCTACAGAGATAATGTATATGTTGCTCTGAGAAAACAATGTGGTAGAGAAGTTTCAATAATGCTAAGTGATTTTCTAGCACTCATCACTGATTAAGCGCCATCTGGACTGTAGGAAAACAGGGGAAGGGGAGTTGCCAGAAGTCAGGATGTCTGAATTCTCTCTGGACTCTCAAATCTTTTAATCTCTCAACTTTTTGCCCTTAAGTGTCCTGAGGGAGGGGAATGGCTTTGGAACACACCAGGCAAGCAGTTACATTCTTGGGACTGGATGCTCAGGCAGCTGGTTTTGGTAGAGCTGAGGTTTAGGTCAACCCTGATGCATGCACCATTGGCAAAGTGATAATCATAACATGCCCTTTCAAGACAGCCTATGCAGCTCTGAAGGGATGTTGAATGCCATGCCTTTCTTCATCTAAGCTATATGAGTACGGATCTAATGATTAATATAACTGTTTTAAGCACTGGCTTTTAGGAGCTAAGAGATGTTAGAGATCAAACACTATATCTGTGAATGTTAGAATTGTATTAGGATTGAGCTGCAATAGTCCTATTACTGAGGTAGATATGAAATAGAGAGCAGAGAGCATAGTACTTTACAAAGAGATGCTCAGAAAATGTTATTGTTAATAATGAAATTATCCAGAAACTCAAATTACTCATATGCCTAGTAGAAAACTCATAATCCGCTTTCAAATGGTTTTCAAATACAATGGCAGTTTTCACTATCATAGTTTCTGTTTTTATTTATTTATTTTGTCATATTAGACATCCTAAAAATAGATTATGTGTTTTTAAGGCTGTTTTTAAGAAACGATTGCCTATATTTAGAGCCAATGAGGCAATAATTTGAAATAGTTAAAATTACCTTCTTGAATACATCTGACAACAATTACAAAGAAATTGTAAAGAAATTACCTGTTGTGTGCATCAATTGATCAGTGCAATATGTTTAGTTTCCACTGGAATCTGTCTGAAGAGTTACTATAGGATGAGTGAGGCAAGGCACTTGAGTTGGGAGGAAGGCATGCATGGAATTAATATGTTCCTTTTCACTGTTTTTTGGAGATGCTAAAGACCTCTTCTTCTTTCCCTTACTATGTTCAGTCATTTGATAATGAAAGAGAGTGTGTGGAGGAAAGGGAAAAGAAGGAGAGTGCCAGAGGGCATAAGCAAGGTCCGTCTTCACCATGGGAGCTGAAATATGGGCATTCCATGCCTGCCATATGTCTGTTCCTTGCATTTTGGAGAGGGGCTCAGTGAGGGGCCTAGAGATTCTCATGGGCCTAAGAGGAATACCTTCAGCCAATTCAGATGTTTCTAGATACACAAGGAAGGATGTAGGGGTGAGCCTCTTTAAGGATTCTAGCAGCTTAATGGGAAAGAAAAATGCTTGGCTCTTTTGCGCATTAGGATGGGCAGCTAGTCCCAGCACCAATGCCTTTCAGCCATTGATAAGGGTTGAACTTCCATGTTGTGACTTGGAAGCCAGGAGCCACATGGTGAAGGGGTGACAGCAGGTGGGAGGTTCCCAGGGACCATTCTTCGAGCCCAGACTTGAGAGACAGATACCCATGTGTTGGAATTTCTGCAGAGCAATTCTAATTTGCCTTCTATGTATGTATGTATATCATAGGTGTGCATATATATGTAGTATATCATAGGTGTGCATATGTATGTATGTAATCAACATGGGCTAGGGAATGACTGCAATGTGTGAGTGACCATGTGGGAAGGCAGCCCTTGTTTAGTGTGAGATGACCACTAGGACTCACCCTTTTCTCCTGCTAATACTGATTTCATCACCGTGTCTCTCCTTCTTGCCAACATAGATAGATCATCATGCCTGGGACTGTTTTCCTCCAACCTCACTCCTTATTTTCCATTTTACCTCTCTGCTGGTTCAGAGTGGAATTTGTGATTGCAGAACTCTGGGAAGAGGCAGAAGTAGGGATAGCAGCTTTCTAAATGTACAGTGACATGCCTAATAGCACATCTATAATCACGTTTTATTAGTTGTAGAGGGCAATTGCATCCAGAGTGGCTTTTTTCCTAGCCACGCTGAAATGCTGCCTCTGTGTGATGTTGTCACAAATGGATGACTAAAGGACTTTGGGGGCACGCTTATCTTATTCTTGCCTTATTATTCTTTTTTATTTTATTTTATTTTTATTGTTTTATTTCAATAGGTTTTTGGAGAACAGGTGGTGTTTGGTTACATGAGTAAGTTCTTTAGTGGTGATTTCTGAGATTTTGGTGTACCCATCACCTGAGCAGTGTACACTGTATCCATTGTGTAGTCTTTTATCCCTCACCCTTCCCACTCTTTCCCCTGAGTCCCCAAAGTCCATTGTATTATTCTTATGCCATTGCATCCTCATAGCTTAGCTCCCACTTCTAAGTGAGAACATACAATGTTTGGTTTTACATTCCTGAGTTACTTCACTTAGAATAATGGTCTCCAGTTCCATTCAGTTCTCTGCGAATGCCATTATTTCATTCCTTTTCATGGCTGAATAGTATTCCATGACACACACACACACACACACACACACACACACACACATCCCTATATATCTATATCTATATCTATATCTATATCTACCACATTTTCTTTTTTTTTTTTTGAGATGGAGTTTCACTCTGTCACCCAGGCTGGAGTACAGTGGCACGAACTCGGCTCACTGCAACCTCCACCCTCCAGGTTCAAATGATTCTCCTTCTTCAGCCTCCTGAGTAGCTGGGACTACAGGCGCCTGCCATAGTGCCCAGCTAATTTTTTGTATTTTTAGTAGAGATGGGGTTTCACCATCTTGGCCAGGCTGGTCTTGAACTCCTGACCTCGTGATCCACCCACCTCGGCCTCCCAAAGTGCTGGGATTACAGGCGTGAGCCACCGCGCCCAGCCTACCACATTTTCTTTATTCACTCATTGATTGATTGGCATTTCGGCTGGTTCCATATTTTTGCAATTGCTAATTGTGCTGCTATATACATGTGTGTGTAGGTATCTTTTTCATATAATGACTTCCATTCCTCTGGGTAGATACCCAGGAGTGGGATTGCTGGATCAAATGGTAGATCTACTTTTAGTTCTTTAAGGAATTTCCACACTGTTTTCCATAGTGGTTGTACTAGTTTACATTTTCACCAACAGTGTAAAAGTGTTCCCATTTCACCACATCCACTCCGACATCTATTGTTTTTCGATTTTTTTGATTATGGCCGTTTTGCAGGAGTGAGGTGGTATCACATTGTGGCTTTAATTTGCATTTCCCTGATAATTAGTAATGTTGAGCATTTTTCATATGTTTGTTGCCTATTTGTATATTTTCTTTTGAGAATTGTCTATTCATGTCATTAGTCCACTTTTTGATGGGATTGTCTTCCACAATGGTTGAACTAATTTACACTCCCACTAACAGTGTAAAAGTGTTCCAATTTCTCCACATCCTCTCCAGCATCTGTTGTTTCCTGACTTTTTAATGACCGCCATTCTAACTGGTGTGAGATAGTATCTCATTGTGGTTTTGATTTGCATTTCTCTAATGACCATTGATGATGAGCTTTTTTTCATATGTTTTTTGGCTGTATAAATGTCTTCTTTTAAGAAGTGTCTGTTCATATCCTTCACCCACTTTTTGGTGGGGTTGTTTGATTTTTTCTTGTAAATTTGTTTAAGTTCTTTATAGATTCTGGATATTAGCCCTTTGTCAGATGGATAGATTGCAAATTTTTTCTCCCATCCTGTATGTTGCCTGTTTACTCTGATGATAGTTTCTTTTGTTGTGAAGAAGTTCTTTAGTTTAATTAGATCCCATTTGTCTATTTTGGCTTCTGTTGCCATTGCTTTTGGTGTTTTAGCCGTGAAGTCTTTGCCCATGCCTATGTCTTGAGTGGTATTGCCTAGGTTTTCTTCTAGGGTTTTTATGGTTTTACGTCTTACATTTAAGTCTTTAATCCATCTTGAGTTAATTTTTGTATAACGTGTAAGGAAGGAGTCTAGTTTCAGTTTTCTGCATATGGGTAGCCAGTTTTCCCAACACCATTTATTAAATAGGGAATCCTTTCCCCAGTGCTTGTTTTTGTCAGGTTTGTCAAAGATCTGATGCTTGTAGATGTGTGGCATCATTTATGAGGCTTCTGTTCTGTTCCATTGGTCTATATATCTGTTTTGGTACCAGTACCATGCTGTTTTGGTTACTGTAGCCTTGTAGTATAGTTTGAAGTCAGGTAGCTTGATGCCTCCAGCTTTGTTCTTTTTGCTTAGGATTGTCTTGGCTACACAGGCTCTTTTTTGGTTCCATATGAAATTTCAAGTAGATTTTTCTCATTCTGTGAAGAAAGTCAATGGTAGCTTGATGGGGATAGCATTGAATCTATAAATTACTCTGGGCAGTATGGCCATTTTCATGATATCGATTCTTCCTTTCCATGAGCATGGAATGTTTTTCCATTTTTTTGTTTCCTCTCTGGTTTCCTTGAGCAATAGTTTGTAGTTTTCCTTGAAGAGATCCTTCACATCCCTTGTAAGTTGTATTCCTAGGTGTTTTATTCTCTTTGTAGCAATTGTGAATGGGAGTTCACACATGATTTGGTTCTGTTTTTCTGTTGTTGGTGTGTAGGAATGCTTTTTGCACATTGATTTTGTATCCTGAGACTTTGCTGAAGGTGCCTATCAGCTTAAGGAGATTTTGGGCTGAGACAATGGGGTCTTCTAAATATACAATCATGTCATCTGCAAACAGAGACAATTTGACTTCCTCTCTTCCTCTTTGAATATCCTTTATTTCTTTATCTTGCCTGATTGCCCTGGCCAAAACTTCCAATACTATGTTGAATAGGAGTGGTAAGAGAGGGCATCATTGTCTTGTGCCAGTTTTCAAAGGGAATGCATCCCATTTTTGCCCATTCAGTATGATATTGGCTGTGGGTTTGTCATAAATAGCTTTTATTATTTTGAGATACTTTCCATCAATACCTAGTTTATTGAGAGTTTTTAGCATGAAGGGCTGTTGAATTTTATCGAAGGCCTTTTCTGCATCTATTGAGATAATCATGTGGATTTTGTTGTTGGTTCTGTTTATGTGATGGATAACATTTATTGATTTGCATCTGTTGGACGAGCCTTGCATCCCAGGGATGAAGCTGACTTGATCATGGTGGATAAGCTTTTTGATGTGCTTCTGGATTCGATTTGCTAGTATTTTATTGAGGATTTTTGCATCGATGTTCATCAGGGATATTGGCCTGAAATTTTCTTTTTTTCTTGTGTCTCTGCCAGGTTTTGGTATCAGGATGATGCTGGCCTCATAAAATGAATTAGGGAGGAGTCCCTCTTTTTCTATTGTTTGGAGTAGTTTCAGAAGGAATGGTACCAGCTCCTCTTTGTACCTCTTGTAGAATTCGGCTGTGAATCCATCTGGTCCTGGTTTTTTTTTGTTGTTGTTGTTGGTAGGCTATTAATTACTGCCTCGATTTCAGAACTTCTTATTGGTTTATTCAGGGATTCAGCTTTTTCTTGATTTAGTCTTGGGAGGGTGTATTTATCTATTTCTTCTGGAATTTTTCCATTTCTTCTTGGTTTTCTGGTTTATTTGCTTAGAAGTGTTTATAAGTATTCTCTGATGGCAGTTTGTATTTCTGTGGGATCAGTGGTGATATCCTCTTTATCATTTTTTATTGTATCTATTTTATTCTTCTCTCTTTTCTTGTTTATTAGTCTGGCTAGCAGTCTATCTTGTTGATCTTTTGAAGAAACCAGCTCCTGCATTCATTGATTTTTTGATGGGTTTTTCGTTTCTCTATCTCCTTCAGTTCTGCTCTGATCTTAGTTATTTCTTGTCTTCTGCTAGCTTTTGAATTTGTTTGCTCTTGCTTCTCTAGTTCTTTTAATTGTGATGTTAGGGTGTCAATTTTAGATCTTTCCTGCTTTATTCTGTGGGCATTTAGTGCCATAAATTTCCCTCTAAACACCACTTTAGCTGTGTCCCAGAGATTCTGGTATGTTGTGTCTTTGTTCTCGTTGGTTTCAAAGAACTTATTTATTTCTGCCTTCATTTAGTTATTTACTCAGTAGTCAACCAGGAGCAGGTTTTTCAGTATCCATGGAGTTGTGTGGTTTTGAGTGAGTTTCTTAATCCTGAGTTCTAATTTGATTGCACTGTGGTCTGAGAGACTGTTTGTTATCATTTCCATTCTTTTGCATTTGCTGAAGAGTGTTTTACTTCCAATTATGTGGTCAATTTTAGAATAAGTGCGAGGTAGTGCTGAGAAGAATGTATATTCTGTTGATTTGGGGTGGAGAGTTCTGTAGATTTCTATTAGGTCTGCTTGGTCCAGAGCTGAGTTCAAGTCCTGTATATCCTTGTTAATTTTCTGTCTCATTGATCTTGCTAATATTGACAGTGGGGTGCTAAAGTCTCCCACTATTATTGTGTGGGAATCTAAGTCTCTTTGTAGGTCTCTAAGAACTTGCTTTATGAATCTGGGTGCTCCTATATTGGGTGCATATATATTTAGGATAGTTCATTCTTCTTGTTGCGTTGATACCTTTACCATTATATAATGCCCTTCTTTGTATCTTTTGCTCTTTGTTGGTTTTAGTCTGTTTTATCAGAGACTCGGATTGCAAACCCTGCTTTTTTTTTTTTTACTTTCCATTTGCTTGCTAAATATTTCTCCATCCCTTTATTTTGAGCCTATGTGTGTCTTTCCACATGAGATGGGTCTCCTGAATACAGCACACCAATGGGTCTTGACTCTGCAATTTCCCAGTCTGTGTCTTTTAATTGGGGAATTTATCCCATTAACATTTAAGATTAGTATCATTATGTGTGAATTTGATCCTGTCATTATGATGCTAGCTGGTTATTTTTCCCTTTAGTTGATGCAGTTGCTTCATAGTGTTGATGGTCTTTACAATTTGGCATGTTATTGCAGTGGCTGGTACTGGTTTTTCCTTTCCATGTTTAGTGCTTCCTTCAGGAGCTCTTGTAAGGCAGGCCTGGTGATGACAAAATCTCTCAGCATTTGCTTGTCTGTAAAGGATTTTATTTCTCCTTCACTTATGAAGCTTAGTTTGGCTGGATATGAAATTCTGGGTTGAAAATTCTTTTCTTTAAGAATGTTGAATATTGGCCCCCACTCTCTTCTGGCTTGTAGGGTTTCTGCCGAGAGATCCGCTGTTAGTCTGATTGGCTTCCCTTTGTGGGTAACCTGATGTTTGTCTCTGGCTGCCCTTAACATTTTTTCCTTCATTTCAACCTTGGTGAATCTGATGATTATGTGTCTTGAGGTTGCTATTCTCGAGGAGTATCTTTGTGGTGTTCTCTGTATTTCATGAATTTGAATGTTGGTCTGTCTTGCTAGATTGGGGAAGTTCTCCTGGATAATATCCTGAAGAGGGTTTTCCAAGTTGGTTCCATTCCCCCCATCACTTTCAGGTACACCAATGAAACATAGGTTTGGTCTTTTCACATAATCTTATATTTCTTGGAAGCTTTGTTCATTCCTTTTCATTCTTTTTTCTCTAATCTTGTCTTCAGGCTTTATTTCATTAAGTTGATCTTCAATCTCTGATATCATTTCTTCCACTTGATTGATTCGGCTATTGATACTTGTGTATGCTTCATGAAGTTCTCGTGCTGTGTTTTTCAGCTCCATCAGGTCATTTATGTTCTTCTCTAAACTGGTCATTGTAGTTAGCAATTCCTCTAACCTTTTTTCGAGGTTCTTAGCTCCCTTTATTGGGTTAGAACATGCTCCTTTAGCTCAGAGGAGTTTGTTATTACCCACCTTCTGAAGCCTACTTCTGTCAATTTGTCAAACTAATTCTGTGTCCAGTTTTGTTCCTTTGCTGGCGAGGAGTTGTGATCCTTTGGAGGAGAAGAGGCATTCTGGCTTTTGGAATTTTCAAACTTTCCGTGCTGGTTTTTCCTCATCTTCATGGATTTATCTGCCTTTGGTCTTTGATGCTGATGATCTTTGGATGGGGTTTCTGTGTGGATGTCCTTTTTGTTGATGTTGATGCTATTCCTTTCAGTTTGTTAGTTTTCCTTCTACCAGTCAGGCCTCTCTGCTGCAGGTCTGTTGGAGTTTGCTGGAGGTCCACTCCAGACCCTGTTTTCCTGGGTATCACCAACGGAGGCTGCAGAACAGCAGAGATTGCTCCCTGTTCCTTCCTCTGGATGCTTCGTCCTGGAGGGGCATCCTCCAGATCCCAGTCAGAGCTCTTCTGTATGAGGTGTCTGTCAATCCCTGCTGGGAGGTATCTCCCAGTCAGGAGACACAGGGATCAGGGACCCACTTGAGGAGGCAGTCTGTCCCTTAGCAGAACTCAAGTGCTGTGCTGGGAGATCCACTGTTCTCTTCAGAGCTGGCAGGCAGGAATGTTTGAGTCTCCTGAAACTGTACCCACAGCCTCCCCTTGCCCCAGGTGCTCTGTCCCAGGGAGATGGGAGTTTTATCTATAAGCCCCTGACTGGGGCTGCTGCCTTTTTTTCAGACATGCCCTGCCCAGAGAGGAGGAATCTAGAGAGGCAGTCTGGCTACAGTGGCTTTGCTGAGCTGTGGTGGGTTCCACCCTATTCGAACTTCCTGGTAGTTTTGTTCACACTGTGGGGGGAAAACTGCCTACTGAAGCCTCAGTAATGGCGGATGCCCCTCCCCCCACCAAGCTTAAGGATCTCAGGTTGACTTCAGACTGCTGTGCTGGCAGCGAGAATTTCAGGCCAGTGGATTTTAGCTTGCCTGGCTCCGTGGGGGTGGGATCTGCTGAGATAGATCACTTGGCTTCCTGGCTTCAGCTCCCTTTCCAGGGCATGAACGGTTCTGTCTCGCTAGCATTCCAGGTGCCATTGGGGTATGAAATGAAACTCCTGCAGCTAGCTTGGTGTCTGTTCAAAGGGTTGCCCCGTTTTGTGCTTGATACCCAGGGCACTGGTGGCATAGGCACCTGAGAGAATCTCCTGGTTTGTGGGTTGTAAAGACTGTTGGAATATCATAGTATCTGGGGCCAGAGTGCACCATTCCTTACAGCACAGTCCCTCATGGCTTCCCTTGGCTAGAGGATGGAGTTCCCTGACACCTTGTGCTTCCCGGCTTAGGCAATGCCTCACCCTGCTTCGGCTTACCCTCTGTGGGCCACACCCACTGTCTAACCAGTCCCAATGAGATGAGCCAGGTACCTCAGTTGGAAATGCAGAAATCACTGGCCTTCTGCATTGATCTCGCTGGAAGCTGCAAACTGGAACTGTTCGTATTTGGCCATCTTGCCAGCCACATTACTATGCCACTTTAAAAGATCCAGTTTCATTTTTCTACATGTGGCTTGCCAATTATCCCAGCACCATTTGTTGAATAGGGTGTCCTTTCTCCACTTTATGTTTTTATTTGCTTTGTCGAAGATCAGTTGACTAAGTATTTGGCTTTATTTCTGGGTTCTCTATTTTGTTACATTGATCTATATGCCTGTTTTTATACCAGTACCATGCTGTTTTGGTGACTATGGCCTTATAGTGTAGTTTGAAGTCAGGTAATGTAATGCCTCCAGATTTGTTCTTTTTGCTTAGTCTTACTTTGGCTATGTGGGCTCTTTTTTGTTTCCTTATGAATTTTCAGATTTTTTTTCTAGCTCTGTGAAGAATGGTGGTGGTATTTTGATGGGGATTGCATTGAATTTGTAGGTTGCTTTTAGCAGTATGTTCATTTTCACAGTATTGATTCTACCAATCCATGAGCATGGGATGTTTCCATTTGTTTTTGTCACCTATGATTTCTTTCAGCAGTGTTTTGTAGTTTTGCTTGTAGAGGTCTTTCACCTCCTCGGTTAAGTATATTTCTAAGTATTCTATTTTAATTTTTGCAGCTATTATAAAAGTGGTTGGGTTCTTTTTTTTTTTTTTTTTTTTTTTGAGACATAGTCTTGCTCTGTCACCCAGGCTGGAGTGCAGTAGTGCGATCTCGTCTCACCGCAAGCTCCGCCTCCCGGCTTCATGCCATTCTCCTGCCTCAGCCTCCCAAGTAGCTGGGACTACAGGTGCCTGCCACCATGCCTGGCTAATTTTTTTTTTTTTTTTGATTTTTAGTAGAGACGGGGTTTCACCGTGTTAGCCAGGATGGTCTCGATTTCCTGATCTCGTGATTCACCCCGCCTTGGCCTCCCAAAGTGTTGGGATTACAGGCGTGAGCCACCATGCCCAGCCAGCGGTTGGGTTCTTGATTTGATTCTCAGCTTGGTTGCTGTTGGTGTATAGCAGGGCTTTGATTTGTGCATGTTAATTTCTTATCCTGAAATGTTGCTGCATTTATTTACCAGTTTGAGGAACTTTTTGAATGAGTCTTTAGGGTTTTCCAAGTATATGATCATGTCATCAGCAGAGACAGTTTAATTTCCTCATTACCAATTTGGATGCCCTTTATTCCTTTCTCTTGTCTTGTTGCTCTGGCTAGGACTTCCAGTACTATGTTGAAAAAAAGTGGTGAAAGTGGGCATCCCTGACTTGTTCCAGTTCTCAGGAGAATGCTTTCAACTTTTCCCCGTTCAGTATGATGTTGACTATGGGTTTGTCATAGATGACTTTTATTACCTTAAAGTTTGTTCCTTTTATGCCGATTATGCTGAGGGTTTTAGTCATAAAGGGATGCTGGGTTTTTTCCAAATGCTTTTTCTGTGTCTATTGAGATGACCATGTGATTTTCATTTTAAATTCTGTTTATATGTTTAATTCTGTTTATATCACATTTATTGACTTGTGGATTATTAAACCATCCCTGCATCCCTGGGATGAAAGCCACTTGATCATGGTGGATTATCTTTTTGATATGCTGTTGGATTTGGTTAGCTAGTATTTTGTTGAGAATTTTTACATCTATGTTTATCAGGGATATTGGTCTGTAGTTTTCTTTTTTTGTTATGTCCTTTCCTGGTTTTGGTACTAGGGTGATACTCGCTTCATAGAATGATTTGGGGAGGATTTGGTATTAGGGTGATACTGGCTTCACAGAATGATTTAGGGAAGATTCCCTCTTTTTCTGTCTTTTGGAATAGTGTCCATAGGATTGGTCCCAATTCTTCTTTGAATGTCTGATAGAATTCAGGTATGAATCCATCTGGTCCTGGACCTTTTTTCTTGGTAACTTTTAAATTTTCATTTCAACCTTGCTGCTTGTTATTGGTCTGTTCAGAGTTTCTGTTTCTTCCTGGTTTAATCTAGGAGGTTTGTATATTTTCAGGAATTTATCCATCTCCTCTAGGTTTTCTAGTTTATGCACATAAAGGTGTTGGTAGTAGCCTTGAATGATCTGTTGTATTTCTGTGGTATTGGTTGTAATATCTCCCGTTCCATTTCTAATTGAGCTTATTTGGAACTTCTCTTTTCTTTTCTTGATTAATTTTGCTAACGGTCTATCAGTTTTATTTATCTTTTCAAAGAAACAGTTTTTGTTTCATTTATCTTTTGTATTTTTGTTTGTTTGTTTCAGTTTCATTTCATTTCATTCAGTGCTGCCCTGATCTTCCTTATTTCTTTTATTCTGCTGGGTTTGGATTTGGTTTGTTCTTGTTTCTCTAGTTCCTTGAGGTATGTCCTAAGATTGTCTGTTTGTCCTCTTTCACACTTTTTGATGAAGGCATTCGATCCTATGATATTTCCTCTTAGCACCACTTTGCTGGATCCCAGAGGTTTTGATAGGTTGTGCCACTATTATCGTTCAGTTCAAAGAACTTTTTAATTTCCATCTTGATTTCATTGTTGACCCAGTGATTGTTCAGGAGCAGGTTTGTAATTTCCACACATTTGCATGGTTTTGAGGGTTCCTTTTGGAGTTGATTTTCAATTTTATTCCACTGTGGTCTGAGAGAGTACTTGGTATAATTTTGATTTTCTTAAATTTTTTGAGACTTGCTTTGTGGCCTATCATATGGTCTATCTTGGAGAATGTTCCCTGTGCTCACGAATAGAATGTATGTTCTGCAGTTGTTGCGTAGAATGTTCTGTAAATATCTGTTAAGTCCATTTGTTCTAGGGTATAGTTTAAGTCCGTTGTTTCTTCGTTGATTTTCTGTCTTGCTGACCTTTCTAGTGCTGTCAGTGGAGTATTGAAGTCCCCTGCTATTGTTGTGTTGCTGTCTATCTCATTTCTTAGGTCTAGTAGTAATTGTTTTATACATTTGGGAACTTCAGTGTTAGGTGTGTGTATATTTAGGATTGTGGTATTTTTCTGTTGGACTAGTCATTTTATCATTATATAATGTCCTTCATTGTCTTTTTTAACTGCTGTTGCTTTAAAGTTTGTTTTGTCTGATATAAGAGTAGCTACCCCTGATTGATTGCTTTTGGTGTTGGAATATCTTTTTCCACCCCTTTACCTTAAGTTTATGTGAGTCCTCATGTGTCAGGTGAGTCTCTTGAAGTCAGCAGATATTTGATTGGTGAGTTCTTATTCATTCTGCCATTCTGTATCTTTTAACTGGAGCATTTAGGCCATTATATACATTCAATGTTAATATTGATATGTGAGGGACTATTCTATTCATCATGCTATTTCATTTAGAGTTCCTTTTAGCAGTTCTTGTAGTGCTGGCTTGGTAATGGCGAATTCTCTCAGCATTTGTTTATCTGAAAAAGATTGTATCTTTCCTTCATTTATGAAGCTTAGTTTCACTGGATACAAAATTCTTGGCTGATAATCGTTTTGTTTAAGGAGGCTAAAGATAGGACCCCAATCCCTTCTAGCTTGTAGGATCACTGCTGAGAAATTGGCTGCTATCTGATAGGTTTTCCTTTACAGGTTACTTGGTGCTTTTGCCTCACATCTCTTAAGATTCCTTTGTCTTGACTTTACATAACCTGATGACTATGTGCCTAGGTGATGATCTTTTTGCAATGAATTTCCCAGGTATTTTTGGAACTTTTTGTATTTGAATGTCTAGATCTCTAGCAAGGCCAGGGAAGTTTCCCTCAATTATCGTCTCAAATATGTTTTCTAAACTTTTAGATTTCTCTTTTTCCTTGGGAACGCCAATTATTCTTAGGTTTGGTCATTTAACATAATCCCAAACTTCTTGGAGGCTTTGTTCATTAAAAAAATTTTTTTCTTTGTCTCCGTTGGATTGGGTTAATTTGAAAACCTTGTCTTCAAGCTCTGAAGTTCTTTCTTCTGCTTGTTGATTCTATTGATGAGACTTTCTAGTGCATTTTTCATTTCTCTAAGTGTCCTTGATTTCCAGAAGTTGTGATTGCTTTTTATTTATGCTATCTATTTCACTGGAGGTTTTCCCATTCATATCCTGTATCCTTTTTTAAAAAATTTCTTTAAGTTGGATTTCGCCGTTCTCTGATGCCTCCTTGATCGGCTTAATAATCGACCTTCTGAATTCTTTCTATGATATTTCAGAGATTTCATCTTGGTTTGGATCCATTGCATGTGAGCTAGTGTGATCTTCTGGGGGGTGTTAAAGAACATTGTTTTGTCATATTAACAGAATTGTTTTTCTGGTTCCTTTTCATTTGGACTATGTCAAAGGGAAGATCTGGGACTCAAGGGCTGCTGTTCAGATTCTTTTGCCCCACAGGGTGCTCCCTTGATGTGGTGCTCTCCTCTTTCCCCTAGGGATGGGGGTTCCTGAGAGCCAAACTGCAGTGATAGTTATTTCTCTTTTGGATCTCGCGACCCAGCAGAGCTACCAGACTCTGGGCTAGTACTGGGGACCACCTACAAAGATTCCTGTGATGTGATCTGTCTTCAGGTCTCTCAGCTGTAGATACCAGCACCTACTCTGGTAGAGGTAGCAGGGGAGTGAAGTGGACTTTGTGAGGGTTCTTGGTTGTATTTTTGTTAAATGTGCTGGTTTTGAGTTGGATGGCCTCCAGCCAGGAGGTGGTACTTTCAAGAATGCAGCAGTTCTGGTCATATAGGGAGGATCACGCAGTGGGTGGGAACATAGAGCTCCCAAGAGATTATGTCCTTTGTCTTAGGCTACAAGGGTGGGTAGAGAAAGCCCATCAGGTAGGGGCAGGGTTATGTGTGTCTGAGCTCAGACTCTCCCTGGGCAGGGCTTTCTGTGGCTGCTGTGGGGGATAGGGGTTTGGTTCTCAGACCAATGGAGTTATGTTCTCAGGGGGATCATGGCTGTCTCTGCTGTGTCACACAGGTCACTATGGAAGCGGGAGAAATCCATATCCCACAGCCCAAAAGGCCAGTCTCACTCCCACCATGCCCCACCAACAGCACCAAGTTTATTTCCAGGCAGCCAGTGATCAGGGCTGAGAACTTGCCCCAAGCTACAAGCCTCCTAGCTGAGAAAGCAAGCAGGCTTACATTTTCGTGGCTGTCCCACGGAGGCTGCAGCAACAATCCATCTCCTTCAAAGGGTCTATGGATTATCTTGCTTTCCTGGTATGTTCCTGTGGTAGTTCTTGGAGCAAAAGTTCATGAAGTGGGTCTCCACACGTTGCTCTGTCTGTCTGAGTGGGAACTGCAAGTTAGTCCTGCCTCTTATCTGCCATTTTTTCCTATCCCCCCTAATTATTCTTTTAGGTTTTTTCCATTGCTCCAAGTCTCTGAACTACATTGTTAGTGCGGTTTTCCTCTCCCTTTCAAGTGCAAAGTCTTTCTGAGTACTTTCATTATTGTATAATTGGAGCTTTAAAATATTTTGGGAGGGCGTCTTTTAAATATCCCAGTAAATACTGAAGGACATTATTAATCCAACCCCTTTTAAATGTCCGGCAAGAAAAGGAGAAAAGTACATACATTTCTCTCCTATCTGATTTAATTTGCTTTATGTAAGGCATCCTCCTGGATAAAAAGCTACTGCTCTGGGACAAAAGACTTTTGGAAGAATTTTAGACCTTCTCACTCTTAACAAACTTAGAGGTGGCTTAATTGTTGGTTCATTCATTCATGTATTAATCAATATTTATCACATACTTATTGTGTGCCAGTTGCTGTAGTGGGCACTGTAATACAAAGGTGAATGAGGCACAGGCACAGGCTTTAACTTTCAATGGAGAAGACAGAATTGTAAGCAATAGTTGTGATACCATGTGTGGAGAGGATGGTAGAGACAAGAACAGGATGTCATGGGATACCTGGCCCAGAGGGCCACTCAACCCAGCTGAGGGCCTGGGCAGCCTCAGTGGAGAGAATGAGGCCTGAACTGACACATGAAGGATGAGGAGGCTGAAGAAAGGACAATAAAGTGTAGGGGGAGAGGGACTCAAACAAGTCCACTGGATTTGGGAATTAGGAAACCATTAGTAACATCAGCCAGAGCAGTTTCAATAGAATGGTGGGGTTTTTCAATAGGAAGCTGGATTGTAGCAGACTGGAGAGTGGCCAGGGACTGAGAAAGTGGAGATGAAAGGGAAAGGGTGAGGGCAAGAAGGATGGTGACCTCTAGAGAGTCTTGGGGTCAAGGATGTATTTATTTTTATTTTTTATTTTTTAGGGCTTGAAAAATTTGTGCAGTGTTCCAAAAGCAGAGTAAAGGAGGAAAGGCCAGGAAGTATGGGAGAGAGCCAGGCAAGTGGTGAGAGCCAAGGGTTCAGGTGAATGAGAAGGCTTTACACAATGGGAGTTGCCCTGGCGGAGAAAGTTTAGATCTGCCTGGTCTGTACAATAAGATTTTCTTTTTGGTGCCTGTTTGGTATAATGGGACAGGAGGCATTGATATGTTTTGGCTCTGTGTCGCCACCAAAATCTCACCTTGAAATGTAATAATCCCCCTATGTCATGGGAGGGACCCAGTAGGGGGGGTAATTGAATCATGGGGGTGGGCTTTTCCCATGCTGTTCTTGTGATAGTGAATAAGTCTCATGAGATCTGATGGTTTTATAAAGGGGAGTTCCCTGACACACACTCTCTCTTGCCTGCTGCCATGTAAGACGTGCCTTTTGCCTTCCACCATGATTGTGAAGCCTCCCCAGCCATGTAAAACTGTGAGTCCATTAAATCTCTTTTTCTTTATAAATTGCCCAGTCTTGGGTATGTCTTTATTAACAGTGTGAGAACAGACTGATACAGTAAATTGGTACCAGGAGTGGGGTGCTGCTGTAAAGATACCTGAAAATGTGGAAGTGACTTTGGAACTGGGAATGAGGGAGAGGTTGGAACAGTTTAGAGTGCTCAGAAGAAGACAGGAAGATGTGGGAAAGTTTGGAACTTCCTAGAGATTTGTTGAATGGCTTTGACCAAGATGCTGACAATGAAATTCAGGCTGAGGTGATCTCAGGTGGAGATAAGGAACTTGTTGGTAACTGGAACAAAGGTGACTCTTGTTCTGCTTTAGCAAAGAAACTGGCAGCATTTTCCCTTGCCCTAGAGATTTGTGGAACTTTAAACTTGAGAGAGATGATTTAGGGTATCTGGTAGAAGAAATGTCTTAACAGCAAAGTGTTCAAGAAGTGACTTGGGTGGTCTTAAAATAATTCAGTTTTATAAAGGAAACAAAGCATAAAAGTTCAGAAAATTTGCAGCCTGATAATGTTATAGAAAAGAAAAACCCATTTTCTGAAGAGAAATTCAAGCAGGCTGCAGAAATTTGCATTGGTAATGAAGAGCCGAATGTTAATCGCCAAGAAAATGGGGAAAATGTCTTCAGGGCATGTCTTCGTGGCAGCCTCTCCCATCACAGGCCTGGAGGCCTAGGAGGAAAAAATGGTTCCATGGGCCAGGCCCAGGGCCCCCGTGTTGTGTGCAGCCTAGGTACTTGGTGCCTTGAGTCCCAGCCACTCCAGCTGTGGCTAAAAGGGGCCAAGGTGCAGCTTGGGCTGTGGCTCCAGATGGTGCAAGCCCCAAGCCTTGGCGGCTTTTATGTGATGTTGAGTCTTTGAGTGCACAGAAGTCAAGAATTGAGATTTGGGAACCTCTGCCTAGTTTTCAGAGGATGTATGGAAATGCCTGGATGTTCAGGCAGAAACTTGCTGCAGGGATGGGGCCCTCATGGAGAGCCTCTGCTAGGGCAGTGTGTAAGGTAAGTGTGGGGTTGAATCCCCCACACAGACTCCCCACAGGGGCACTGCCTAGTGGAACTGTGAGAAGGGAGCCACCATCCTCCAGACCCCAGAATGGTAGATCTATTGACAGCTTGCACCATGATCCTTGTAAAATCCACAGATGCTCAATGCCAGCCCATGAAAGGAGCCAGTAGGGGGTTGTACTCTGCAAAGCCACAGAGATGGAGCTGCCCAAGACCATGGGAACTCACCTCTTGTATTGGTGTGACCTGGATGTGAGGCATGGTGTCAAAGGAGATCATTTTGGAGCTTTAAGCTTTGACTGCCTTGCTGGATTTCAGACTTGCATGGGGCCTGTAGCCCCTTCATTTTGGCCAATTTCTCCCATTTGGAATGGGTGTATTTACCCAATACCTGTACCTCCATTGTATCTAGGAAGCAACTAACTTGCTTTTGATTTTACAGGCTCATAGGTGGAAGAGACTTGCCTTGTTTCAGATGAGACTTTGGTCTGTGGACTTTTGGGTTCTTGCTGAAATGAGTTAAGACTCTGGGGGTTTGATACATGAAAATGCCAGGATAAACCTAATCCTTAAAAAAGGCTTTCTAGATCAGAGGTTACAAACAGTTGCTCAGGAGCCAAATTAGTCCCACAGATATATTTTATTTGACACATATGCTGTTTTGTGACAAATAAATTCAAGTAAAATCATGATCATGCATGATTGGTTTTGAAATCTGAGGACATGAGATTTAGGAGGGGCTGGGTTGGAATGATGTGATTTGTCTCTTTGTCCTCACCCAAATATCACCTTGAATTGTAATAATCCCCACGTGTCTTGGGAGGGACCTTGTGGGAGGTAATTGAATCATGGGGGTGAGTTTTTCCCATGATGTTTTTGTGATAGTGAATAAGTTTCATGAAATCTGATGGCTTTATAAAGGGGAGTTCCCCCGCATGTGATGTCTCTTGCCTGCTGCCATGTAAGACATGTCTTTCACCTTCTGCCATGATTGTGAGACCTCCCCAGCCATGTGGAACTGTGACTCCATTAAACCTCTTTTTCTTTACAAATTACCCAGTCTCGGGTATGTCTTTATTAGCAGCATGAGAACAGACTAGTACAGACACCCTCTTCCCAGTCTGGAAGCCCTTTGGATAGGATATAAGGCAGAAATCACAAGCTCTAGTATTCGTGAAGTGAGGCAGGTGGGGAGGCCTGTGCCCTTCTGCTGGGTGGCTGCTGTTTTACTCCAGTTGTATTTGCCAGGGCCCATTTGCTGGATCAAG
Source organism: Homo sapiens (assembly GCF_000001405.40). NCBI lineage: Eukaryota > Metazoa > Chordata > Mammalia > Primates > Hominidae > Homo > Homo sapiens. Next base: position 153,869,164 of record NC_000004.12, read on the forward strand.
AAAAGCCAGAATTCTGGATTTCTATGTGAAATCTCCTAGTTTTGAAATTTTGGCAAATATTTATAACAAACAAAGAATTAAACAAAATGGCATATGTGTCAAATAAAATATATCTGCTGGCCTAATTTGGCCCCTGGGCACCAGTGAGTTTCTAACTCTGATTTAGAAAGCCTCTTTTAGGGATTAGGTTTATCCTGGCATTTTCACATATCAACTCTATCCTCTCTGTACAACTATGGAGGAAAATGTTAATATGGAAAATAACATGGACAGTTAGAGAAAAGAAGCACAATGATGTGTTTAATCCTCCTAAGTCTAGTTATTTGCTATGACTTCTCCAGAACATTAATTTTACTAAGTTGATTCCCTTATGTCCATGCTTTTTAACTGAATTTTCTTTGTTCATCTTAAAGTTCTATGAAAAGTTGGATTGCTCCAGGAACCAGAAAGGAGGACATAATTACCCAGCTTATTACTAAAAATAAAATGGAAAAGTAGTATTTTTTTTTTAAATTGGGTCCCTTATACTACAGGGCAAGTCTGAAAAGAACTACAAATACTGAGGGAGAAGACATCTGCATGCTCCAAAGGAAGCAGAAAACTTTTATAATTTGTGCTCTGCTTAGCTTTGATTATTAATCTTTGTTTGTGGCAGGATAATGATTGATGATACATAAAACCTGATAAACCTTGCATCAAGGATCTAGTAAAGATGCTGCAGTTCCAAAATTTGATATGTATCACGACAGTGGATCTCAAAGTTTACTGTGCATGAGAATCACCTGGCAGGCTTGGCTTGTTAAAACACAGGTTGCTTGGCCCTGTCCCTGGAGTTTCTGATTTAGTAGGTTTGGAGTGAGCCCAAGACTTTAAATTTCTAGTAAGTTCCCAGTTATGCTGATGCTACTGGTTCAGGGACCACCCTTTGAAAACCACTGTTCTAGAAAATCTACAGGCTTTACTATTTACAAATTACACATCTGAACCATACTATTTTACATTTACTGAAATTCATCCCGTCTTTTTGTTGATAAATGCTAAAGCTGATACATGTCTTTGGACCACTGGTTATGTGAACAGATCTGCTGGTTCAAGCAGAAGAGGTTCTTTATTACACATGGCCCAGGTTGTCTGTTCTCTTGGATGCTGTTGTTTCATCCGGGGTGGTCTGGTGATGTGTTATCTAGGTTCCCTTGGCATAGCGACCCTGCAGAGGGAGGACCCAGATCTCCAAGGAAATGTGCTGCACATTGGAGGAAGGAGCCTGCCCGGCAGCACATTTCCTTGGAGGTCTGGGTCCTCACTCTGCAGGATCACTATTCCAGGTCTCCAGGTTCTAATAATTCCAGTTGCTTCTCTTTGCTCTCCCTGCCCGAGGGTGGTTGCTGCCATCTACAGTAACTATTTCTATGCTACCAGAGAGTTCTCTTTTGCTTTTCAGTCCTCTAATATTTGTTTAAACCATTCCCTGTATTGAAGTCTCTCTGTTAAAACAGCAACTAATGTTGTTTCTACTTTTTTGACTGCACCCTAAAGAACAGTGATGTCCATCTTATGTGATGTTAGACTGACCTCCATTCTGGAATTTAAAGGCAAATTCTGGAATGGATAAATTCCAGAATGGGACCCAGGAAGCATATAAACTGCTCTCTTTTTCTGGCTATAGTTTCATGGACTGCTTGAAGCAGAAACATAATCATCTGGGGTGCTTGTTAAAAATGCAGATCCCTTGGCCCCAACCCCAGACCTTAAACATTTTAAATAAACTTTCTAGGTGAGTTTCCATGATAGGTGATTCCTAATTTTTTTTTTTGTTGTTTTTTTTTTTTTGAGACGGAGTCTCGCTCTGTCGCCCAGGCTGGAGTGCAGTGGTGAGATCTTGGCTCACTGCAACCTCTGCCTCCTGGGTTCACGCCATTCTCCTGCCTCAGCCTCCTGATTAGCTAGGACTACAGGCGCCTGCCACCACGCCTGGCTAATTTTTTTGTATTTTTTAGTAGAGACGGGGTTTCACCATGTTAGCCAGGATCACAGGCACTCCAGGTGATTATGATAGGCTGGAACACGAAACCTTCTGGTGACAATTTTAGAGCAGAGAATACTGTAGAAATGCTTTGGGACAATTAATTCGTTTGTGCATTCATTTAAAAAACTATTTCTCATGTGCCTACCATGGGCCTAGAACCATTCCAAGCACTGGGCATATTATAATGTACAGGTCAAGTCTAAACCACACTCCCCAGAGTGTGATTGTCTTACTCCATAGGACTCTCCAGATGCATCTTCTTGAGCAATTGAAAAAGTAAAGCTTTGTATTCATTTTAAAGGTCCATGGCTATCCTCTTCCCACTCTTTTATGCCGAAATTTTGACTCTAGCCATTATAAATATACCTTCCTGGTGACTCCATACTTTGTGAATATGTCTTTAGCCTTAGAGTTAGGTCTCTTGGCATTTATTCCTTAGAGTAGAAGTTTTCTCTCATTTTAGTAAAATGATTTTAAATTAAATTTAAGAAGTACTTACTATGTGCCAGGTGTTATGTTAAATACCTTTCTCTCTGAGAGTTCATAGTTTATGTAGGAAAAGACTGATAATAAACTAACTATTAAAACACAGCAGAGGTGTTCTAGAGGCATGTATGTGATATCCTGAGAGGATGGGGAGGGCTCCATCCTGAAGTCGGTAGTAGAAGACAACTTCTCTATCGAATGAATGTGATTTGAAATAAGACTTCTCTTGAATTGATGAGTTATATTGCTTTGTATAAGAACTGCAGAATCAAGCCACAAGGTACCCTATTATTTCACCCTGCAAGACAGGTTCTAAAGTTGGTTTCTGTTGGTTCTTGCTTTATATGGTGTCAGACTCATTGCCGAGAGGGGAATGGCAGGGAGGGGAAAAGGGAGGTATTGAAAATGAAGTTGTTCGAGGATGATAACATTGAGTCTTGATCCCATGTTTTCTGATCATCCATTATTCTCTTGGTTTCCTTTTGCCTCTTTCTTTTATACGTTTAGGATGACTTTTAAGCACCATATATAAAAAGGTTAGGTAATAATGATTCTTATTGATAAGATGGCATGTTTTCTTCGAATGTGGTTTCTAGTTAAGTGCTAGGTTCCAAGTTTCTCATAAAAAACAGATTTTTGAAGGAGTGTGCTGCATATTTCGTGTGTAGATAAGAAAGAGCTGGAATAGGCTAGTATCTAAGGAATACATGCATCCTGAAGCAAAGATGTTTCATTCACATGTTTAAACACAATTTTAAGTTACTGCATCCTACTTCAAAATATATGTTTAAATATAATTTTTTGAAATCACATGGTTGATGTTCAAATTAAGGAAGGTGAAAGAAAAGTTTAATGTTTGATTTAGTCACTAACGAAAACCAGAGAATTTATGCATCAGAAATATCTTGTGCCACAATATCTGAGTTAGTCGTCGTTTATGAAGATGATACCAGAAAAGGCATGCTATTAGTATCCATTTAAAAAATCTTAAATAATCACATTTTATTAAAGGAGTCCAAGTCCTTATCATTTTATATTTTAACTACTTATTGCAGTTATATATAAACTTGTTTATCGCAATTCACAGATATCGTGTTTTGTTACAAATTGAAGGTTTGTGGTAACCTTGCATTGAACAAGTCTGTAGGTGTCATTTTCCCAATAGCATGTGCTCACTTTGTGTGTCTGTGTCACATTTTGGTAATTCACACAATATTTTGAACTTTTTCATTATTTTTTTATGGTGATCTGTGATCACAGATGTTTGGTGTTACTGTTGTAATTGTTTTGGGGTAACGTGAGCTGTACCCATATAAGATGGTGGACTTAATAAATGTTGTGTGTGTTCTGAATGCTCCACCAACTGGCTGTTCCCTCATCTCTTTCCCTCTCTACAGGCCTCCCTATTCCCTGAGACACAGAAAAATTGAAATTAGGCCAATTAATAACCCTACAGTGGCATCTGTGTGTTCAAGCAAAAGGAAAAGTCACACATCTCTCACTTTAAATCAAAAGCTAGAAAGGATAAAGCCTAGTGAGGAAGGCATGTCAAAAGCCGAGATAGGCCAAAAGCTAGGTCTCTTGTACTAAACAATTAGCTAAGTGGTGGATGCAATTAAAAGTTTTTGAAGGAAATTAGAAGTGCTACTTCAGTGAACACATGAATGATAAGAAAGCAAAACAGTTTCATTGCTGATATGGAGAAAGTTTGAGTGGTCTGGATAGAAGATCAAACCAGCCACAACATTCCCGTAAGCCAAAGCCTAATCCAGAGCAAGGCCCTAACTCTTCAACTCTATGAAGGCTGAGGAAGGTGAGAAAGCTGCAGAGGAAAAGTTGGAAGCTAGCAGAGATTGGTTCCTGGGGTTTAAGGAAAGAAGCCATCTCTATAACATACTATAAAAGTGCAAGGTGAAGCAGCAAGTGCTGATGGAGAAGTTGCAGCAAGTTATCTGCAAGATCTACCTAAGATAATTGATAAAGATGGCTGCATTAATCAACAGATTTTCAGTGTAGATAAAACAGTCTTCTATTTTAAGAAGACAGGACTTTCACAGCTAGAGAGGAGTAAAAGCCTGGCTTCAAAGGCTCAAAGAACAGGCTGACTCTCCGGCTGGGGGCTAATGCTGCTGATGATTTTAAGTTGCATGCAGTACCCATTCACCATTCTAAAAAATCCTATGGCCCTTCAGAATTGTGCTGTATCTACTCTGCCTGTGCTCTATGAATTGAACAACAAAGCCTGGATTAAGCACATCTATTTACAGTATGGTTTACTGAAGATTTTAAGCCCACAACCTGCTGCTCAGAAAAAAAGAAAAGATTCCTTTCAAAGTAATCCTGTTCATTGACAATGCACAAGGTCACCCAAGGACACTGATAGTGATGTAAAGGAAATTCCTGTTGTTTTAGTGCTTGCTAACACAGCATCCATTCTGCAGCCCACAGATCAAGGAGTAATTCCAACTTTAAAATCTTATCATCTAGGAAATACATTTTGTCAGGCTATAGCTGCCACAGATAGTGACTCCTCAATGGATCTGGGCAAAATAAATAGAAAACCTCTGGAAAGGATTCACCATTTGAGATGCCATTGAGAACATTCATGATTCACGGGAGGAGGTCAAAATATCAACATTAGCAGGAGCTTGGGAGAAGTTGATTCCAACCCTCCTGGATGACTTTGAGGGGTTCAAGACTTCAGTGGAGATAGTCACTGCAGATGTGGTGAGATAGCAAGAGAGCTAGAATTAGTAGTGGAGCCTAAGATATGGCTAAATTGCTGCAATCTCATGATAAAACTTGAATAGATGAGCAAAAAATGTGGTTTCTTGAGATGGAATCTATTTCTGGTGAAGATGCTGTGAACGTTGTTGAAATGACAACAAAGGATTTAGAATATTACATAAACTTAGTTGATAAAGGATTTAGAATATTACATAAACTTAGTTGATAAAGCAGCAGCAGGGTTTGAGAAGATTGACTCTAATTTTGAAAGAAGTTCTACTGTAGGCAAATTACTATCAAACAGCACCACATGCTGTGGAGAAATCTTTTGTGAGAGTCAATTGATGAAGCAAACTTTATTGTTACCTTATTTTAAGAAATTGCCACAGCCACTCCAACCTTCAACAACTACTACCCTGATCGGCCATCAGCCTTTAATATGGAAGTGAAACTGGCAAAATGATTATGATTCACTGAAGACTCAGATGATAATTGGCTTTTATGTTTTAGCAATAAAGTATTTTAAAATTAAGGTATGTACTTTGTTTTTTTCAGGCATAATGCTATTGCACACTTAGTAGGCTACAGTATACAGTATAAACATAACTTTTATATGCACTGGGAAACCAAAATGTTTGTGTGACCCAAAATATTTGCAATATTCACTTTTTTTGCAGTGGTCTGGAACTTAACCTGCAATATCTCCAAGGTATACTTGTGTGTTATAAATATATATATGTGTGTATATGTCTATACATACATATGTGCATATACAGACACACACATACATATATGCACTAAGTTATCACATATCACAAGTGAACAGCTTGATAAATGTTTAATACTGAACTCACTCATCTAACCAGCATTTGGATAAAGCCATAGAATATCACCAATACCCTAGAAGCCCTTTTGTGTTCCTTTAAGTCATACCCCTCCCCGAGGGTGGCCACTGTCCTCTTCCTAATAGCATAGATTAGTTTTACCTGTGTTGTGTTTTGTATATGGAGTCATATGATATGCACTATTTTGGTTATATTTTGTTTAATCACTTTGATTTGGATGTATACATTGACTCATGTCAGTCAACATTTGAATAAAACTACGAGAAGCCCTTTTCAAATGTTGAAAACATGTTTTTTGAGACACATTTAAGATATATATTCCAATTTCTGCTTCTCAAAAGCTCTCAATTCTTTTAGGGCTTTTCTCTAAACTCTAGAGCATCACAGCCAGTGAGAGCGAAGAGATATGAAAAATAGAATATAAAATATTAATATTTATGTTACTTATGTCTTGAAATAATATTTTGGATATATTGAGTTAAATAAGACATATTATTAAAATTAATTTTGTCTGTTTCTTTTGACTTTTTAAAATATGGCAACTAGGAAATTAAAGTTACCTTTGAGATTTGCACTGTATTTCTATTAGAAGCATTGATTTAAAGTGTCAGCAGGACTAAGAGAGACTCAGTGAGTTGAACAGTAAAGATTCCAAGTAACATCCTCTCTATGAGACCATCAAACTTTTTAATTTGTCCCTGAGAAAGGGTCTTGCTCTAACTCTTGCACAAAAGGCGATGTGTCTATGGTTCCCAGATTTGGATGAGATGGAGACTCGCTTGCCTTCCTATGTATTTTGCCACATTTTCAAAACCAAGTTACTTCATAAATGCATCAGTTTAACCACCAGTTTCTGCATATGTCATGTTTGTCCTGACTCCTGTCTAGCTTCCTGTGGCTCCTATCAGTAGGAAGGGACTCCTTTCTTCTGTCTGAACCATCAGATTGCACCTGTCCCTCACCTCTTCTCTCTGCCCTCTTTTCTAGCTGGAAAGCTAGAATAGGCACAGATTCCAAAAGACTTAATTTGCAAAATTTGTTGCAGGTCGATGTTTGGTTCTCAGTGTACATTTTCACTTGGAAGCAATGTTTTTTTTGTTTGTTTGTTTTTGCTTTTTTTTTTTTTTTTTTTGAGATGGAGTTTCGCTCCTGTTGCCCAGGCTGGAGTGCAATGGCATGATCTTGGCTCACTGCAACCTCTGCCTCCCGGGTTCAAGTGATTCTCCTGCCTTAGCCTCCCGAGTAGCTGGGATTACAGGCACCCACCACCATGCCTGGCTTATTTTTGTATTTTTAGTAGAGACAGGGTGTCACCATGTTGGCCAGGCTGGTCTCAAATTCCTGACCTCAAGTGATCCGCCCACCTCAGCCTCCCAAAGTGTTGGGATTACAAGGCGTGAGCCACTGCGCCCAGCAGAAGCAATGTTATACATTGAGTCTGAGGTCTTTGGCCAGTTGATGAGGCCTATTTTACTCATAATATATCTGAAGTATAGTATTTACATTTCTATTTCACACACGCTAATCAGAGGTGCAGGAGACATAGTAGCTCAGTCCTTGTCATAGGGGAGGGGAGGGTGGATAACTGCACACTGATGATTTATTCATTCTCTGCATAAAAGGAGAAATTGTAATCACTTAAGCATTCAACTTGGGTGAAATAGAGAACTGCTGCTCTGGACATAGAATCCATGAAAAGGTTAGGTTAATTATTGTGCTTCCTGTTTATAACATTAAAAAATACATTCTCACTCTCATTCAGCACCTATCACTTACTTAATTAGCATCTATTTACTTCTAGTCAGTTGTATAAGAGAGTAACACTATCTAAGTTTTTTGAGCCATGACTTTCAAATGTACTTGACTTTTTTGCTTTTCACAAATACCCCATCTCTCTCTCTTTGTGTAACAGTGGTCACCAGCTGGGAAATGGATGAGAAGGCCACATCCTTAAGGCACTAATTTTTGCTCTGAGTTTCTTTTCTTTTCCTTTTTTTTTTTTCTGAAGGGTTCTACAAAGTACCATACTCTTAGGCTGGTCTTTACTTTGTGTCACTGTGGGCCCTTGACTCTCAAAATCCTTCTCTATTTCTGGGAGAAGAAAATCTGGGATTGAAAAAACTGTAGACTTTTCTATCTTTGCAACACCACCTGCATTTCTGAAAGGCTTATTTGCAAACCAGGCAATTCCTTCTTGAATACATTTATTTCTTGTAATTTCTTGTCAATCACAATCAATAACAACTAACACACATTACTAAGTTTCTGTTTTCTAACCTGTTCCCCCTTAGGCCACCAAGTGCATTAAGTACGTGGTCTACTTCCCTGATTACTGCAGGCAACAGTTACCAAAGGTGACAACAGTGATTATCTTTAAAGCTTCTCATATCAGTTTTCTACTGCCTGCTGCCTAACCACGAATGTCACCTATTTTAAGTTTTTTTTTAAACATCAGCATTTTACAACTGCATATCCATATCTGTGTCAAGATAGACAAAATTATAACATTTTGTATTTACTAACCTCAGAGGCTTAACACACAAAGAATTATTTCTTGATTAAACAAAATTCTGTTAGGCAGAACACAGAATTCTCCAAGAAACCCTCCAAGAAAGCTTTCTTCTTGTGGTTCCATAGGATTGAAATTGCTTCTCTATTCTGGCCCTGGACCTCAACTCATAACCCCCACTCCACATCTAAGGAGGAAGAGAAAGCAGGAGGGTCATGTTGCTTAGGAAGTTTCTAAGTTAAGGAGTGACTTACATCCTCTGAGAAAACTGCATACTGTAGAGTGTTTCTCCATACTCTCTCACAGAACACTTCTGACACCAGATGTGCAAGTTTTTCCCTCACCAACACCAGCTGGGTGTCCCACAGTTCAATTCAATTCTGACATTATCTGTCTGGAATTAGTGCAGACCTCACAGCTTAAGGGCTCAGTGCCACAGGACTTTTCCCACTTCAGATGCCAATTGCAAATCCAGGACTTCTGATTGACTGGCTGTATATTGGGGATTCCCATGACCCCTTCCTTGCTTCAATAGTTTGCTAGAATGGCTCACGAGAACTCAGAGAAACACTCCACTTACATTTACTGATTAATTATAAAGGATGTAGAGGGCAAAGTATGGATAGGGCAGTAGAGCTTCCAGGCTGTCTCCAGGATGTGCTACCTCACAGCAATTCCACGGGCTTCTTTGGCAGACCAGAAGCCCATCTAATCATGTTATTCAAATTTGTATGGAGTTTAAGTGCATGCCCACCCTTCGCCTTCCTGGAGATTGGGAGGTGGGACTGAAAGTTCCAACCCTCTAATTACTTGGTCATTCTGGTGATCAGCCGCATTCCAAGGCTATCTAGGGGGCCCCACCCTGAGTCACCTCATTAGCATAAACTCAGCATCCCTACATTTTCCATTTTCCAGAGTTCTGGATGTAATTTAGGTTCATTCAATTAGAGGTACCTGTATGAGGTTTGGAAAATGGAAATAAAATGAAACCTCATGAGACCAGACTCATATTTCTGTTTCTTTCGTGGCAAGGAATGGCCATGAAAGTATTTGATTTTTCTGTAGTAACTGTAGTAGAGGCTCCAGTGCCTTATTCCTGGCTTCATGGCTATTGGGAGGCAGAGGATAGAAGATACATTTTGCTGGAGTGGATTGTGACAAAGGTGGCATGGTTCTGTGTCCACTATCTAAAGTGATGGTTTCCAATTTCACCTGGAGTCTTCCTGATTTTACAGCATTTTGGTCGTGGCAGAGGTATTGGCTTCCTTGGTGGCCTGGTTCTGTCATTCCTGGAAGCTTAGCCTTAAGTCTGTCTTTTCAAGTTTCTCATTTACTTGGCAAGCCATTTTATAACTTCTTATAAAATTCCCTTTCTACTTAAGTTGGCTAGAAAATTTGGGCCTAGTTTTCAGAAGATTTTATATGATATGTTGGCATTACCTGAATGTAGATATTGACAGTTCTACAGCCCCACTTCTGGGTGGCTTTGAAGGAACAGCAGTGAAGGGAAGGCCTCCCAGTGGGTTGTACACACTTGCTCATTTGGCCTGGAAGAAGAGGTATCCTGATTAATGGATGAGGATTAATGGTTTGACTAGACTCTCAAAGACTTGGAAGGAACACAATTGGTAGCCCAGTGACAAAGCAATCTGGGGAAGAGATATGTGGATGGATCTTTCCAAGTAGGCAGAACATAAATATATTTGTGTCCTGTATGAATGCTCACCAAAGAGCAGCCTTAGTCAGGATGAACTCAGTAATTGGGTAGACAAGTTTGGTGAACTTCCCTTTGGTTCTCCCCAGCCACCTTTGTCCTTGCTCAGTGTGCTTATGGATAAAGTGGCCAGAGCAGCAAGGATAGGGGTTAGGTATGTTCTCAGCAACACAGATTTCCATGCACTAAAGGGAATGCAACTATAGAATAGCAGATTTTCCAGCCTGCCAACAGCAGAGAACAACACCTAGCCTTCAATATGGCAGAATTATCCAGGGACCAGCTGGCCACTATTGGCAGTTTGATTACACTGGACTACTTCAACTGTGGAAGGAACAGCACTCATTCTCACTTGAATATACACTTACTCTGTGATATGGTTAGGCTTTGTGTCCCCACCCATATCTCATCTTGAATTGTAATCCCCATAATCCCCATGTGTCAAGGGTGGGATCAGGCGGAGGTAATTGAATCACAGGTGTGGTTTCCCCCATGCTGTCCTCATGAGAGCGAGTTCTCACGAGATTTGATGGTTTTAAAAGCATCTGTAACTTCCCTGGTTGTACTTCTCTTTCCCGCCACCTTGTGAAGAAGGTGTTTTGATTTCCCTTTGCCTTCAACCAGGATTGTAAGGTTCCAAAGACCTCCACAGCCATGCTGAAGTGTTAGTCTATGAAACCTCTTTCCTTTATAAATTACTCAGCCTCAGGAAGTTCTTTATAGCAGTATGAAAATGGACTAATGCAGTAAATTGGTACTAAGGTGGTGGGGTGCTGTTGTAAAGATACCTGAAAATGTGGAAGCAACTTTGGAAGTGGGTAACAGGCAGAAGTTGGAACAGTTTGGAGGGCTCAGAAGAAGACATGAAGATTTGAGAAAGTTTGAAACTTCCTAGAGACTTGTTGATGGTTTTGACAAAAATGCTGATCGTGATAGGGACAATAAAGTCCAGGCTGAGGTGGTCTCAGAGGGAGATGAGGAGCTCGTTGGGAACTGGAATAAAGGTGACTCTTGCTATGTTTCAGCAGAGGGACTGGCTCATTTTGCCTCTGCCCTAGATCTGTGGAACTTTGAACTTGAGAGAGATGATTTAGGGTTTCTGGCAGAAGGAATTTCTAAGCAACAAAATGTTCAAGAGTTGAGCTGGGTGCTCTTAAAAGCATTCAGTTTTATGTTTTCACAAAGATATGGTTTGGAATTGAAACTTATGTTTAAAAGGGAAGCAGAATATAAAAGTTCAAAAAATTTGAAGCCTAATGATGCAATAGAAAAGACAAACCCATTTTCGGAGGAGAAATTCAAACTGGCAGCAGAAATTTGCATAAGTTAACCAGGAGCCAAATGTTAATCACCAAGACAATGGGGAAAATATCTCCATGGCATGTCATAGGTCTTTATGGCAGCCCCTCCCATCAAAGGCCTGGAGGCCTAGGAGGGAAAAATGGTTTCATGGGCCAGGCCCAGGGCCTTGCAGCTTTGTGTAGTCTCAGGACTTGGTGCCCTGCATCCCAGCTGTGGCTACAAGGGGCCAAGGTACAACTCAGGCCATTGCTTCAGAGGGTGCAAACCCCAAGCCTTGGCACCTTACACATGGCGTTGGGCCGGTAGGTACATAGAAGTCAATAACTGAGGTTTGGAAACCTCTGCCTAGGTTTCAGAAGATGTATGGAAATGCCTGGATGTCCAGGCAGAAGTCTGATGCAGAGGTGGAGCCCTCATGGAGAACTTCTGCTAGGACAGTGCAGAAGGAAAATGTGAGGTAGGAGCTCCCACATAGACTCCCAACTGGGGCACTGCCTAGTGGAGCTGTGAAAAGAGGGCCACCATATTCCAGACCCAAGAATGGTAGATCCACTGACAGCTTGCACCAAGTGCCTGGAAAAGCCTCAGACACCTCACACCAGCTGTGAAAGCAGAGAATAGGTGGGCTGTACCCTGCAAAGCCAGAGGGGAGGAGCTGCCCAAGGCCATGGGAGCCCACTTCTTGCATCTGTGTGCCCTGGATATGAGACACGGAGTCAAAAGAGATCATTTTGCAACTTTAAGGTTTAATGACTACCCTATTGAATTCCAGACTTGGATGGGGCCCATAGCCCCTTCATCTTGGCCAATTTCTCCCATTTGGAATGGGTGTATTTACCCAATTCCTGTGACCCCCATTGTATCTGGGAAGTAACTAATTTGCTTTTGATTTTACAGGCTCATAGGCAGAAGGGACTTGCCTTGTTTCAGATCAGACTTTGGACTTAGACTTTTGGGTTAGTACTGGAATGAATAAAGACTTTGGGGAACTATTGGGAAGACATGATTGATTTTGAAATGTGAAGGAGACATGAGATTTAGGAGGGGCCATGGGCAGAATGATATGGTTAGGTTTGTGTCTCCACCCAAATCTCATCTTGAATTGTAATTCCCATAATCTCCACATATCAAGGGCAAGACGAGGTGGAGGTAATTGAGTCATGGGTCAGTTTCCCCTGTGCTCTTCTCATGATAGTGAGTGAGTTCTCATGACATCTGATGGTTTTATAAACATCTGGCTTTTCTCCTGCTTGTGCTCACTCTGTCCTGCCACCCTGTGAAGAAGGTTCCTGCTTCTCCTTTGCCTTCTGCCATGATTGTAAGTTTCTTGAGACCTCCCTAGCAATGCAGAACTGTGAGCCAATTAAACCTCTTTTCTTTATAAATTACCCAGTCTTGGGTATTTCTTCATAGCAGCATGAGAATGGACCAATACATTCTGGATACAGATTTATCTTTCCTGCTTCTGCCCAAATCACTCTCTGTGGACTTTCAGAATACCTTATTCATCATCATAGTATTTGATGCAATATTACTTCTGACCACTGGACTCACTTTATTGCCAATGAAGTGCAGCAATGAGTTCCTGCTCATGCAATTCACTGGCCTTAGAAAATCCCCAATACCCTGAAGCAGTTGGCCAGATAGAATGGTAGAGTGGCCTTTTGAAGATTCAGTTACAATGCCATTTGGGTGGGAACACCTTATGTGGTTGCTATAAAGCAGCAACTAATCTCTCCATAACCAGGATTTATATATCCAGGAAATCAAGGAGTGGAAATAAGAGTAGCTCCACTTACTATTAACCCTAGAGTTTTAGTAGTGAAAATTTTGCTTCCCATCTCAGTGACTTTGTATTCCACAAACATAGAAGACTTAGTTCCCAAAGGAGGAAAATTTCCTCCAGGGGATACACCCATGGTTCCCTTAAACTGGGAGTTGAATTTGCCCTCTGTTCACTTGGGCCCTCATACCATCAAATGAATAAGCAGTGGTTGAGGGAGGAGGGAGCATTGCTATAATGACTGGAGTGATTGATTCTGGCTTGTTGAGGGTTGCTGCTAAACAATGCAGCAAGGAGAAATATGTCTGAGCTAAGATGTCTGCTGAGGCAAAAGGAATATGGAATGGATAATGGAAGAAGAAAAGTATAAATATCAGCTAAGACCATATGACTAGTTGAAATAAAAGCATCATACTATTACGAGTGTTTCTTTCTTATTTTGATATGAACACACACATAAACAAATTCTTTTCTTGCCCTCCTCCATTTCTCTACCACCTAACCTCATACCTCTCTCTTTTTTGGAGACAGGGTCTCACTTTGTTGCCCAGGTTGAAGTGCAGGGGCACAATCATGGCTTGACCTCCTGGGCTCAAGCGATCCTCCCACCTCAGCCTCCTAAGTAGCTGGGACCACAGGCACATCTCCCTGTGTTGCCCAGGCTGGTCTTGAACCCCTAGGCTCAAGTGGTCCTTCTGCCTCAGCCTCCTAAGGTGCTGGGATTATGAGAGTGAGCCACTGTGCCTGGCCTAACCTTGTATCTTACTAGCCAAGTTATGGAATATCAAAGGGGGAAGTATGATTCAAGTAGAAAAGGAATGAGCATCACCAAAAGACAGATAAAGGGGCTTTGAATATTTTTGATACAAACAGGGTCAGTGTTTCAGGTTGGAGGAGAGTTTTATGATGTTAGGTAGAAGCATGACATTGTTATTATTTTTATTTGGGTGGTAAGTATAGTTAAAAGAGGGAGGTGGAAAAGGGGCAGACTGCAATGCCTTTGTTATGTGTCGACTAAGCTGGAACTATGTTTCCCAGAATTTGTTTCCTGTATGGGTTTTGGTAGGATAAAGCTGGGGCTGGCTACAAAATAAATTTGCAAGGTTTGGAAGGTGGAAGTGCAGTAGCAGATGTTACACTCTGAAGCCTGGTGGAGGGTACAAGGCACCTGCTGCTCCTCCACACGAGGCAGCCACTGGGCCCACATTCTCCTAGCTCCTGTCAGACCTCATCCTTCAGTTTTTCTGAATCTTAGGTCAGGTGTGTTTACAGTTTCGTGGTGAAGTGTGCCAGCACTTTCTGCACATCCCCATTGAGATTGGGGAAGTTGAGAGACAGATGCACGTTACAGTTTGTCTTTCTGGGTTCCCCTACTTCACACTTACCTTTTCTTTGCTTTCCAGTCCACAGATTTACAACTTGAGGTGGCCTGCACCAGACCCACGGGGCAATAACAGTCTTCCATTGAATTCTTTAGCAGTTTCTACAATTGCATAAGGTCAGTCACTTTAATAATTCCGTTATTCCATATCATTCACACTGGCATTGCTTTTCTGCTAAAACCTTGACTAAAATAAATGAATTCTGTTTTTTTTGAACCAAACTCTGACCAATATAACTTAAAAGGTAATGGCCTATCTTTCTAGTTCATTTAACAGAGTTAAAAGTTCATTCTGGGCTTATTCTTCACTACCAAACACATGTTTTCTAATCACTTATTACTAATTCATATATGCATCCAATCATTGTTTGCCATATTGTGTGAATCCAACAATGAATAGAGTTGGTGCCTGCCCTCAAAAGCTAATGGAAAAAGACAAAAACAAAGACAAAAACAGACATGATAAATGTGACTTTTATTGCCACTGCTCCGCTAAACTACTTATTCAAGGTTACTGAAGATTGACTATTGAAGGTCCTTTAAGTGCCAAATCTAGTAGCTATTTGTTATTCTTATCCCATTTAACATCTCCAGAAGCAATGAGCATTGAGCATTGCTAACTATTGTCTAGAAAGTGAGCTCTCTAAGAGCAGGGTTCTTTTTTTGTCTTGTTTTGTGCTGTGTTCCCAGCACACAAAATAATACCTGGCATGCAGAGGAGGAGTTAATACTTGTTGAATAAGGCTGGGCATGGTGGCTCATGCCTGTAATCCCAGCACTTTGGGAGACTGAGGCAGGCAGATCACTTGAGGTCAGGAGTTTGAGACCAGCCCATCTCTACTAAAAATACAGAAATTAGCCAGATGTGGTGGCTGTGCCTGTGATTCCAGCTACTCAGGAGGCTGGGGCACAAGAATCGCTTGAACCTGGGAGGTGGAGGTTGCAGTGAGCTGAGTTTGTGTCACTGCACCACAGCCTCAGTGACAGTGAGACCCTGTTTTTTCAAAAAATATTGTTGAATAAATGATTGAATACATTTGCTTGTTCTTAAGATTTGCTCTTTCATTGGTTTTTGAGATATTGTAGTCTTCCTGTATTTCTTTTACTAATTTCTCCCCTCTATTTTCATTAACTTTTCCTTGATAAATTGAAGCCTTCCTCAATATTCAACCTCTGCTTACTTACTTCTTTTGTATTACATTTATTGATTACACAAATATTTAATGAGTACTTAATCTGCATCAGGAATTGTGCTTGTCACTTGTGACCCAACAGTGAACAGGTCAAGTGTGCTTCTCTGATTTCATCCAATTCCCTTCAGACAGAGCTATCTCCATGAAGGTGACTTCCAAAATTCCAGCTACCTCCTGGAACTTTAAAAAAAATAGAAGCCCTGTGCTCAAATTCAACATGCCCATTACAGAACTTCACATCATTCACCAAAATATTCTTACATATAGGCACCAGCACCCTTGTGTTCATCCTTCTGACTCCACATCTCTTGAGCCTACATCTGAGGCTCTCCATCTTCTGTCCCTAAATCTCCTGGTCTATATTTATCCATTCATTTCACTATTTTCCACCCTTCCTGGACTTGTGGCCATTTCTTGGTACTTTATTTTGCTAAGAGCTGATGCTCCTTCCTCAGTCTGGAATGTCCTTCATTCTTCATGTCTTTTTTCCAATGGAAATCCTCTTTTTCTGTCAAAGTTCAGCCAATCACTACCCAAGAAATGCTCAAATTAACCCAGTCGGAATAAATCACTTTTACCCA
The DNA here is from genome assembly GCF_000001405.40 of Homo sapiens. Lineage (NCBI taxonomy): Eukaryota > Metazoa > Chordata > Mammalia > Primates > Hominidae > Homo > Homo sapiens. The sequence goes on from NC_000004.12 coordinate 153,885,711, forward strand.
CTTCACTTGCACTTTTTTTCTGTCTTTCATTCAGGTAATTATTAACTTGTTTTCCTCCCCTAATAGATGGTCAGCTTCTTAAAGAGTTTTATTTTTATGGCTCCGACAGTAGCATCTAACATAATAGTAATTGACCATGGTAGGTACTCAATAAATATTTAATAAAAAATATACAGGGGCAAGAATGAAGCACTTTACCAAGCGGGGAGGCTGAATATGAAAGTAAGGTAGGAAGAGAATCCACCAGTGGGACCAAGCACAGTACTTGGAACCTGCGACTGTCAGATGCAGACTGTCACAAGGTCAGCTGGGCACAGGCAGGGGTTTTGAAGAGATCTGCATGAGGAAGGGAGTGGAGTTCAGCTGTAGAAGGTTTGAAACACTTTTGACCCCAGAGGTCATTCTCATACTGGAATTCATGGAAACTCCTCTCAGTTTTTGAGGGAGAGTCTACTATTGACCTGTCCCAGCATCAGCCAGATCTGTATTCTCTCTCTCTCTCTTCATTTCTATACCATGCTAGAGACTCTCAGGCATACATGAAAAGGTACTGACTGGTGGAGGGATTATAAAAGCTGGAAGGACATGTTTGTTGCCTGAATTTCCCTGTCTCTAGAATATCTTTCTGTGTCTTCTCTATAAATAAACACATCTTCCAAGTAGAAGTTAGAAATCTCAAGTGTTATTATCTTATAAGGTGTGAGGGTTATGCATTTGGCTGAATATTATCTCTCCATGTACACACACACACACACACACACACACACACACACACACACAAGACTTGAGGAAATGGACATGTCTCATTATGTTCTGTCACATCCATTGCAAAGGGAACTTGCCAAAGCTGTTCATTCATAACTCTGACTCAGTGAGGAGTGGCTTTCTTGGGCTTGTATACATGATCAGGCCTCTTTGATCTGTTGGCTCTGTTATTTTGAAAAACTTTTATTTTTTCCAAAACAGACAGAAAAACGCAGTTTGCTTTTTTGAGCAGAGATAGTAACAAGGCAAGTCATTTATGAGTTATTGCAAAATACCACAAGAAACAGCAGCTGAGGAAGGAAAGGGCAACTTGGGCAACACATTGACAACTATCTGGATGAATTAGAAAAGTGTGTTCCAGCAAGAGTTGGGATTAACAGCAAATAAAACCACATCCTCCACAGAAAATATTAAACTTGGGACTAGACTATGTTTTATGTCTTTGTCCAGACGTCAGGATTTTAGAGCTTGTGACAAGAATGATTTTGGTGAAATGTTTTGTGATGGAAGATGTATTATGATGATGATGACTGTTCATTATGCTCATACATTTTAATTTGGGATTATTAGCACTGGGTACTCTTTTGCAAAAAAGGGACGATTTCTACTGGACTTACTGCAAGGTGCATTCTGTGGCCATCTTTTTTTTAAAATAATGAATTGTTGTGGATAAAATTTATGTATAGTAAGACAGCTTGTATTTCTCTCACCATTTCAAGAGTCCCAGTGGCGTTGCTCTCAGTATGTTAGAGGTTTGATTGTTTATGTGGGCTATTCTGTTTTTGTCCAGAGTCTGTGTATATAATCTACTTAGATTTTGGGGGTCTGCTGTCTCTGGCCACTCCAGTTCTGGGTCTGACATCATACACATGTGTATGGTTTGCACTGAGGTGCTGCTTCTCTTTTGGTCTGCTCTTTAACCAACAGGCAGTAATCCTCAGTTGCCAGAGTCAGTCCTAACTGGAATCCATCTGGCTCTCTGCAGCACAGCATCCTTGCCTAGAAATATTGAGCAATCAACACTTTATATTTTTTCACCCATAATCTATGATTTCTCACTTAGATCATGTTTAGGGTTCCTAAACTCTTCTCTAGAAGAGATTAATTATATTTTGCAAAGAAGTGGGAAGAGCTAATTCATTTGATGTGTTTATCCATTTCATAACATTTCTAAAGATCTTAATTTATGTTTTGTGCACAAACATCACTCTAGTCATTAGCCAATGGTCAGTGTCATCTTTGTTTTAGTGAGGGAGACCAGAAGCCTGAAGACATGATCATCTTACCTCATGGCCCAGCCTAGCCACTTAGCCTGTGGAAGGGTCAGGGTCCCTGTCTTTTAGGTCTTGTCACTTTAGTCATTAACAATGTACCCTTCATGATCTCTTTCAGCTCATTCTCCACAAGCAGTAGCCAGGTAACAAACATTACAGGGAGTCAGACAGAGAAAATGTTCCAAAAATCATAACTTTGTTACATCTTATTCTTTCAGGAAAAAAAAAAAACTTTCAACTTAGCATCTGGACCTAAAAATGAACCAGCTAATTAGAACAAGGTTTCTTAAAAGCAGAACAAGTATTTCTTATTTACTTTAGGTTTCTGTAATTTCAAACTTGAGAGTTTTGTATAAAATGCTTGAAAAAAGAAATAGCCAGTATAAGAAGTGTGCTAAAAGTTGAACACTAATTAGCCCCTCTGTTGAAAAAGGAAAATGAAGGAAGCATTGAGGTTTGATTGTGCGAGACACAGTCAGGAGAGAAGGAGAAAAGAGAAATAAGGTAGAAACTCACTTTTGCTTGTTTTGTTTTGTTTTACCCCGATTTTTTGCAGAAGGCAAGATTAGTGGTAGACAGGACTCGTCTGTATATCTTAGGAAGATTTTCATAAGGATCGCCTTTGCCTGTGTACACCTTCCAACTGTTCCTTGAGATTTCATGTGAAATCCAGGGGTCCCTTTGGTGTCTACTCTATCCTTTCACACTTACCTGCACTCTCAGAGCACTTTGTCTGGCAGCCTCATGTCTGTGGAAGTATGACAGTACTATTCCAGCTCACAGACTCAGAAGAAAAGGTGAGACAGAGAGTGTGCTCTTTCATGGAGTTTTGAACAATCAATTTCATCCCTAAAGTGCACGTGTACTTGCTTAGTTCATGAATAAAACCAATTTTACCTCTTTTTGAAAATGATTAATTCATCTACATAATAGTAGAAAACTCTTTGCCATGTGCCAATGAAAAGTAGCTTACCTTTTCTCTTCAATTTCCTCAACTGTAAAAGAGGGATTTGACAGGTTTCCTTCCATCACTGAAATATATGAGTCTATTCTTATTCTGTTACTAACTGAAGTAAATGATCGTATTCTCTCTTGTAGATGGGAAGGGTGATTCTGCTATTTATCTGGGTAGTCTTGCAAGTTGTGCAATCTCAAGCACTGAGCTATTGGTGTGGAGTTTGCTTCTAAGCCATTCGCTGTCGTTTATTTTTTATTTTTTTGTAGTTACTCATTCTCTATGAACTATACTAATACTTCCTAAAAGATGTTAGAGGAAGTCATGAGATGTTCATAAAATTCTGCATGACTTACAGAGCAAGTGCTGAATAAGTATAAGGTTTGATTATTCCTAGCAGCAGTTGCCTGCAAATCTGGGCCATGCCTTTGAGGGTAATTTTTTTTTTAATAAGTTCCACCATCTTTATAATTTTTAAGTCTATAGTTCAGTGGGCAATCTCTTTTGGTGAGAAATAACAGAATGAGTTATTTTTCAAAGCATATTTTCTAAACTGAGAGGTTGAAGGGAGTGATAATTTGGTTCCTTGAAGGATAAAATCTGAACCCTCCCTCATGACTGGTGAGGCCCTACTGGACCTGGCTCATGCTGATAGGTCTGATGTCACCTCCTACCATGCATCTGTCTACATGCCAGCCAGCTTGCCTTCTTCCTGTCCCTTGGATGCTCCAGATGGTTCCTACATTAGGGCCTGAGCACTTTCTCTTGCTTCTGAATGGAATGCCCTGTACCTGGATTTCCATGGCTGCCTCTTTCTTGTCATTTGACATTCTGCTTATTGTTACCTCCTAAATGAGGGCTTCAGTGGCTACCTAATTAAAACTAAACTAAAAAATTAAAACTAGCCCCCATCTCCACCTCACCTCCAGTCCAGTCAATTGTCTACCCTATCACCTGGTTGTATTCAATTAATGCTAGGTAAAATGATCTTGTCCATTTATCTGTCTTATTGTTTCTTGTCTGTCTACCTCTTGCAGAATGTAAATTCCTTGAGGGTGCAAACTTTGTTTTGGTGACCACTGCATTCAACAACTGTTTACTGAGTGGATAAATAAATGATTACTCTCTGCCAGTGCTGTCCAAGTGAACTGATGAAGATGTTCTATCATTTGCACTATTCAATATGGCAGCCTCTAGTCATATGTGCCTGTTGAACACTTGAAATGTGGCTACTGTACTAAAAACTGAAGTTGAAGTTTTATTTAATTTTAATTAATTTAATTTTTAAATCATCACATGTGGCTAGTGGCTACCGTATTGGATCTTAAAGCTGTGTTTGGCCTATGGTACTTAGTAACTGAATCAATCAGTAGCAAGATATCAATAGTGATATCAACAGCAAGAGCAGCAGCAACTTTTGGAGTGTCCTCTTCCTCTTTCATGATACTTTCTCTTTTTCTCTCTCAGTGGGATCAGTGAGGTAGAAAATCTTCATCCAACAAGACTGTGAAATGCCATCTTTTGAAATGCTTTTAGCATCCTTCGATGTGAGCAGTAGAGGAAGTTTAATTAATTGTCCTACGCTTTTCTGGGCTGCTGAAATGCATATTTATCATATATATTTTTTTCTGCTAATAACCTGTTAGTTGTGAAGAATTACATATTTAGTAGTTTCTTAAGAGGTAGGATGTCAAATGGCTTTCAACTAAAAGTTTAAAAAGTATATGCATCTTTTCAGAGGAAGACATTCACTATTATGTAGCACTCTTACTACAAGCTGTAATTTATTCAGAGGAAGCAAGAACTAACATCCCCATTCATAGTTAAGTCCGGACAAAGCTCTTTTGTAAAGAAACTGTTTATGTACCTTCAACACTTTAAGGCATCATTTGGGGCGTATTACCTTACAGGTGATTTACGTTTTCTGTTTAGTATCACTTCTGCTCCTTAGTCTGTGAAAGGAGGCTGAATGGAGAATTTTTTCCAGGCTTGCAGCTTTCTGCTGCTTAAGCCTGTAGAAATACTCCATGTATTTGGAAGTGTGCTGCTAGGGGAATAACAGTTTTTAGACTGCTGACTTGTCCATCGTTTATCATCATTATATGGTGTCTGTCAACAGAAAACCATTTCTCAGAATTCCACAAGGAGTCATTCCATATAGAAGTATGGAGTCTTGTGACAAGAAAAAGGCATTGCAATGGAAAGTAATAAGAAAGGGGGTGGAGGGATAAACAGAAGCTTTTAGAGCTAATTCATGGCTGGCGTCATCTCCATTAGCATTGGGACTGTTTGACATTGAGTTCAGAGAACACGACCAGGGCTGGTGTCCATCTGTCACGGTGATTAATGGGAGTATTGTTAGGTAATAATAATTTAATAACATAGCTGGAGCCAAAGAGGCACACCAAAAGGGTATATGTAATTCTAAAACCAAGAGGAACACAAGAGCCAGGAAATTGGGGTCCTGTTCTCAGCTCTACCTCTTAGAAAAGGGCAGCCAGTAAGAAATTTTCCCCTAAGTTGAAAATGGGTAAGAGTCTACCAATGGGTAAAAAGGGTCATTTCAGCTCTTAGGAAGGATGGCCATCTTGGTGGTTTTAATGTACTTGTATCTCACGGATCGAAAAAGTTTGTTAAACTATAACTCTTCTGAGACGTGGGAGTAATGGCAGCCAATGAATCAGACAGGGAAATAGACAATTCTTTATGTGAATAGGCTGGATTCAATTCTTCCAAATAATATCCAGATTGCATTATATGATTGGTCCCACACTTGTATCAGTGGCTATCTATCATTAATGTGAAACCTAAATGAAGTTTTCTTGCTCTTCCGGGGCTGCAAGAGGCAAAATCTGGTCAACCTATAACAAATTTCAATGAAGTTGCCCTTTCCCTCAGCTGGCAGCAACCGTTGGAGGGTCACAGACCCAACATGACCCATACAAACCCAGAACCTACACCATATGGGCTTTTACTCTACAATGTTGGAGCTTTTAAAGTGAGAAATCACTTTTCTTTCTTTCTTCTTCTTCTTTTTTTTTCTGAGACGGAGTCTTGCTCTGTTGCCCAGGCTGGAGTGCAGTGGCACAATCTTGGCTCACCGCAACCTCTGCCTCCCAGGTTCAAGCGATTTTCCTGCCTCAGCCTCCTGAGTAGCTGGGATTACAGGCACCCACCACCACACGTGGCTGATTATTGTGTTTTTAGTAGAGATGGGGTTTCCCCATGTTGGCCAGGCTGGTCTCAAACTTCTGACCTCAGGTGATCTGCCCACCTTGGCCTCCTGAAGTGTTGGGATTACAGGCGTGAGCCATGCATCCAGCCAAAAAATCACTTTTCTTACAGGAAATTGGCAAAGTGAGACTATTTATATGTTGGCTTTCCTCCCTGTCAGTTTCTACTCAGTTTTTAATCCAGTTTTTACTTAGAAAATTTCCCCCAAATGGATCTAAGCACGAATGGAAAAAGGTTTCAGGAAGTAAGAGTAGGTTTATGTGAAAGGGGAGGATGGAACCTGGCCAAATGCCCTCTGGACCAAGTGGCATGTGTGGACCCTAATAGCTCTTGCTCCTTGTTTAGTCTATCATGGTATCATGGTAGCTTGAACTCCTGTGGGAGAGAGAGGCCAAAATGCACTAAGGCTAACAAAGGAAGATTGAAAGTAAACTGCAATCCAAGAGAAGGAATAAGAGGGCTTTATTTTTGTTGTAGTTGTTGTTGTCTTTTTTTTTTCCCTCAGTTGTTTAAACTATATTTCTTTTCCCCAGTGGTTTGAACTAAATTTCTTTTCCTGCTTCCAAATGGATGTTCTGGGGGCTAAGAAAATTAGGACAAAAATTCAGGGTTCTCAGATCAGGTAAAGGATTTTATTATATATTTGCAGACAGGGTAGGTGCTCTTCATCTCCTATGCCTGAGCAAAAGCAAATGGCTATCTGAAGGCAATCAGGGATAATTTCTATCACTCACAATCAGGAGGAGGTGATGCTGGGTGTCTAGCCTGTAGGCTTCTATTTAACTCTGGTCTCAGTTTGAATGTGTTTACACTCTACAGAGTTCAATGGGGGATTTGACTTTAGTGGGAGCACAAGGTTTTGTATTAGCTTTTTCTTCCCCAGGGCAAGTCAAGGGGAGGAGTTCTGATGAGAATGAATTAGGGTCAAGGATATTGATTGGCCCACAGTACGAGGCTGTGGAGCTTTGGTGTAATTGGAGAGTGAGTTCAGGGTCTGAATCTGTGTTGGTTTTGTTTTAGACTTTTCCTTCCTAAAGAGGCCTCGTGGAAGGAAGTTAGACAAGTCCTAGGCCCCACAGGCAAATTCTTGCTTTCCCTTCATTTCCCTTGGCATATTTCCTTGGACTAAGCTTTGGTTGCCATCAGAGTGATAAGATGAAGAGGAGACTTCAGTGTAGGCTGGGGCAATAAATAGAGGGGTAAGAGACCACTTAATCTTTCTCTGGCCTTGACATAAGTGGAACTATCATGGGCTTTGGTGCAAAGGCCTCTGGGTAATAAAGGTGCATTTTCCTGGTCTTCCTTTCTGAACATGCATTGCTCTCAGAAACATTGAAGGGATGACTGGGTTGAAGGACTGTGGATCCCCAGCTATTATTCAATTTTTAACTTAAGACATGATTTGTAAAGTAAACACTTCCAGTATCTATTTTGATGCTGCTTCTATTTCTCAAGTAGACTGCCACATATTCTTGACTTCAAGCTGAACAGGCATGGATGGATCTATCTGTGATCTGAGTTACAAAAACCGTAAGAGAATAAAATGACATTCTCATGGTAGTCAAGTCAAAGGACAGATTTGTCTCCTTTTCCCTCTCTTTTGTTAATTTACTATAAATCAGTGCAGTCAGCTTGCTGTAGTGCAGTGAGCACCAGCTTGGAAGTCAGATGCTGTGTTCAAGCTTTTGGTCCTCCTTCACCAGAGTGCATAGCCATCCAAGTCCTCTCATTCTATAAAACAGAAAGTTTGAAGTGGAGAATCACCAAGTTCCCTTTCAACAACACCATGCCGACACAACAAAGCAGACAACCGAGGCAATTCCAAAAGGAAATTTATGTCCAAAGACTTGTTTGCTTGAAATATAAACATCAAGGCATAAAAATAGCTCTAGCAGTTTAGTTTTAAAAGTTAATTTCGAGTTCCTTATTAATTAAGTAATTAGAAAAGTTTTCTAACTGCTGTTAGTTGAGGCAAAGACACTTTGAGAGTTTATGTGTGTTTTACTTAAAATTGCTATATAATTATTTCTTGACTTAATTTCGAAAACAAAGATCATAACATTCACAGAACTATTACATACTTTACAAGATTTAATCATCTGTTTAATATCCATGTTATCTCCCAAAGACATAGTTAGTTATTGTCCACATCAAGTACCTATTCATTTGTGTTCATCTCCCCAGCTCCTTGTCTTTCTTGATGACCGAGTCTTATTACTGTTATCTTCTATTCAGCTCCCTGAGGCCTCTCAGAGGGGTTAGGTGTAGAACATGCTAAAAAGACTATAGGTTTGATCTCCACACAGGTCACCTGTTTTGCCCTCTTCTGGCCATAGCTTATGCCTTTTCTCTACCAGCTACTCACAAATGAGCCCAGGAGAATATGGATGGATCTGCACAAATCCATCACCTCTGTGGGAAACAACAGTTTAAAGTGGGCTTTATTCTCCTGATGATGGGTCAGTAATAATGAGATCATTGTTGTCAGGCTAAGAAAATATGAAAGTCTGCCAGAAGAAACCATTTTGGCACCCCCCTGAGTATATTAGTCCGTTTTCACAGTGCTATAAAGATACTACCCAAGACTGAGTAATTTATAAAGGAAAGAGGTTTAATTGACTCACAGTTCTGCAGGACTGGGGAGGCCTCAGGAAACTTACAATCATGGCAGAAGGCAAAGGGGAAACAAGGCACCTTCTTCACAAGGCAGCAGGAAAGAAAGAAAAGCCCAGGGGAAACTGCCATTTATAAAACCATCAGATTTCGTGAGAACTCACTCACTATCACGAGAATAGTGTGGGGGAACCGCCCCCATGATCCAGTCACCTCCCACCATGTCCATCCCTTGACACATGGGGATTATGGGGATTAAAATTTGAGATGAGATTTGGGTGGGGACACAGCCAAACCATATCACCCAGTGACAGTCACATGCAGAAGGCTGGAAAAGAGAATCAAACGAGACAGCACCTCTCAGTTCTGTTTCCTGGTCTGGTTATTTCTAGGTGATGGACATGGGACATGCTTGATGGCTGGTTTACTGAACTGACAATGACTGAGTCTCATATGCTCTAACAGAGCAGTATGCTAGCTATCTGGGGTGGCAGCAACAGAAAAGAGGCCCCAAATGTAATCTCTACTTTACAGTGATCATTCATCATTGTGCTTTACACGATGCAATGTCTTGACTGGAGAAAGTTCTCTCTTGTTTGTATGTCGTGATTATTTGTATGGTTTACTGTGAAACTGTGAGTTTTAAAGTTTCCATAGTTATATTCCTTTCTGGGCAGGAATTTCCTCAAACTTTCTATCTAAAAATTTCCAGTGAGAAATTGATAGAAGAAATCCAGGAAAGACACAATTATTTGTCACAGAAGAGAATTCTTGTATCTTACCATTAAAATTTTTTCCTAGAGAAAGAAAAGTACTGTGCCAAAACTGGAAAAAATGGTGAAGTACTTTTAAAGCTGTGAAAGTTTGGATATGAGTGATTGGAAAAAGCTGCCCTTCCCCCACTTTTGTGTATTGATTTTTGGTTTTAGCCTGGCCAGTGTTAAATTTTCCCTAGGTCAAATTGCCCTCCATTAATGCAATTTTAATTGAAGCAGAGAACTGAGGTAATAATTTCGTCTTTAGCAGAAACTTTTTTTCTTGTTTTTTTTTTTTTTTTTTTTTTTTTTTGAGAGTTAAGTTAGAATCTTATCCTTCTAAAGCCCAGTGACTTCATATGCAAAGAGTACATATGGAAGTTAATTATGGAAGTTAATTCTGCATGAGCACTTTGCTAAGAATTTTCCAAACCCCACATTTTCATCATTTTTGTTGTTGATTTTGCACCTTAATTGCTGTTATGCAAAATAGAGACATAGCATAAAACATACAATGTGTATAACCTGGCTGAGAGAAAGTGCTTTTTAGGAAAGTAACATGAGGAAAGTTTTAACGTTGTGTTTGTCTTTGCTTTTTTGAAGAGAAAAAGAACAAAATCAACAACAAAAAACCCAAAATTTGGTCTGGCCACCACGGAGCACAGTAAGATCTGCCGAGATTCTGGGCTGCACCTTTCTACTGTTGAAAGTCTTTTATAACCTGGCTAGGAATTAGGCAGCTTTTAAATTTGGCAGGTCTCTGGGTTCCATTAAGAACTCATTTAAATCCTTTTTCAGTTGAGCCTGAATTTTAACTACCCCTTGTGGGTTTCAATTAGGATTGTTATAGAATTAGGTGAGGATGGAAATTAGATTAATGTAAAGAAACAACAGCAAAGATACTATGTTAGAAAATGTATGATTCACATATCTAGATTTTACCATAGTCATCAAACCATGAATAATATAGAAACGAATTATTAACCTGATAAAACATGTCAGGCAATTGATGAAATTACTGCATACTTTGGAAACCTGTAGTAACAATAAAAGCACGTATAGTTTTATGGCTCTGAAGCAAATTGCCTGCATCACCTGCAGCAGGTTTAGTTGATATAACTAAACTAATTAGATAAGAAATAATGAATGAAAATAAATATAAAGGTCTAGGTCAGATGAAGAAAAGCTGTATATAAAATCTGTATGTTATATTTGTATTAAGGTCTTGTTTTAAGGTATGTGAGAAAGGAAATTGCAAATTAAGTCTGGTGCTACGTATACTAAGAGCCCAAGTTTTAAAACTGTACAGTATTGTTTGGCATAAAACATTTTCTTTCTGCCAGCCCCCTCTTCTTTCTTCCCAACACACAACAAATACTGTTTATCTCCTTGGAGTGGGTGAATGCAAAATCAGACCCTGGTTGACCCTATTTTCAGAAAAATAATGACTAATGATGCATAGTTAACTTCTCTGGCAAAACAATTATAACAAATCGTATAGTAAAATGGGCTTTTTAATTCATTTTGTGTTCGGTTATATGAATTTTAACACATTTATGGATTTGGGTTGCAACTACCACAATCAGGTTATGGAACAGTTCCATCACCCCTAAAAACTCCCTTCAGGTACTTTCCTCCTGAAGTCACATTCTTTTTGAGTGGAGATGTCATTGAGACACGTCCCTAACTTGACATGTTCAAAACACGACACTTTCAAACCATTGTAAAAGTGTATTATCTCTTTTGCTCTCATTTTGGCGTTTGTTTATATGTTAAGTGCTCCTCCCCGAGAGTCCTATACAGTTGACAAATTTCCTCAAAACTAAATGGGATTGAATTGAGTATGATCATCTGACCCAAAGGCAGGACATGCAGAAATGTTACTGGAGTAGTGTTGCAAATTGTAATTCAAGGGATTAAGCTGCTAGGAACTAGCAATAGTCAAGGGAAGGGCTTATGATTTGGGATAGGTAGGACTTAAACCCAGGGAACAGAATGGGAAATGGATATTCCAGGCTGAGGAACTGCATGAGCAAAGCATACAGGTGGGAAAGTGTGAGATCCGGCTGAACACAGCAGGTAGCTCTGCATGGCTAATATGAAAGATCTGTGGAAGGTGATAGTGGAAAAGAAGCCCAAAGGTATACCAGAGTATGGATTTTCTCTAATTGTTGGTGGGAGATCATTGACTTCTTTCTGAGTAGGTAGGAGATTTGATATGAATTGTGATTCCAGAAAAATAAATGTGTAGGACACACCCCGCTTTGGGGACAAGAATATGTGAGACATCCAGAAAAGGATCCCAATGACACCACAAGTTTTCTTTAGCTGCTCCTCAGTGAATTCAAGCCTGCTTGGTATCAGAACCTTCTGCGTGTGTCTTATGCTGGGGTATGGAGACGCATGAAGATTAGATTTCATGTTGGTCTTAAAATATCCTTTGGTTACCCGTATTAAGTTTAGGATTAAAGAACCCTTGCAGTAGTGTTAAAGAGAAATACCAGGTGGTATTTTTCCAATTATTAGAGTCAAGAGTCTAATGTCAAAAGGGGAAAAAACCCAGATCAGTAGCATTTCTTTTATTTTGTATAATTCCAACTTTTATTTTAGATTCAGGGGTACATGTACAGGTTTATTACATGGGCTTATTGCAGGATGCTGAGGTTTGGGGTACAAATGATCCCATCACCTAAGTAGAAGGATGGAAACCCTGTGGGTAGTTTTTTAGCCCTTGCCCTCCTCCCTCTGTTCTCTCTTTTGGATTCCCCAGTGTCTATTGTTGCCATATTTATTGCCCATGTGTACCCACTGTTTAGCTCCCACTTATGAATGAGAACATGTGGTATTTGGTTTTCTGTTCCTGCATTAATTTGCATAGCATAATGGCCACCAACTGCATTCACGTTGCTGGAAAGGTCATGATTTCATTATTTTTTATGGCTGTGTAGTATTCTCTGGTGTATATGTACCACATTTTCTTTACCCAATTATTTGCTGATGGGCACCTAGGTTGATTCCATGTCTTTGCTATGGTGAATAGTGCAGCACTTCTTAGAGACATTATTTTACAAGACTTATTCTTGTCTGAGCGAGCTGTACATCATACATATAGGAAAATAATAGCAAACCTATACCTCAGATCTGCAGGAACTCATTCATACAAAAGCATGTAAGTGCATATACTACATATGGGGTATACATATTTTCTGGAAGCCCAGTTGTGGGTTAGGCTAGACTTTAGAAAACTGTGGCAGCCATCTCCTGGCACCTCAGCCTAAGTTATCCTGGCTAGGCCATTCAGCTCTCATCTTCTCTGTAACCAGAGAATGTCCCATCATTATTAAGGTCTTTTTGGACATTGGTCCTTTTTTGATGACTTTCTTACATTTTATTCTTTCTTCCTCCATTTCCTGCTAGCTTCCAGGTTCCTGATCCAGTCTCTTGAATCCTGCCTCAGTTGGCCTCCTGCATAATCTGCCTGGTTCATTCCTGCCCACCCAGCCCATAACTTCCACTGGATCCTTACTCTTGCCTGTGTCTGGCCTCTGATGGACTTACCTGGTGTTGACTCCTGACCTATTTCTGATGTTACCCAAATGAGGCATATTACTACCAAGGATCTCTAGTCCGATTTATTTCAGATCACTGACTAAACTTTGAGCAGTGGATTAAAGTTCCATCTTCCACCACTCTTTGTACTTTTTATTCTAGTAATATCAAATTGTTTTCAGGCCTCCATGCCCCACTGTCTCCAAAAGAAGCATGTGACACCAGGATGTTTCATAACTGCTTTACTCAAATGGCATGAAGAGTTGGTTTGGGGCACATTTAGCTCAGAAAAGAGTCCTGTTTTGTTTTGTTTGAGATAGGGTCTTGCTCTGTTGACCAGGCTGGAGTGCAGTGGTGCCATCATAGCTCAATGCAACTTTGGCCTCCTGGGCTCAAATGATCCTCCCACCTCAGCCTCCCAAGTAGTTGGGACTATAGGCATGCACCACTATGCCTGGCTTTTTTTTTTTTTTTTGGTAGAGATGAGGTTTCACTGTGTCACCCAGGCTAGAGAAGAGTTTTAAAAATTCTCGTTTAAGGCCAGGCACAGTGGCTTCTGCCTGTAATCCTAGCACTTTGAGAGGCTGAGGCAGGTGAATCACTTGAGGTCAGGAGTTTGAGACCAGCCTGGCCAACATGGCGAAACCCCGTCTCTACTAAAAATACAAAAAATAGCCGGATGTGGTGGTGTGTGCCTGTAATCCCAACAGTAGCTGGGCAGGAGGGAGGCTGAGGCAGGATAATTGCTTGAACTTGGGAGACGGAGGTTGCAGTGAGCTGAGATCAAGCCACTGCACTCGAGCCTGGGCGACAGAGCAAGACTCCATCTCAAATAAATAAAAAATAAATAAATTAAAATAAAATTCGAGTTTAGTTCCAGATTAATAATCAGGAAACTAGATTTGCTTCTGCTTTAGATAGATTCAAGAGAGCTTAGAAAAGAGCCTTGGTTCAAAATTGGGTTAAAAAATGCATTTAGTTCTAGGGCCAGGAAATGAGAATGGTTTCTTTTAGTTTTAGATTCATGATATTGTTTGGGTTTTGCTTGGATTAAAAGGACAAAGACAAGATGGATATGCAGACTGTAGTAACTAGGTGACATGTCACCTGAGGGGCTATGCAACGGTAGGAGTAAAATTTATTTTCTAAGTGATCGGCTGTGGCACTGTGTAATATAAATGTTCCACAAGATTACAGTCCTGTATCCAAAGCACAGGGAGGACAGAGAAGATGCTAACACATGTGACATGACGCCACAAACAACCATTCCCCTTTGGGCCAAAGAAGACAGTTGATCTTTGTTGTCGCACAGAGGGGAAACTGATTTCAAGAGATCTGTGGAACATGTGTTCTGCTCATGTCTCTAAGGACTACCAAGAAGAGTGGTGTCTTGCTTAGGAAAACACTGAGACCTGGGTGTTAGGGTCAAATTGACCTCTTAAAAAGACTACTACCTTCTTCTGTGTGACCTTAAAACTGTCTCTTAAGAGCACTTGAAACTCCCTCAACTCCAGAGACATCCATCATAGCTTGGTATGATTAAGGAGGCTTTTTCCCCCTTTCACAGCAAAATGACTGTTTTGAAGCTCTCCTGAATAGCTGAAGGGGAACGTTGTCACTTTGGTTATTCTTTCTACAGACTGAGCACTTCCAGGGATATTCTGCAAATGTGGGGGTAGGAGGAAAGCACAGCTTTTTGCAATTGGGTTTTTCCATGTCCCTGAGACACAGAGGACGTCTTTACTCACTGAGCATGTGAGTCCGCCCAAGCTTCGTCGCTTGCCCTGCTAGCATGTGTCAACCATGCACGGTGAGATTATAGGGACTGGAGAAACAAAGGAAGGCTCTCCCAGGAGGGGAGGGAGTGGAAGTTAGTAAAGATGCATGTCTTATACAGCAGCAGATAATGGGACTGTCTCTGCATGCTATGTCATTACAGCTTTGCACTGAGACAGCTCAGTCCACTTCTACACACCTGCCTCTTCTCAGGCAGAGGGAGGGAGAGGACAAGCATGCAGAGCTGCACTTGCTCAGCCTCAGGTCTGTGCTCCTTCCCTCTCAACAAAGCGCCATTTGCCAAGTCAGGCACTGACTTTCTTCCTGGCACTGAGTGAAGGGCTCCACAGTCACCCTGCCATTCAATCCCTTACAGTGGGCTCTGCTATTATCTTCACTCTATGGGTGGGGAAACTGAGGCTTAGAGGTGTTAATAACCTTCTCCGGGTCACAGAGATAACACATGTGAAGCCTGAATTCAAGTCCAGGTCAAATTTTTGGTTAGGGAACCTTAGATTGTATCCACTAGAATTATAGGATTAAATTTCCCTGTACCTGAAATTACAATGAAGTGAGGTTGTTATTCTGATGACTAAGGTGCCCTTCAATTAAAAAAAAATTGGCTTGCTGTTTGTGATTTATCCCTCCAGATTAGGGGCTTGAGGATTAGGTAAACTAATTTTTTCAAGGCTGACTGTTTCCTCCTCATCTCTTTGTCCTACTTCCTCCATAGCACTTTCTTGGCAGCATTTAGGTCTCTCTGTTCCTTTCGCTTCCCCTGACAGCCTATAGCTTCACTGGGCACTGAAAATACACTTGCTTGCACTGCTGCTTCAGGGCTCTTGCAGGAGATGCTATGTGGTATGGAGAAAGACAGATTAGAACTGGGTAAGGAGAAGCCAGTGTGCCTAGGTGGAGGTGGGGCTGCAGTGTTACACACGATGGTCAGGGTAGGCCTCCTGGGGACCATGATATTTGAAGAAAGATAGGAAGAGCTGTGCGTGTGTGTGTGTGTGTGTGTGTGTGTGTGTGTGATGTGATGTGTCTTAACACCAAACTAGATCGTGAACTCCTCGACAGAGGTCCTGTTTTATATTACCTGGCATTCTGTATGCTGTGTTCATAGTAGGCACCCAGATGTATTTATTAAACTTAGTGTATATGAAATTTAGTAAATTGCTACCAGGAACGAATTAGGTATGAGTGAATAGTGGGATGATTTATTTTCTTTTAAGAGCCTCTCTTTCTTTTAACAAATAACATTCTTGTTCTTCTTTCCTCTGGCCATAATGGCAATATATGCTTACTGTACAAAACTGTAGAAACCCTGCAAACATAAAGAAGAAAATAAAAATCACTCACAATTCCAGCTCTCAGTATAATCACTGCCATGCATTATGGTGTATTTTCTTTCTTTATACACACACACACACACACACACACACACACACACACACACACACACACATATAAGTTAAAACATAGGATCATATTCAGTAATATTTAAAATGTTGAATGACCTGTATATCAGAGACACTGATCCACTGTAACCCTTCAGTGGTTGGATGGTGGGGATGGTCGAGGGACTCTAGAGGATGGGCCAGTGCAGCAGGAGGACACTATTTACTAGTACTAGGCCAGGTTGGCCATACCAGCACATCTGGAGTGACCACCAGCCCTGAGTGTACTGTATGTAGTTTTGTACCTTACTTCTTTTCATCTAACAAAGCACAATCACAGTGTGATTACAAGTCTCTTAACTAAGTTTATAATTTTAAAAATGTCTTTATTGTAAATGTTAACTTTCATCATGGCACTATAAGTATCAACTAAAAAATATCTAAATGCTTTTAAAGTCTTTTATCTTGGGCAAAGCAACACCACAGATCCTACCTTTCCACTGTTCCCCAGATCCTAGCTGGCTCAAGAGTCTTCTTGCCTCTGCTGCAGCAATTACTTGGCTTGGTGTGTAGATGTCTGAATGCCATGAAGTTTAGAGAGGAAAAGATGACAAGAGCAAAGTAAACAAACAAGAAAGGCCGTGGATCTTGGTTGATGCCAACAGATGCCGTGTCGTGAAGATGCTCTGAAGGAAAGACGTTGACGGGGTCTCCTCACTCTCCTGGGCCCTTCTGACTAGTGACTGTCTTCTCACTGCTGCTGCTACCAGTGCCCAGTTTGTTGCCTGAAGCCAAAAGCTGAAAGCTCACATAATCTTTTGAAGAGTACTACATAAGTAAATTGAGTTCTCATAATGAAGAATAGCTGAGTAAACACTGCCACACCATGTGGCTACATGCATTTCCTAAGATTAAAAACATTTGCAGTTACAGAAACAGACATGGGATAGGAAACACAGGTCTATTTTATTTTGTGGGTTTTGAAATTAAACCAATTGTTTACAGTAAAGGCGCTGAAGTTCTGCAGATTAAAAGAATGAATTAAATGTATTTATTCAACAAATATTTATTGATCATCCACTACATGCCAGACACTGAGCCAGGTGCCAAAGACAAGCATGGGTCATAGAGGTTTCATGGTGCTTCCGGGGAAATTTATTAAATGGAGACAGAGCAGTGATTATGCTTTTCTTTATTTCATAAATGTGAATAAGAGTATATAGTTGTTTCTCAGCGAAATGTTAATTTTCTTTATTTTAGGGCTTCAGCTGCTTCTGTATAAGAGAAACTTTATTTTCAGCCCCAGAAGTTCATTCCAATGTGTTTTCATGAATTTACAGCTATGTCACAGATATTGCAACATATTGTTGTGCTTCAAATCCTCCAAGAGGGGCCACTTTTGATGTGCTGAGACATTTAAAGTTGGAGGGCTGTTTAGGAAATTGATGCAAAGACATGTGCATTATCATATGTGGAGAGAGAAAAAAATGGCATCTTCAGAGAGGTGCACATATGCCAGGTTAGCCGTGTCCCACCCCATGGGATGAAGAGCTTGAGGAACCAAGGGAAATGCTTATCTGGAGCCCACATCTGCTTTCAGACCATATTCTGAGGACCCAGAACTTCAGATTCCCTGGCCCAGAGTCTCTGAGTCCATGATCAGAGCCTGTGAGGGCTTCTCTTGTAGGTCTGCCATTTTGAATGTTGACTGCTATCACTATGTGCTGGTGTGCACCCAAGCATAGAAGACCCCATCCAAGTAGGATGCAGATGGGAAAAGGGAAGGTGGCTGGACCACCACTGATGTTAGGTATGGGCCTGCATGTAGCTATGGAAATTTTCTCATTGGTTAAAAAAAATGATAAAGCAAGGTGGTGTGTGTGTGCGTAAGTGTGTGTGTGTGTGCATGCGTTTAATCTTTTCAACATTTCCCATTACTTCCTAGAGTTACTCTCTGAGAATTTAGATGAAAGGGAGGTGACCTTTCATTAAATAGAGGATTCTGTTTATTAATGTATCCTCTATAGTTAAAGAATTCTTTTAGAGGAAAACTAAAGTTGAGCATTTTATTTTGTGCATCATCATGTTCTTTGAAGCAATGGATTACATCTTAATCCTGCACACATTCTTAAGATGAGGACTCCATCTGGGAGGACTAATCTTCCACAGAAACGTCTGGGTTACACATGTCCATCCAGTCCTTTGCCAAGTGCTTAATGGAGCACGCAATTGTTGGTGAGATATACTGAGGTCCTCTGGGGAAACCTAAAAGAGAATCAAGGGACTCAGAGCAGCCTGGCGTGCACATCGTTTGGGTCCAGCTTCCATCGCTCAAGCCATTTGTTTTAAATAATTACAATTAGACACTCTTCTTTTTATGCTGTTTCTATTTTTAATTCCATTAAGTTTGAAATAATGGAGGTTATTTTACTCTGTCAGTTTTACAGTTTTCCTTTGGGTTCATTTCTGTCATTGAAGTTAAAACTAGATAAGAGTTCCAGAACCCTTAAATCAAGAATCTAATGATTCGGTCTTCACACTGCTCTGGAAAATGCAGGAAATGCACTTCTAGTAAATACTTCTTTCTAAGCCTTATGGAGTCCTGCAGCCATAATTCATGACAAACTATCTCTTGCATTGAGACTGGTTGCAGAATCATGAACTGTCAGAGCTGGCAGGGATCTGAGAGTTCATATGGTGTCATTGCCTTACT
Source organism: Homo sapiens (assembly GCF_000001405.40). Lineage (NCBI taxonomy): Eukaryota > Metazoa > Chordata > Mammalia > Primates > Hominidae > Homo > Homo sapiens. The sequence goes on from NC_000004.12 coordinate 153,904,745, forward strand.
TCACAGGTGAGGCATGAGGATTCAGAGAGGGGAAATGCTTGTCCAAGGTCACAGAGCAAATATAAGGTGAGCTAGGACCCAGGACTCCATGATGTACTTTTCCATCTTCAGTTCATGCGACTGCAATGAATGATCAGGTGGTTCAAATTGTTTCATTGTTGTTTCTTGGTTTAGGCCTGAGAAACCCAAACAAAACTTCAAAAACTTGCCCATCCCCTAAATTTTTGTGCTTTTAACAAACCATTTTGAGTAAATTAGGAGTTCTTGGCTTATTTCAGCCTTATCCCTACACTGTCAATTCTTGTTATTTGTAGTAGTTATGTTCTGTAAGTTTCCATAAATATCATTGCTCCTAGAGGAAACAGTTAGGTTCCTGTGAACCTCTGGTCACAACATTTTCATCAAGCAATCAATACATAACCTTGCTTATATGTGTCTCTGCTTAAAGACACCTTATTTAATATATGTTGTTGATTTGTTAACATTTAACTCATGGCCAACATCACTGTAACTCATGCCAAAATGAGGCTTATCTAGCACGTGTATTTTCTCTGTAAAGCACATCACAGCACAGCCTTCTTGTGCTTAGGAACACCAGACAGTGCTTCAGCACTGTGCCTAGGGGCCGTTTTACACAGAGAAGTCACCAACAACAAGCACAGACACATGAAAAGCTTGGCATTGCATAGACTGTGAAGAGGAGATGTATTTATAGCATGAGAGCTGAAAGAAGAAGGCAGAGCGTTGGCTTGTTCCACCTCAGCTGGGAACGTGCACGTCAGGGACTCAGTTTTTTGGCCACTCCACGCGTACCTATGAGTGACCACAAAAGTGCTGTGAGTATTGATTTTGGGTGTTAAAAATACATTTTTAGTTGGTGAATTTGCATATACAGAGTTTGTGAATAATGAGGATCGACTGTACACACAAGCTTGCACATATCACCACACATTATAATTTCATCCATTAATTTTTAGGTTTCACTTCTGATTCCATGTGGAGCACTTTCAATCCTACATTGGTGGTGCAGTTATGCTGGGAGCCTTTACACAGGCTTCCTAAAAGTCATTCTTCTAAGTGCACCTAGTTTCTAATAGTTGTGTTGCTGAAAGACCCCTTACAGTAGAGCCAGGCTCCATCTCCCTAATCCCAGAACTTCACAGAGTGGGAACCCTCTCTTGGAACCACTATCCACACTCTTCTCCCTCCGATTATGCCAGCTTGTTATGGGTGAAGAGGTGGGTCTCTATACAAACTTGTCCCAAGGAGACTGCTTCATAACTGCTTTTGCCCCCAGAGTTCTGTTCTCAGCCCTCTTCTTACTTGAGCCTCACTTAGGAGTGCTTGTTAGTCCCATGCCTGACCTAGCCAGGCCCATGACTCCCAAATCCTTACCTCTGGTAAGACCTTTCTTCTGCTCTCCGTATCTCCCTCTCCAGTTTCCTCCTTGACATTTCTACCAGAAAGACCCACTGGGACCTCAATATGTCCCAAAGAGTTCTCATTGCCTCCAGCCCCACTCCAAAGCCTGCTCCTTCTTCTCTTCTTCTGGAGGCCTTGGCACCTTGGGCCATTGCCAACCACTTACACAAGCTTGAATTTTGAGTGTCATTCTTAATTGCTCCTTCTCCTTTATTCCCAGATTCTGCTATCTTGTGAAGTCCCACAGATAGTGCTCTTGCTCCCATCTGCCCATGCCTCTCAAGTGTCAATTACATGGCTCTATTCCAGTTCTTATTGAGTGTGGCTGTCAGTCTTGCATGCCTCTGAGCCACTCTCCACAGTGCTCCCAGAAGGATCTCTTGGGAACACAAATGTGACCATTTAACTCTCCTTCTTTAGATCTTTCAGTAACTTCCCATTGACTACTGGATACAATTTCAATTTAATAAAGGCCTTTTCTAATATGACTCCTGCTTCCTCTCCTGTTGCATCTTCTATCACCACCCGTACACCAGCTACATTCTTTGAAATTCTTAAAACACCTCATGCCCTTCCTGCCTGCTTGCCTTTCTGTGTGCTCTGCTCTGCCTGCAATCTTGTTCCTGCACCCATTCCTCTTGTGAGCTCCTGCTCACTATTCAACACGTGGCTCAAGGTTTGCCTCTTCTATGAAGCCTTCCTTGACACCTACACACAATGTAGTCAGTTCTCCCACGTTTGAGCTTCTAGAGACCTTTGAGCAAACATAAATTATATCACTCTATTTTGGAATTTTAAAATAATGGATCTAGTTTTGGACATGTGTTTTAGATGCTTTGAGGCACATCCATGAAGAAATACTCAGTAGGCAGTCCCACAGAGTCAGGGTACATAACTTCTAGGACATAAAGAAAATCCAATAAATCTTAAGACTTTATGGCACCCTAGTAGCCATTATTTCAAATTTGCAGGAGACATCCCTCTTTTTTCCTCTTCCTGCTTATTAGTTATTTTCATTCATGTGGCTACACTCATATCTGAGCCACATTGAATGAATTTGACTAATAAATTTCATGAGTTACATTGTCAGATACCCTTTCCCTAGTTCAGAGTTACAATTACTTCTGAGAGAGTATTGCCAATTTCATGTCTCCTTTTGCCTATTATGCATTTAAATTTCCCTGTTTTTCTCCATGAAGATTCCAGACACAGCTATGAGAAAGCTGTTCTTGGTCTCATTAACTCCCTTGAGAGGACAACCATGCTTAGTGAGCACCAGGGGACTATTGCTGGAGTCTGGGCCCAGGGGTCCCAACCAAACAGTAGAATAGGCATTTCTGAGCTAATTATTCAAGCCCAAAACATTGTACCCCTAGCAATGATCTTCCATTGGAAGACTGAAACTGTGCAGGTTGTATTTTGTCTGACTTTATCTCCATTTCCTGGTGCAAATTGCCCTTCCTCTTGCTCTTTTGTTTTTGATTTCCTTCCTTCTCTGAGCCTCAAATTGTACTACAAAGCTTGTCACATAGTAGAGGCTCAAAAAAAGGTCTATTGAGCTAAATTAGAATGAATTTTTAAGCTATGCGAAGGCTAGCTCCTCACAATGGCAAATTCTTACTTTGTGTTCTCTACCCTGTAAGACTTCCTTCTCATGTAAATATGCCTACAGAAAAATTCCTTGGAAATGGTATTTATCCTTTACTTTTGTGTTTGAGCTTGTGATTGAAGGGGGTTGAAGAGAAGCTGTAGCTTCCTTGGCCACTTGCTGTGGTCTCTGACATTGTAGGTATCCCATGTTTATCGGAGAGTTCACTCTTCTGACCAAACTTGATTTGTAACAGGAAGCTCCTTCCCCAGAGCCAAACAGCACTTGCTCCAAATATGTCTAGAGGGAAATTCAGATTCAAATCAATCATTCTCCCAAAGTCTTTTCTTACCAAAATATTCTATATGTTGGAACAGTGATTTAGTCCATGTTGATGTGACCCTTGACACTTCTATATGGTTGATCTTCTTTCTCCAGGATGTCACATTGTGCTTAGACATTCTCAGTTTTCTGAAAAATTATGAGGTTCATGACCCCCCTGAGAAGCCCACCTTGGAAATGAAGATGTCTATTGTGAGAGGAAATGGTCTCATATCTCAGGTAATGCAAAAAATTATATTCATTTGTAGTCAGGGCATGGAAACATTTCTGTAAATCATTCAAACTTTTCATCTTACACTTTTAATCCTGATTTATACTTTTATTACTAAAATATCCCTTAGTCCATCTAAATATTGACTATGCTCTGTGAGAGAGAAGTAACAGTTATAACCATGAGGAATAAAATAATTCTTTTTGGGTCTCTCTTTTCATACTGTCTATTTTGTCAGTACCTGTCTTTCTAAAATTCTGTTTAATCTGCTGAATGGTTCCCTTGTCTTTCAACCTACTATTATTCTCTGATGTCGTTTTCTCCATCTTTTGGGCAATATTTGAAAAATTCCTATAATCATTCATTCTCTGATTCCTTTAGTTAGTTCTATTCAGTCAGCAAAATTTCAAAGTGCAGTGAAATTAAAAATTACAAGCACTGCCAAATTCCAAACTTACTGACCTCGCCAAATGGACTTGAGAAAATGTTCTCCAATATAAACTTTAATTTTTTCCTATTGGTTAAAAATTCTTTCCAAAGGATGTCAGAAAGTAATAAAGAGGGAAACATTTTTAGGTCTAACTAATTAATATTTTAGACAAGTTAAGGTTCTTATGATGGAGACCCCACTGTTTATTTAAACAAAGAAGCAGAAAAATAAATGTCACAGGACCTATATATGAGGCATTTATAATTAATAATAAGTCTATTCCTTCAGAACCATCCTTATGTAGTTTTTCTAGCCAAAATGAGAAAATGTTCTCAGCTTGTGAGTTTATAGGTTAAGTTGAAGTGAAAGGATTTTACCTTCTTTGTCGTACTGATTGATCCTAAATGCTAGTCTTAGGCTGAACACTCAACAGGACAATTCTGACCACTCAAAGAGGGTAGTTGGGGTTCACTAGAGTTCTTCCCATGCCAGTGTTCAAATCATGTGTTTGCTTTTAAGTTCTGTTACATTTTCATCAGGCATGTGTTGGCTTCTTTCTGCTAAGATCAATCACCTTATTCCTCTGTGTATTTCTAAAGCAAATTAAATGCATTTTTTTCCCCAAACCAATGCTGGCATCACTGTTTAAGGAATTGGAATAAAGAGCTGTGGATTCCAGGTTGCCAATAACTTTCTTCATGAAGTCTAGCTGATTACATGGAAAGCCAGGAGCAAGGTTTATTGGGAGAAAGAAAGAATAAAGAGTTTAAAATTTGGTTAGGAAGAAAAGAGAAATATATGAAAATATAGTTAGTTAACATGGCATATGATAAGGGCAAATTAGTCTTGCATTATTCTCAGTTTATTTACATTGGACTGGGGAAGACTCATCATTGAGTTTGGTTTTGAAATAACTCTGATTTGAAACAAATGAGACATTTTAGTAGAATTCTGAATTGTTTAAAAAATATTTGGCCTAACTCCTGGGAGATAGATTATATATTTTTTCAAATGTTCTTCTCAAAAGCACAGTCTATTATATCTTGTTAGTAAATATTAGATGAAAGTTTGAAAGGGATAATGATGAATCAGCCTTCGGGTTTGGTTTCCTCATGTGTGAAATGTGGTTAGCAACTAGATGATTTACACCATCTCTCTTACTCTTAGCTCCATGAGTTTAATATGGAGCTGTACATAAGACAGAAAAGCAAAATTAAGAGGATCTTCAAAATAATATTAGATTTAAAAATCCATTTTGTCTTTTGGGTAAAAGCAAGCAAACAAAAAGAACTAGAAACATCAAGTTATTGAGAAGATTAAAGGAAGTGTGTGTGTGTATATATATATATGCATACATACACATACATATGTATATATATAATTGTTTAAAAAAACCATATTTGTACCAATAATTCTATCATATAAATTAAATATGACTAAAAGGTTGAAATTCCTTGTTTCCATGGTCTCAAACAGAGTGGACTGGGGAGTTCCACATCTCTATCTTTTCTAAGCCAATCTTGATATCATAGTTAATTGCAATGACATCTTTTGTTCAAATAAACTGCAGTTGATAGAGACACAGCCTCTTTTGATCAATAAGTTTGAAGCGTAATGCCAAGAGCAAGAGACATAATTTGTGAGGGGTAAATCAGTGGAGTAATGGCATTCCATTAAAAAGATAATGCTAGTCCAGAAATACTGAGATAATGGAAGCAATTGCCTAGAAGGCTTATTTTCCCTTCTTTTAGCTTCATTAATCAGAAAAGGAGAATGAAGCCTGGACTGAGGACTACAGTTCATAGTAAGAGGAAGAATCTTATTTTTCCATCTTTAATTTCTATGATAGTCCAAATCTATATTAAAAACACCGAGAACATTCAAAATGTTCATGAAGTATTTTAAGCAACAATAATAGCGCAATATAGTACACTATGTATAGAGAAAAGAAAGAGAATAGCTTATCACCAACTTTATGAAACTTACTGACTCTAAGTAGAGAACGAGCCGGTCAGGTTTCAAGTTTTTCTTAAATGTCAATATTCTAAAAAAGAAAGCTGATTCTTGGGGAGTCTAAGGAAATAAATGATTCTTCAAGCATTTGCATATTTTGTGACTAAAATCATAGGCAACTTGTTCCTCACAACATGAAACTAATTTTACATGTGTCTACTTAATGAAATATGTTTTTTGGAAATAATCTTATTTATTTCCCTGTATCCCATGAAGCCAAATCTCTCCTCAAATCAATCTCTTCCTTTCTCTCCTTTTTAGTGTAACAGACATTTGTTGTTTTTGCTATTGGGACCTGGGTAGTTAAAAAATTTGATTATCAACTCAAAATTTCCAAGGTACGTATTTTCTTATGGGAAGTGATGGATAGATGTCATAAAATGCAATGCTAATGTCATGAGACATTAAAAACAATAAGCGTCCAGAACTTTAATCGCTAACTGAATAAGGCTTCCATCAAAGTAGTCACCTTTGGAGACGAGATGCTTGGATGATCATGCCCCTGCTCTAAACAATTTTGGAACTTTTCTTTTGGAAAGAACTTTGGAGTAAGGAATGGGCAATGCCAAAAATTATTTCAAGATTGTACCGACTAACTATCTTTTGTACGAGAAGACATGTTACCCAGCATAATCACCCACATGCAGACTTGACTTCTTTATCCGTCAGGGTTCAAGCAAGAAATATATTGCTCACTTACATAATGTGAGTGTGTGTGTGTGTGTGTGTGTGTGTGTTTAATTGAGGACCTTTTAACAAAGGTCTATTTATAAAAGATGTGGAAGGGATAATGGGAAACCAATAAGGGATGGGGGAGCCTTTATTTTTCCTAGGTTTGGATTGGATAAAAGTAGGGAGGTGCTATTGGCATGTTGAGTCAGATGTTACGTAAGAGCTTTCCCACTGCACCTGGGGACTACAGAGGAGAAGGCAGCCACACCTCTGAGCTCACTCTCCTCTTTACCTTCAAAACTCTGATGGTGCTTCCTTTTGTCCATTCTTGATGGAAAGCTGGAGAGCCAGGGACCCTCCTTTCTTCAGCCCATACAGATCAGTCTGCTAGGACACAGAGCAGAGTAGAGAAGCATGGAGAGTGATCTGGAGGGGCGAGTGGAGAATACCCAGCACAGCCATTCCTGGCTCACCTGTTCACAGTGATCCTCATCGCTCCACCAAAGACTGTCAGGAGGACGGGTGTAGCTGTGGAAGGCAGTTCTAAGAGAAGGGTCCCTTACATAAATGGAAAATGGAAACTCACTGGAATAAGCAGGCAGCCAACAGGGGAAATGAGTATGCTTTAGTTCATTCATTATGATTCAGCCTTATTCCTTTACCTTATTCCTTTACAGCCATGTCTTAGCTTTTGACAGGAACATATGTGAATGACTTTTAATACATTCAAACTAAGACATTTTCATTGTTCTTTAGGTGAAACAAATGTATATTTTTTTGTGAAGACTTTTAATAGAGAGTGGAAAACTACAAAATGACGAATCAAAAATGTGTGTGTTTGGTGTGTGTGTGCGGTCATCTCCATAAATTAACTATGCACATAGAGTCTTGAAAATCTCACTTGGATTTGGGAATTGGAGATTAAAAACAAAAATTTTGGACATCTGTAATAATCCAAATCTGCCTGCTCTTGACAGTTTTTATTTTCTTGAACCAGTTTCAGTGCCTTGGCAGGTTCAGTGATGTTTTATTTTTGCTGGAAAATAGGAGCAGGGCAGTAGTCATGACTGCCAGGGACACAAAAGACAAATTATCCTGAGTGTGCTCTGGAAAACATTGAGAGCATTGATGTACAAGCCTTGATTTGCTGGACAGAGGTATGGATTACCTAATAGGGCTTCTACTTCTCTGGCACAATTAGGCTATCTTTTATCCAAATTAAGAGATTGAACATTTTTCCTATGAAAATCAGGTCAATTTTTGGTCTTGTAATTCACCAGTTATTGTGCACAGTTACTATCTCTGTCTGTTGAATAACAGTGGTTCAAAGGTCCTAAATGAGATACTAGGAGAAAGCATTTATTGTATGTTCTTTTGAGTAATTGAGACAGAATAGAGTGTGATATCAAAACTGGTTTTTGTCCTTAAGAAAACCCGAGGTACAGATGGATTCAGTGGTAACTTCTAGCAAATATTTAAGGGAGCGATGCCAATCTTATACAAATTCTTTCAGAAAATAGAGGAGGAGAAAATGTGTCCCAACCTGTCTTATGAGCCAACACAGCCCTGATGCCAAAACCTGTCAAAGATATTACCAAAAATAAAAAAAAAGAAAAGACAGGAAAATTGCAGACCAATATTTCTCATGAACATAGGGACCAGATTCTCAATGAAATATCAACAAATTAAATCAATAGCACATAAAAGAATATTACATAATAACAATGTGGAAGTTATTCCAGAAATGCAAGATTGATTTAATACTTAAAAATCAATCAACGTAATTCACCATATTAACAAAATAAAGGAGAAAATTTAAATGATCATTTTCATAAATGCAAATTTGTCTATGTGCTTTTCTTTACATATATGTGAATTCATGATAAAGTATTGCCCTTTAAAAACTTTCTGTCTCACTTTTTTTTAATAAAAAAAGGAAAACAAAAGTAAAGACAAGCTCTATAGTTTAGTTTAAAACTCTGTTTAAAGATTAGTTTCTTTATAAGTAAAGATTATACTTAATTTTTTAAAAATGGCAGAAAGAGTGAAATTTATAAAAATCCTAATTGCTCACATAGTAGGGGTCAGATTTGACCTCAACTGGATCTGGAATGGATCTGTCGTCCATACTACACACACCCACAGAATGCATTTTTCCTTTGCTGCACGTCCACATTCAGCCTGTGGTAAGTGAGCTCCCACATCTGTCCAAGTCAAGGTGCTGGGGTCTGAGGGCCTCTTTGGATGTGGCTGGTGTCAACCTAAAAAAAGATGAGAGAGATGTCCAAATCAGGGGTGCAGCTCAATGGAAAGCAACTTCCCCCTTCTTTCCCTCCCTCCCTTTCTCCAGCCATTCATCCGTGTAATAAATAGCTGAGGATCTACCTTGTGAAAGGCACAAGAGAAAAGAAGCTGCTGCCCTCCTGGAATGTATATTCTAAGAGGATTACTCATGGCAATAATAATATGCTTATCTTTCTCTTATGTATCAGAAACCCAAGGAGTAAATGTGGTGGTAATTTTTGGTCTACCACAGTTTAGATGGCTCTTGAATGGGCTAGAATATAACTTCCAGTTTTGTTCATTTCATTTCTGGCCAAAGACTATCTGCTTTCTTATCTTCCTTCCCCTTTCTCATTTCTGTACAGGATTCTACGTGTTTTAAGAGTTGGTCCTACCTTTCTTCTCGATCCACTTGATCACAAAGCAACCTTTCTAGAACATCGTTTTCGCCATCACAAGACAGTTGGTTCCAGATGGTAAAGCCTGATCATTTAAGAACTCTTGATGGAAACATTTTGTGAATAGGCAAATAGTTTCAGTGTTTTTTTCTTTTTTGGTTCTGCATTGACTCCTCAGAGATTTGGTTGGAAGTTGTAGGCCTAGTTTTACTTGGAACATTACATATTCAATAAATCCCTCGATTAATCTTACTTTGTGTCATGGAAGAACATGGAATTTCTTTGATATTTAATCTGTAAAGTTTCAAAGAAAGTCTTTAGGGTCTATCAAGGTAGCATAACAATATTTAAGTGATAACAACAATAGAAATTAAGCTGAACTCTTGAAGAATTTCTATAGATATGTGATTATTTTGGATCTTGGGTGTTATGAATGATGTGGTATGACGTATGACATTGTGAATATATGGCATGACACAATGTATCTCTCAGGGGAATAATATTGAAATTATTTATAAAATAATTTCTTCTAACCTAATTCCATTGTTTTCTTGTTCTGTTTGGTTGTTAATTCCAGGGTTCCTCTGTGAATTTTCTGAAACGTTTTAGGTTGAACCTGAAGCACTGTTACTCTGTACGTTTTATGAGATTCAACTGAATATGTCTAGTTCTTGACAGCTAATTATTTCTATACACAGGTTCCTAATTATTATTAGGCTTCATCCTGTCTCAAGGGTTTTTTCTCCTAAATGGAAATTTGTGTTTATGTAATAACACCATACTAGTTATTTAATGGACTATTGTCTGTCAACATTGCCTGTTTTGCTGAATGTTGGGTCTGTACTTACCACTTCCACAGAGGTTTCATTTTTGGCTTTTTTTGAGGGGTTAGATTATTCTCTGTCTTGAAGGAAATAATTATGTTTATAATGACAGGAACAGAACCTTTTCTTAGGTGAGTTACTTTCCTAGGTAGATGGTGCAATTTAATCCTCTGTTATATATTTTGTTCATAAGATGAAGTGAAAATCACCTACCCTCTGAAACATTCAATTTTTATTCCAGAAGCAGTTTATGTAATAGTCCTTAAGGATTTTTCTGGAGGCTCCACTTTTCCCTACATGTCTTGTTAAGCTATGGCCAAACTGCAAATTACCCAGCCTTTGAGAGCAGGTGATAAATAAAATAACTGGATTGAGGTGGTCCAAAGAGATTTTGCAAAGTCATCTACTCTATCATATATTTTTGACTGTTCTTCAGGTGAAAAGTAGTTTATAATTAATAGATGAACCAAACCAATTCAAGATTATTAATTGAAAGTGTGCAAGTAGGCAGGAAACCAGCATTTTCTGAGATCATTGTATCATTTAATCTTTCAACAACCTTCTAAGGAAAAATGTTACTTTTTCCTGTGTCACTGATGATAAACTAATGATAACTTGCTCATTATCAGGCATTGAGTTAGAAACCAGAGTAAGATTATAATCCAGGCTTATGGCATGCTGCTATGAACTGAATGTGTCTCCCTTAAATGCATATGTTGAAGCCTTAAATCCCCAATGTGGTGGTATTAGGAGGTGGGGCCTTTGGGAGGTGATTAGGTTTACAGGGGGTTATTAGGGTGGAGCCCCCACAATGGGATTAATGTCCTTATAAGCAGAGACCAGAGAGAGAACATCTCTCCTCCATCCCCCATGTGAGGATACAGCAAGAAGGCATCTGTCTGCAAGAAAGCCCTCACCAGAAACCCCGAATTGGCTGACATCTTGATCTTGTACTTTCCAGCCCCCAGAATTGCGAGAAATACATTTCTCTTGCTTAAGCAACTCAGTCTATGGCATTTTGTTACAGTAGCCTGAGCTGATTAAGACAGCTGACTTGTTTAGGAATAGCAATCTTGCCTCTGCTTAGGGAATTTCTACTTTGAAGATTACCAGAAACAAGGGAAAGAGGAAACCACTTGGTCATCACAATTTGAAAAAAAATTATATTATAGAGTTTATCAGTGCTGAAAATAAAAGATAACAAATGAGCAATTTAACTAGAAAGGAAGAGAAAAGAATAGAAAATTATCTCTGAGGCCTTTGCCTTGCCTTTGGAAAAGGATTCGAGCTGGTATATGGCAAATAAAACTTTCAGCCTGGGGCTTGCCAAAATGTCAGAGAAGATTTCAATGTCTTTTACTCTCGTCAGTGCACAAGCCACGGAGAGAAACAAACCACCACTCTGTGGCTTGTCTGTTCCACTTAGCAGTAGAATTTAGACCCCACATCTGAGCATGGGCTGGGGTTCAGGCTTTAATGACTCAGAGATCACTTCTTTCATCCACCGGCTCAGGGAGAAGGTAAGATTTGTGACGCTTGTCCAGGCCAGTGAACAGAGGTGTTCTATTTCCCATCTTAAATATGGATGGTCCTTATGCTCTTGGGAGTTTTCAGAAGACTCATTTCAAGCCCTCCTTTTTCTCGGGCTTAATTTCTCATGTTTTGTCTCTCTGAGTGTGTTACCCCAGATGCCAGCCTCTTGGGCCTACATCTGAGACTGAAACCCTGTGAGTCATGGCCTTCAGCTCCTCACTCTTGTTTTGAGGTCTTTTCTATTTCTGGCACATGGAAATTTCTTTCTTGTTTTCACCCCCAGCTTATTTTTTGGTCATTTTATCTTTTATTCAGCATTTCTATGTGTTTTGGAGTAGAATGTACTGTGTCAATGCAGTCTACCATATTGATGGGAGGTTTCCCATTACTGAAAGTGTGATATTTTTATTCTATTTATAGTTACCTGTTGATTTTCCTGAACATTTTGTTATTCTAACCTTGGTTACACTTGTGAGATGACTATATATATACTTTGATAGAAAACTATGTCTATAATGTGCTGGCTCATTAAGAAATAACTTATTTAATTATGTAGTTAAACAGATATTAATTCAGAAACCACATTAGCCTAGAAAATAATGTTAAATATATTTAAGCTTAGAATTTACAAGAAGGCTCTTAGAAAGGTTGAAAGCAAAATTTGCAGAGTGCCTAAGGGTTGAAAGTTTCATTGACTCTTCTGAGCAATGAAACTTTGGCAAAGGATATGTTTTAATGAGGCTTTTTTTTTCCCCCTGAGAGAGAAGACTGGAGTTCTACTTGCTGTATATAAAACTCCCTATAACCTCTTAACAGGTGTTGCAAGAATAAAGAAAACTACTGTTCTGCTCTCCTTGGAGACATCTTACCTGACACACAGATCCAGATTCAACCACAAGGGTAGAGTAGGGGATTACACGATTAAATTGGTCCTTTTCTTCAGCTTCAGAATCAGAACAGAAAGGAGATTCCCATTTTGGGTCTGAAATCAAGTGGCTTTGACAATACTTATTGTTATACTTTGTCCTTGTCCCTTTCTTTAACTCATGGGTTTTCAGGAGGAAGATTTTAATGTTTAATGAAAATATAATTCAGTTCATCTACTTTCAAGTTAAATTTATCTTTTTAAAACTGGCCCAGTGAAAAGCTTTATTTGCTCGACATTCTAGAAATATAATGCTAACAAATAAAGAGGACTGGAAAGCTGCAATTCTTTGGAACAGAATATTCCAGAACAGAACTGAAACCATGTGCCTATTTCAAGCATATTTGAAAAAGCTTGTATCACATTTTGTCTCATCATGGGTTTAATGTCATTGGTAGGAAAGGGAAGGTAAAAATAACTGTCTAAACCCTGACTAAAGATTCTTGACCTGTTAAGAATTTCTCTTAAGATGCAGGAAATGAGATTATCATCTTTTCAGAGGGGTCAGCACCAGGGGAAGGTTTAGAAGAGTGTGTGGCAATCAAAACAAAAACAAAATGAAAACAGAACACACTCCTTCTCTGCGCTAACACCTCATAAAAGTAAAATCCCAACCTAAACAATGAAAATCCAAGAGCTCTAAATAAGACCTAGTATACTGAAAGATCCCAATAAAAATATGTAGTACTATATATATATATATAGATATACATAAAGTAATAGGATGTTTTGAAAGCTGTGGGACATCTGGCCAGGTGAGGAAGGAGTATAAAAAGGTAGAAAAGAGTAAGGTCCTATTGTAATCATAAGGAGTTTCCTTAAACCTCTGGAAGAAACCTTAAAGGCAGGGTCTCTGAATTCCATACCATATGTGAAGACACTTTGCCAGTTTTGATTTCTTTACCTTTGGGGCTCATCAGTGAGTCTGCTATAAGCTAAGAACTTATTTGGAAGTATGTGTGACCCTCTTGTATAGGGAAATAAAAACTAAAAGTTTCTGTAATGCCATGTAGTGAAAAGCACAGTATCTGCTTTTGTTAGCTTGGGTCACATTTTTATTTTTATAAGCAGAGTTTTTCTGCAATCAAGTCGGTTTCCAAGGAATCTGAGAAATAATCTCTCTTTATTTCATTATATCATTTCATTATAAAGAAAGAAACTGATAAATTTGGCCAAAATTATGGCCAAAATGATATTGTGGCTGTGCCTTTGGATAAAGTCATATCCTAGGTATTTCTAATAGCACTGGCACAACCTACCAAAGAATTAAACCTTGAGAAGGAGGAATCTGAGTTGAGTCTTCTAGTTTTTTCAGTTTGGGAGGTTTCCTCTTAAAAGGGCAAATGTTCGTATGTGCCAACTCATGTGAAAAGTTAGGTTATCGGGTACATAATCTCCTTTCCCCTTTTCAAAAATACAGTTGCTTATTAAATTCTTATACATGTAACAGAACCAATACAAATAACATTTTTGATGAAAACATAATTCTGTCTCTATTTCACATCTTCTCACAATTCTCCAGGCCAGAGTTTTGGGATTGCCCTTTCTCTATACTGAATTCTCTTTCCCCGCGGGGTTATAAACTCATGGCCCTGTGATAATAGACTAAGAGGACTTTCCTCTGTACTGTGATAGATGACATTGTGACCCAAGTCCTTCCAGAGAGATATTTTTTGTCTTGTCTGAAATGAATATAGTACCTCTTCATGGCCTAGGCAAATCTGAATATGAGTATGATAAGAGTGTCAAAGTGGAACATAGAGTCTCAAGAATTCTTACCATTCCCACTGTTTTCTATTTGGTGACTTGGATTTCTAAAACAAAATACACATGGTGTAAGTGTGGGAAGGGACCATAGATATAAGGCAATCTAACCTCCAACAATTAATGATGAAGAATCATTAATTGTTTTAACTATTTAATTGTAAGCAAATCATTAGGATTCTTGGTTCTAGACTCAAAAGATCTAGAGCAGTTTGAGTCTAGAACCAAGAAGCCTAATGATTTGTTTCACAAACTCTCCTAGTGTTCATGTTTGGTTGGGGACTTTTGTGGATGTATCCAAAGGATAATGATTACTCCAAGAGGGAAAGGAAATAAGTGTCAGTGATCCATAATCTCTGTTTATCCCAGTACTCCACAGATATCTAAGGGCATCATCTCAAGAGCTAATAATGCAAATGATTATCTAATTAATAATTTTGTGCTGTTCTTTGGAAAAAATATGCAAGGTTATTCCTGCAGCAAGTACTTTATAGACTTCAATAAATTTCATAAGATTTATTTCTATAATCCCTGCCTCGTACTGCTTGCCCCACAACTCAAATCTTAAAGTTATGCAGTTTGGGTTATTTTGATCATGGACATTTGATGTTTAAGTGGGATAGGGTGGGGTTCAAAACTTAATAAAGTATCTGGGTTTTGTTATGGAATGATGCAAACTTTGGTGAATCTCTTGACAATATTGGGATTGGGAAATCTGCCAAGAATATTGCTTCTACTTGGTGACGAAACATTATAAGGCTTTCTCCAGTATGGCAAGTATTGAGAAATGTGGATTTTCATAGTTTATGAAACCTCTTAGTAAAAAAAAAAGTAACTTTTTTTGCAAAATACTTTGAAAAAAGGAAAATTTCTATTGATCATTTGTGAGTTTATATCTATATTTCGGTGGTTCTCATCTAGGGGCAAAGTTGCCCCGGAGGGAATGTTTGGCAATGTGTAGAGGCATTTTTTGTAGTCATGACTGGGGTGGAGGATGCTACTGGCATCTGGTGGATCGAGGACAGGGATGTTGCTAAATATCATACATGTACATGTAGCACTTTGCCCTAAAAAAGAATTCTGTGTCCTAAATGTCAGTATTTCTGAGGTTGAGAAGCATATCATAATTTTTTATTCTTTCTTAGAATATTAACAGTTTGCATAACTCGTGATGGCCTGGTAACTCTAATTTATACACCAACCATGGTTGAAGGCCAGCACATGCCAAGCCCATCTTTTCAATGTTCTTCAAAGTATAATTTTATAGATCATAGAAGGTGGTACTAGGCAAGCCCTCTGTCTCCTCCCGACTCTTCAAAACATCCTCCTGCGAGGTTAGATCCTCTACTGGCATTTTACAAACACTGAAATTAAGCACACTTTGTAACTTCAAAAAGCACCACCTAAGAATTACTTAAAAAGCAAAAGAAAATGGCTGAACCCTTATCCTTCTCTCACCTCCCACAAATATACCAGAGTCAGCCTGCACCATCACTAGCCTTTTAGTCTTTCAAAACAAACAAAAAAAGAGAAGGAAAGAGACTCCTTTCTCCTCCTTGTCTTAAGCCTGTTAAACTGTAGCATATTTAGAATAAAGGATTTTGCATTTTATGACCACCTAGTTTACTATAAAAGGGGAACGTCAACCATCTTTACCTAATTTCTAAGTTGCACATTGTCCAGGTTTAGCTGATGATTGGAGCATATTCATCCTTTCCCACATACTTGAATAGAAAAGGAAAAAATGTATTTGTCTCTTTGTTGTATTCTGAAATGCTTATTTGTAGTTGTTATGTTAGTACCAGTTTCCTAGGTCTGGACTGTTCTTATTTCCATAGTAACCACATAGCCTATAACTCCTTTAAAAGGTGATCTATTGTTTTTTTTTCTAGTAAATTAGAATTTCTTGCCTTTGTGCTCTGCTTTTTAAAAAATCCATGGTTTGGGATTGTGAGCAAGTAGAGAGATGAGAGGATGCCACACACACTGAATGAAATGTGTATTTAACCTGTAAGAAATATGTGTGGGTTCCCTTTGTGTTAGGTAGTTTTTCTCTAAGATTATTTTTTAATCTACTTGACATAATAAACTACATGTAACATCCAGATGTTCAGCATATTCAGTACAATGAACATTATCAATAATATGTGACATTCTGATGTCTACAACATGCCAGCTTTGTGCTGAATTATTCCTTTATATCATCTACTTTAAAACAATTTTTTAGAACAACCCCATGGGGAAGATGCTATTA
Source organism: Homo sapiens (assembly GCF_000001405.40). Classification (NCBI taxonomy): domain Eukaryota; kingdom Metazoa; phylum Chordata; class Mammalia; order Primates; family Hominidae; genus Homo; species Homo sapiens. Next base: position 153,921,404 of record NC_000004.12, read on the forward strand.
TTATCCCCATTCTACAGATGAGGAAATAAAGATTGGAAAAGTTAGGAAATAAAGCCGGTATCAACTGATTATTGAGTGGTAGTGGTGGAAGTAGAATCCAGTCTGTCACTGAACCATGAAGCTACTGTACCTCACCATTCAGTAAGCATTGATTGCAGGCAGGCTAGGGGCTGGGGCTGGAAAGACGAACGATACAGTGCCTTCCTTTAAGGAGCTCGCAGCTGAGTGAGGGAGATGGATACACAAACAGATAACTGTTTCAGCCTGAAAATGTTCACAGGATGTTACCAGCATATAGAATGTCTGATGTAGAAACTGGATTGGGTGCCTTATAAATGACCCCGCTACAGGGCCCTCTCTCTTCAATTACTCAGGAACATGTCCAGCTTGGCCTCTGTGCTTCATGGAGGCTGCTCTGACCCTACAGAGGGATGGAAGCCAGGTAGGAGGGTGGTCTGATGCCTCCCCCTGCAAAGTTAAGGACCACAAATGCCAGGTTCAGATGAGGTTGCTATCCTCTGGGAACACCAATCTTCAGTCAAGATGCTTGGAGGAAGTGGATCAGGGTCTGTGATTCTTATGTGTACAGTATATAGAGATTACCAGCAATGGTCCTGGGTGGATTGGTGATGGCTATAGGAAAGTTCTCTTGGGTACAGGCAGCTCTGGAAACTCTCTAAGACCACAGAACAAATCCTGCATTTTTATAGATGGGGAAGATAAGACTTGTATTAGATAAGAGTTCCTTATAAAATGAAGGGAGCTTGTCTTGCTGGGCCAAGAGCATTTAAGCGTCAGAGAGGGATTTGAATCCACACAGCCTATGGACAGTTTCCATGCTCTTAATCAGAGACTGACAGCCTCTCATTGAAATATAGCTGGCCCATTTTGGGCTGGCACAGACTACAATTGAAGGTACAGGATTGTCTATTAAAGTCTTGAGGTTTCCTCTTTTCCCATTCAGCACTTTGCTCTCATTTGCATCTGTGTCTTTTCTGCATGTGACGTTATTGATGTTATCTGTCCCTCAAGTTCTTCCTGTCCTTTAACTTTCCCTCTGACTTCTGTCACCAATTTTTCCATCTCTTTCTATGTAAGTCTTTCCTAACCAAAGTTCTGTTAGTATACTTTATTAAATAATTCCTCTGTGAAAAAGACACCCCAAACTTCCAATTTCTTGGCCATATCCACTTCCCCATTTCCTCACAGCCTTCAAGAGAAACCCACCCTACGCCCTCTTGATTTCAGACCTCTGGCCTCCAGAATGGTGAGACAACACAGTGCTATTGTTTAAGCCACTCAGTTCATCATACTTTGTTATAGCAGCCCTGGGAGAAAAACATGCCTTTCATTCAGCACAGATGCCATGGTCTGACATCATAGCCACCCCACAAATCCCATATCCACTTTTGTCATACTTGCCTGGCATTCCCTCCTGTAGCATCCTGGTGAGATCCATTTATTTGCATGCTCTGGGGCTGAACTTTTGCAACAGAACATCATGGGAAGGAAACACATCCCTGCAAACTGGTCTTGCTTACCTTGAGGTTGCCCAGGCTGGCTAACCTCAAGTGGGCCCTTGGTGTTGCCCAGCTACTATGCTACCTCTCCCTAGAGTCAGCTCTCTCTCCTGCCATCTGATATGATCATTATAGCCCTTCTCTCTCTTCAACCTTTCGGCACTTCCTTCCCACCTTCCTGATCCAGTGATGACTCTGCTGCCCAGCTCATGGAGAAAATGGACGTAATTGGGAGAGAACTTCTGTGTGCTCCCCACCATGCACATCCACCCTCCCGTATCTGTATCAAGGTTTTCTGCTTTCTCTCTTGTTATTATGAGGAACCACCCATGTCCTGTCTTCAGCCTGCTTCTTTCTCTTGCACCCGATCCCATCCCTCTTTGCCTATTCCAGACTATTGTTGAAAAACTACCTATCAGGTTCCATGCACAGTACCTGAGTGATGAGATCGCTCATACCCCAAACCTCAGCGACACGCAAGTTACCCATGTGACAAACCTGCACATGCACCCTGAACCTAAAATAAACGTTGAAAAAAAAAGAATATCATTTCAGAAATTTTCTCTGGGATTTTTCTCAACAGTTGTTACACGCTCATTTGTGTTCCCCGAAAATTCATATGTAAAGTCCTAACCCCCAGTACCTCAGAAGGTAACTGTACTTGGAGACAGGGTCTTTACAATAGGTAATTAAGTTTAAAGGAGGTCATTGGAGTGGGCCCTAATCCAGTATGACCGGTATCCTTAATAAAGAGATCAGGATGCAGACGCGCACAGAGGGAAGACCATGTGAAGACACCAAAAGACGATGGCCATCTGCAAGCTGAGAAGAGAGGCCTCGGGAGAAACCAACCCTGACGCCACCTTGATCTTTTACTTCTACTCTCCAGGACCGTGAGAAAATAAATGTCTGTTGTTTAAGTCACTCAGTCTGTGGTGCTTTGTCATGCCAGCTGTAGCAGACTGAGACAGCCCTACAAATGTGCTGCCATTTCTCTCATCTTCAGCAGCCTGACCCTTTCCTTTTTTTCTCCTTTTTTTTTCCTTTGAGACAAGGTCTCACTCTGTTGCCCAGGCTGGAGTGCAGTGGCACCATCTTGGCTCACTACAACCTCTGCCTCCTGGGATCAACTGATTCTCTTGCTTCAGCCTCCCGAATAGCTGGGATTATAGGCGTGCACCACCATGCCCAGCTAATTTTTGTATTTTTAGTAGAGACGGGGTTTTGCCATGTTGGCCGGGCTCTGACCCTTTCTTGATTCCTCATCTCCTTTCCTCTGCTCCTTTCCAGAAAGACCTTGAGCTTTCTGTGTTGGCTGTGTCCACTTCCTCTCCTCTCAGTTTTTCTTCCATCTCATTTTCAGATCTCTGAGTACTGGAGTGTCCCAGGGATTAGTCTTTGAACCTCTCCATTTCTTTTCCCATAATTACTTCCTATGTGAATTAATTTAGTCTCATGGCTTTAAACACTACTCATCAGCTAGCAACAGCTTAGTTCATCTCTCCCTTGCCCATTGGGTGTGTATACAACTGCTCACTCAAGACCTCTACTTGGAGGCCTAATTGCCAACTTCAACTTAATACGTCCCAGACTACCTTCTGATTTCCATTTCCCATCCCCCTAAGACCCCAAATTCTGCTCTCCTGCCATCTTCTGCATCTCTTAGATGGCTATGCCCTCTTTCTATTTGTCTACACAAAGACAGACAAAACAAAACAAAATAACTTTGGAGTTATCCTTGAATGCTCCCATTGTCTTATACTGGTCATCTAATCTATCAGCAAATCCTGTTGAATTATTTTACAAATATATCTAGAGTCTGACACTTACCACCTCTACAACCACCACTCTGGTCTAATCCTCCACCATCTCTCATCAGCATTATTGCTATTGGCACCCAACACATTTCCCTGCTTCAGTCCTTGCCTTTATTAGTCCTTCATTTTAGCCTCTGTATAGCAAGCAGAGTGAGCCTTTAGAAATATAAGTCAATCATATAACTGCTTGCCTTAGGTCTCTCCAACAGCTCTCTTTCTCGGTTAGAGTAAAAGCCAGAGTCCTTACTCTAGAAGGACTAGAAGAAGAAGTCAACAACTAGAATCTGCTCCTCCCTCCCCTGAATCCATTACCTCTGTGAACACATCACTTCCCTTACTTCATCCTCATTCACTCAGCACCAGCCATGCTGATTGCCCTGCAATTTCTTAAAGATATGAGCATGCTCCCACCTTGGGGCCCTTGTACCTGCTAACCCGTCTTTCTGGGACGCTTTCCCCATAAGGAGAGATAGCACTTGTACTGTGCTAACTGTGGGCCAAGTCTGTTCTAAGCACTTTGCAGGTAAGAACATATTTGATCTGCATGTCTCATGCCTCGACTTCCTTCAGATCTTTGCTCAATGTTGCGAGAAATGCCCTCTCTGACTACTATATGTATATGTATATATATACACATATATATAAACTTATATATAGAATATATATAGAATATATAGCTTATATATTTACATATAGTTTATATATTTATAAACTATATATTCTATATATGGTTTATATATGTTTATATATATGTGTATATATATACATCTACCTCCCTCATCTCCCTATCCTCTTTACTGTGTGTTTTCCCCCAATCCTGTCATCATCATTCATGAGATACATTTACTTGTTTATTTTCTTATATGTTTCCTTCACTGGAATTATTATACACTCATGAGGCAGGGCTTTTTTGGTTCTCTGCTTGTCAAATCACTGACTGACTGACTGAATTTTATACTTGGTACTATTGGCAAGCCTACCTGAAATCAGTAATGCATTATCAGGGTCTTACAGCTCTCTTCTATGGCCCTAGCACTGTATGTGCCAGACAGGCTTTGCGGGAGTGTGCAGGGGATGAAAGTGAGTGTCTAAAAAACATTTAAGGCCCTCCTCTCAAAGACCTTTTGGTTAGGTTGATAGCACTGCTCAAATACATGTGACACAGTGATGATTTTTCTTTGTGGGGTTAGGAATGGAACTTGGGGAGCTTATATAGCCAGGCACAGCTTCTGTGAAGAAGAGAATTTTGAGCCAGTCTTTAAAGAATGGCCAAGGTTTAGTAGCAGCACAGCGTGAGATGGGACACAGAGTGGAGAGAAAGCCAGGGTTTTGTGAGAATATGTATGGAGATGTTTGCATGTATTCACATACACATGTAGCCACTATTTAGTCCTACTACAAACACAGAGAACACACACACACACACATTTACAGAATGGAATGTTATTTTATTAAATGTTCTGTAACTTTCTAAAACTAATAATAAATTGACAGTACCTTTTTGAGACAAGTCACCTCCAATCTTATCGAATTTGCTTCTGCAACTATAAAACAGGCATAATAGTGCCTGTTTCCTCAGGTTCGTGGTATAACCTAGTGGCTTCAAATTCTGTCTCTGCTACTTTCTAGCTGTATGACCTTGGACAAGTCATTTAGCCTCTCTATGCCTCAATTTCCTTATATGTGAAATGGGGATGATAATAAGTGCCTCATAAGATTGCTTTAAGAATTCAGGCTGGGCACAGTGGCTCACACCTTTAATCCCAGCATTTTGGGAGGCCAAGGTGGGCAGATCATGAGCTCAGGAATTCGAGACCATCCTGGGTAACATAGTAAGACCCTGTCTCTACTAAAAATACAAAAATTAGCCAGATGTGGTGGCCTGCGCCTGTAATCCCAGCAACTTGGGAGGCTGAGGCATGAGAATCGTTTGAACCTGAGAGGTGAAGGCTGCAGTGAGCTGAGATGGCACAACTGCACTCCAGCCTGGGTAACAGAGTGAGACTCTGTCTCAAAAAAAAAAAAAATTCAATGAATGAATACATGTGAAGTATTAGAGCAGAGGCTGGCATATAATGCTATATAAAGGTTAGCTGTCATTGTCACTAGGTGAGAATGAACTATGATAATGAACTCACCGACCTATTACTAGGCAAAGATTAAGTATAAAGCCTGTGAAAAGTGATGCATAACATTACACAAATGTATGCTTGTGTATATCTGTGAGGAGTTTCAAGCGAGTATGTGTAAGTGGGTGCATTTTTCATCCTTGCCACAGCATTGAATGGTGGTTAAAATGAATAGGCTCTTAGACATATACTCTAGAATCTAATCCTGAATCCACTATGTACCAGCTGTGTATCCACTGGGAAATTACTCAATCTCTCTGTACCTAAATATCCTCATTTGTAAAGTGGGATTAATAACAACAACCCCCATAATAATAATACCTCCTTTATTGGGTGGTTATGTGGCATAAATGCAATAGTATATATAAAGTGCTTTTCCCAGTGGCTTGGTGTAGTCAGCACTCAGTGAAGGTTAGCTGTTATTAGTAGCTCTTATTTGTGATGAGTCTATGTAACTGGGACCTTAATGTAGCAGTTCTATTAATCCCCCAAGTTTTACAGCATAGTCTGACCTTGTGTGTCCCTTTTGGCTAGTAAAGCGGTTGGTGAGAGGCTGAATAATAAGTCCCAGCCTTGGGTTGAGCTTATCCTGCCTCATAACATGCAAACACTTTATATTAATCTGAATTTTTCCCACCCCGGCTAAACATTACTTCTCAAAAATGCTGACCAAATCTGAAAATAATCTTCAGTTCTGTCATTAATTTAAAAAGTAATATCTTCCAGTGTGGCTAGCTTTCTCAAACCATTCTTCCAGTGAATTACATTCATAACTGTGGTGGGTATTCGTTTTTGTTAATCTTTTAAGAGTGAGTAATGACCATAGAGTGGAAATATTTTTCGTCTGTGAGTGGGAATGCAGTTAGAAATTCATCATGGCCTGATTAGAATAGTAGAGATCCGTGAATGGGCATGATGAGGTTTGTTGTTGTTGCTATCTTTAAACAATTGTTGTGTTACCTAGTATGATGTCCAGATGCGTCATTGGCTGCATAGCCTCTCCAAGATGCTTCATTCGAAATAATGGTAACCTTTGTCTGCTAACTGGATTTCACTGGGTCTCTACTCTGAGACTGGTAAAAACCAAAGTGTATTTTGTGTGTGTGTGTGTGTGTGTGTGTGTGTGTGTGTACATGCTTAACAGATAATGAATCAATTCAAATCCAAAATATAATTTACAATTTGTACCTACGATAGCTCTATCTCTATAGCTAAACATTCATACCTAATTAATCTTCTCTAGAAATGCATCTCTAGCCTGTGTGCTTTCTTTCGTATGCAAGCTATCTGCATATTGGAATATTAATTTGGGTTTCATTTCTATTGCTGTAGGGTTTTACTTTTATCCACGTAATGTAGCCAGGCATTTATGTTCCCATAGCTCAGGGGCCTTGGGGTTACAGGCTAAAAGGAGAAATTTCCAGTCACCCAAAAGGCAACCACCCACCTCATCACTGGTTTTTGAAAGCCTGGGTTCACCGAGAGGATATCTTTGGCTCTTCTGCTGGGGGGAGAGGGTGGACGATGGTACTTTAGGAGGCAGAGGTCATAGCAGGCACACTGCACGGAGGGTAGATTTTCTGAGAGGAGAGTGTGGATCGATTGGGTTGGAGGCTGTCTGTGTTTGTGCAGCAGCCTGTCTGTGGGGGCATGAGAGGCCTGACAATGGGGTAGTTTGTGCCCTTCAGCCTCAGTGGTGAGGCTCTCTGAGGTCGAGGCTATGGTCAGAGGAATGCCCGCTGAGGGGCAATCTCTGGGCTTCCTGGGAGCCAAGGCGCATCAGCTAGGGGAAGGAACAGTGGGAATGATGGCAACCCTAAAACTGACACCTTGCTCAGAGTTTGCTGGCACTAAGAGCACCCCATATTTGAGTATGATTCCTTAGCGCCCCATATTTGAGTGTGATTCTTTTGAGGGTGGGGAGGGATTCTTAATACTGAGCGCCCAGTTTGTCACTAGGCTCTTTGGGTAAGAGCTTAGAGCAGATTTAATTTGATTTAGAAAAACAAATGAATCGGAAATTTCCTGTAGTCAAGTGTTGTGGGAAAAAATCCATACTGACCATATTTATAAGCCTGTAAAAGGAAGGTAGTAAACAGTTAATTTAACCTAGAAGTTACCATGAAGTTTAGCAGCATGGCTTAACTGAAGCCTGTCCCAGTAAATGAAGACATGTCTGTTCCCCTCTCAGAGGGGATCTAGCCCATCTTTGTGTGATACTGTGCAGAATAGGAGAGCTCAGAAGACCATGAGGACACCTAGCTGTAACCTCTAAACCGGGAGGAACAGAGAAAGCATGCCATGTTTAAAGTGGCAGCAAGGGTGATGGGGGTACTTCTCAGGTGCATCTTGAAGCACTTGCTTTAAGAAACCTACTTCTTAATCCAAACTCAGGAAGCAAACATCTGCTTTTGTTTCTGTATCTCACCAGAAAAAGATGGAAGTTTCATATTTGAATATAAAATGGAACATCCATTGGACAATATTGAAAACGACTTGCAGAAAAAGAGATTAAGTAAAACAATAGATTTTTCCAACCATATCAGCCTCCATTTAAACCATGAGCAAACTCTGGTCAGAAATCTTTCACTGCCAGGGTTTCTTGCTTTTGTGTGGCATGGACCTCTTTGGCAGTCGAGCAGACCCTTTTAGAACGATCTTTTAAAATGCATACGATAAACTACATAAATTGAAAAAAAAAACAAGACATGTTGGAAGGGAATTATTGAAATATTAAGAAAAACAAACTTGTGCTATGTTAACATGTTTCTTCTTTGTTAAGGCATCCGATAACAATGTCTAGCAACAGGGCTAGCAATTACCATAATTTTGAAGTGTTGATCTCTTTACAAAGAGATGCCTGTGGGGAAATCCTCTAAGGCTAGAGAAACTTCAGGCTTTCTCTTGGAGCCTTTGGATTTGGCGACAAGCTCAGCCACTCTGGAGTCAGAACAAATGGAGGCAGTGATCCAGAACAAAAATGAAAAGAAATTTTAAAAGACCTCTGCCTGGGAGAAGGAAAGGGGGTCAAGGGTCAGGCTGCCAAAGAGAAAAGACCTATGCCTTCTGATTTATTCCCTTTTAGGAAGGGCTGGCCGTCTGCTGAAGTGATGGCAGTTTCTGAACCAGCACAAGCGGCAGCATCGGCAAGCTGAACTATCGCTTTCATAGGGATTTATCTTATAGAAGGAGAATTGAATGTTTCTTCATGTTCTTTTTGATGCTCCTTTGAGGAGAAGCCCTGTTTATTATTTTCTATGAAAACCAAGCCACATGGACTCAGGTATTTTTCCATAGCAGCAGTAGAATTCCATTGTTTACCTACAGAAACATATGACAAACTGCTCAGTAAGTTCTTCAAGTGATATCTTTCGGAGCAAGCACTAGGCTGAGATATTTGTCTGAGGGCGTTTCTCTACCCTGTAGCTTTCTCTCTCTCTCTTTCTCACTTACCCACCCACTTACACACAAAAACACATACTCACATGCTTTTCTGTTTGTTGTGCATAAATTCTATTATTTTTGTCTGTTACCCTTGAAATTCATGTTTTTAAGGAAGGTTAGGGAAAACAGTTTCATGAAACACTAATATCAGATATTTAAAAATTATCAGTGCTATTTTAAAACAAAACAAAAGCACGACTACAAGGCAACCAATGGAGCTAAAGCTGAATTTAGCTTTAGAAATGATTACAGGCTGAATTATATGCCATGTATACAGATTTGCTTCTAGATTTGGCAATCAAGAAGCCAAGTATAAATATATATACAAGTAGACTTCTCTCTTATAAGATGACAGTAAATGTACACATGGACACAAGCATGAAAATCCTGTCGTATGTGTTATTATGGAAAAAAAGCATTTAAATGTCTGAGTAGTATGAGCTGGCGCCTGGCATAGAAGTAAAATAAAGGGTTTAGGTTTGGTTTAGATTCCAGGTAGCACCTCTGCTCCCGAATATTATGATCTGTACCGTGTTGCAGCACTTAAGCTGTTGATTCCAGGCAGTCTGGCATTAAGCATAAATAATATCACTGGATGCATTCAACAAACTTGTGACCAGAAGAGCCCCCTTCCAATAAAGACATTGGAAGTGAATATATTGGCAGGGCTGCAGGAGCATCATCCTGAAGATACTCGGTAGTGCATTCAGGGTCTTTGGAAGGAGAGATAGGTACTTTTGGGCTGTTGGAGGTCCTTCCCTGTAGGGATACCCAATATCATGTCTCAGGGTTTGGGGTAACAATTCTCTCTTCTCTTCTAGAACACCCCATTTCAGATAAAATGTCAGCTTTAAGAAATCTGTTGTGGATGGGTCACTCAAGACATTTTATTTTGCCAAGAATAAATTGGTAGCCCACAAAGCTAACTTCATTTATTTGACTTTCAAATTCCCCATTCTCAAAATTAAGATTCTTGTAGTTCTTTAAGTCTGGAAATTCTATTTTTTTTCTGCTAATTGGGATTGTGGGACTAGAAGTCTCTTCCCTCTTTAATTTACCTTTCATTTTGGATATCTGGATATTTTAATTAGAAAAATGACTGTTCACTTTAACTGCAGGTCATACACTAGCCATTCACTTGCAGATAATCTAGTAGGAATCTGATCTTAAATCAATGTGCCTGTTTTTCCCCCTTTATGGGAAAATTTAGGTTAAGCTAGCTCATGCTTTTTCATAAGTAGACTCAATACAACTTTTAATAGGTATGTACAAATACACTTGCATCAATTACTTAAGGGTTAAATCTTCCTGGAAAATGAGATAATAGTAAACTAGAAGAAGAATTTTGTTGATTGAACTTACTGTACAAACTACAACAAGAGGAAAAGAGAATTTTCTGATTGATAAAAAGGCACCCAGTACTGATAGATTTCCAAATAACATTTTTTCAGACATGATCTCAACCATATTAATCTTTCAGGGGCAGAATAAGTAGGTGACCAAGAATTATTTGCCACAGTTTAGAAATCACACCGCTGGGGCTGAGGTAGGAACTGCATGCCACCAAGCAGCCTAGGGCTCAGTGGTGCTCAAGATGGAATGCAAATTCCCCATCTTATATAGTGAGCAATGCCATTAGTCTGTTAGATTGTATGATGTAATTTCACTTGTTTAAAAAAGGCAGGACAGTCTTCTCAAGGAAAACCTTGCAGTTCACATTTGAGTGATTGCATAACCACTTCTTAGCAATGTGTACTCAGAGTCCTTCAGTTATGGACAATTTATTTTTTATTAAGTCACTTAGCAGTGATCCTGATAAAGTCATTATTCTAAGTATGTTATGGTGGTTATTTCAGACAGTTAAGCACCAGAAAAAAAAAAAAGATTAATTCTGACACCGATGAAACTGGTCTTGTTCCATTTAACTGCTTATGTGTGCTGAGACAGCCAGCTGGAGCCTGGATATGCTTCTGGGATACTTTCAGGCTTCTTTTTTTTTTTTTTTTTTTTTTTTTTGAGATGGAGTCTTGCTCTGTCGCCCAGGCTGGAGTGCAATGGCGTGATCTCGGCTCACTGCAACCTCCGCCTCCGGGGTTCAAGTGATCCTCCTGCCTCAGTCTCCTGAGTAGTTGGGATTACAGGTGCCCACCACCACGCCCGGCTTTTAGTAGCACCACGGTTTTTAGTAGCATACATTGAATAACTTACCTATTTTTCTATTTATTTTGTATACATTTTCCACTTTACAGCCACCTAAGTTACAGTTTTGGGAAATAAAGTGGGATGCTCATATTCAGGGCTTCTATAGCTTGTCTATTATTGTCTTTAAAACAGGTAAGATTTACTTTCTTATCACAAAAGTGACCCTTAATCATTGTAGAAAATTTAGGATATTCAGAGCTAGAATTTTGGAGCATATATACATATATAGCTTTATATTCTAAAATAAATTTGAATCACACTATGCATACTATTTTTGAATGCTTTTTCATGAAAATATATTGTATTTTCCATATCTTTTAAGTAGTTCTCTATAGTATAGTTTCAAAGATTGCATAGTATTTTATTGTATGTATGCTGCATAATTTAGTCAGTACTCTCTTTTTAAACATTTAGGTAGATTCTAATTTTCAGCTGTGATAAACAACACTCCGATGAACATATTTGTAGACGAATCTTTGAGTGCATTCATAGTGATTTCTTTAGAATAAGCTCCTAAAGGTAAAAGGATTGCGTTAGAGAACATCATTAAGTCTTTTTCATGTGTGTTGTCAAATTTCCCTCCTGAAAAGCTGTACCAAGTGACAACCTGCACCAGCCATCTCCTCCTTGCCTTCCCTTCATTTCACCTGCAACTGGTTTGCCGCTTCTCCCTTTTAGTTTGATGTTTCGTCACAAAATTGCAACCCCTAATTTTCAAGTGAAGTGATATATTTCCCCCTATTTGTTATGCTTTTCCCTGAGTGCAGATATGTCCTCAAAACACTTTTCAACACAAATTTTAGATGTAAGAGGCTAACAATTAGAATTGTCCCACAAGAGGAAACCTATTTGCCATCGCTGCTTTATGGCTGTGAATGTGGCCATAACTGGGCTGAAATAAGACAGCAGGTGATTAGAGGCCAATCAATCAATGGTATCATGTGTCACTGTCCACTGTTTAGGCTTGGATATGTTTCAGGGCAGGACAGGGCTGAGCAGGGGGCCAGCTGTAGTGGTTTTGTGTGTACTAAGCAATCACCTTCTTATACAAAGATGGGCGAGGGCTCTTGCTTGTGGGCTTCATTTCAGATTCAAAGCTGGGCTATTGCACAGGGATCTGAAGGAGGAAGAGGAAAAACTAGACAAATTCCTCAGGGATTAGGTGGCCTAAGAGGGCTTCGCAATGGAAGCTTCCCACTTTGTTAGCTAGTAGAACACGTACCCACTCCTAAAACGGCAGTTATTTTTAAAATCCAGGTTAAGCTGCTGTATCCTTTTCCTGTGTCTGAGTTTTCTGCTGAAATTTGTCCAGCGGTATTATGGAGGAGCTACTGAAGGGAGCCCCAGCTGCTTCTGGATGTGAGGGGTCAGCTCTGGGTACAAGGCAAAGGTTATCGGTTCAGGATCAGACATGAGCCCTGAATGAGCCTCCCCTGTAGGTGCTGTCTGCCCCTAGGCTGCTTGCTAGGCTAATGGCCCAGAGAACCTGAGCTTTCAAGCTCTGCACCAAACGTACCCTAGGAGACCTGGCTTCTCTGGCCAGGCCTGAACATTGGAAAGCAGGAAGTGGGATGTGAGGGCCGGCTTGTGACGTAGACCAAAATCAAACCACTTTGAAAATCAATTTTTAACTGCCTTAGCTCCCACTTTGTAAAGCATTTCTCAACAGCGTTCTCTTTGTTGCGACAATGAAATGTTTCTTCTGCCAACATTTTAAAACCCTTTTAATTTTAATGGATTGCTTTATTTTTCCAAAAAAACTGTGTATGCACAATAATTCAGAAAAAAAAAGCTCTTGAACTTTTGTCAGCTAGATTTCTGGCAGGCTTATAGAAGCTTCTTCTTCTTCTTTTTTTGTAGTTGCAAAATAGTCTAGGAAGCAGAGAATGTCTTTATTCCTAATTCAGATATTCTTGTTGAGAGAAAACATGGTTTCTCAGAGAAGCTTTTATCTTCCTACCTTCCTATTAACTCTGCTGTGAATGGGGCTCAACCTCGGTGCTGGCAGAGCCCAGCCTGTGCTGTGGCGGATTCTGCCCCTTCCCTGCCGTGCTCTCCTTCCCCTTCTCTTCCCTGCCCTGTCTTCACCCTTCTCCATGGCTCTTTTCTCTTCAGTTCTCACTGGTTCTGCTGCCTTTCATTGTGATTTGTTGTGGCTCTTGATAGTTTTAAAACTGAGTCATTGAAAGCAAGCATCTAGCGTGTTTTCTGGGACTTCATGTGTGTATAATAACAACTTAGTGTCATATGTGTGTCGTCTCCCTTATTTACTCAATTATATGAACCAATAACTGAAACATGAGAAAGAAGCAAATTTCGTGTCTGACTGTTGCCTCATATTGGAATCCTCCTGCCTCTTCAAAATGAAACAAGGAAGGCTTTAAGAGGAGAAGTTTCACAGGAAATGTGTGTGTGTGTGTGTGTGTGTGTGTGTGTATATTTTTTTATTTTTATTTTTTTTTGAGACAGTGTCTCACTTTGTCACCCAGGCTGGAGTGCAGTGGCATGATCACGGCTCACTGCAGCCTTGACCTCCTGGGTTCAAGCCATCTTCCCACCTCAGCCTCTTAAGAGAAGCTAATTTTTTGGTATTTTTTGTAGAGACAGGGTTTTGGTATGTTGCCCAGGCTGGTCTCAAACTCCTGAGCTCAAGCAATCTGCCTGCCTTGGCCCTCCAAAGTGCTGGCATTACAGGCATGAGCCACCACACCCAGTCTCACAGGGAATATTTGCTACCTATTTTTGTATATTTTATCTTCGCTCTCTTTGTGTTTATCTTCTTTCTCAATGCAGCAACCTCCTCCCCAAACTCCAGACAAGCCCTTTTTGTAGCTCTAAGTAGTATCTTTTTGTGCATGAATTTAGGTCATTGTTGTACCTTGGTCTCTGACTTTAGTTCTATTCTCAATACTAAATTCAAGTAAAAATACGTAAGGACAGAGAGAAAGGGAACATGACATCATTCACTTGCCATGGCTTGTTTTTTCTGATACCTAGTGAATGAATTGGCATTGTTTCAAACAAGGCCAATAGTTAGTGGGATTGAAAGCCAGGTCCTGTACCATGTTAATATGCATGAAAGGCATTTATTCTGTAGGTGTTAATCTCGTGAAAACCATTGGGCATGCCAATTCTCCCGTCTTCTGCTGTCTACATGATCAGGAAAAAGAGAGCAATTCCCTAGGAAGTAAACTCCATTGAGGCCTCATTAATTAAGAAAGAAGATCATGCATATTTGTAGTAGTTCAATAAGAATTGAGCTAAAGCTTGTGTTTATACTATCTTCTGTGGAAGCTTGTTGAACAAGAAAATAGTGTCCACAAGGTAAAGAAAACATTTATTTTACTTAAAACAACATATTAAGCAGGTCAGAAGCATACTTTCTTTTACAAATAATTGTTAAGATAATTAAAACAATTTTTACATTATCATTACACTATAAAAAACTCAGAGTAATAAAGTCAGATTTTAAAAATGTGTGTAATAACAATCATAAGCCTATGTAAAGGCTTATATAAAGGCTTACATAGATCCATGTAAAGATAAGGTTAACAAATATTTATTTCAATATTCTTCTTTTAGTCTTACAATAATCTAAAGTAGTATGACAGAAACTATTATCCCCATGCACTAGTTGGGTTAGTTAACTGTAGCTGCCATAGCAGGGAAACCCTGATAATGTCAGTGGTTTAACACAACAGAGGTTTCTTTCTCCCTCAGGAAAAGTGTGATGGTAATTGGATGAACCACCTCGATCTTGCAGCTATACCAAATAGAACATCTGACACATGTGGCCTCTGAGGTTGCTTCAGCTGAGGGAGGGCTGGAGGAGATACACTGGTTTGTACCTTCCTTGACCTGTAGAGATTCAAGTCGTGTGCTTTCAGATTTCACCAGCTCGAGTTAGTCACATGGTCTCACCCTGACTGCAGGGAGGTGGAGTGGTATATCTGGAAAGCATTGTCCTTCTCTGTCAAACACAATTTTACAAATAAGAGAACTCTGAATAATCAGTAATGTGTGCAAATTCACACAGATATCAAATGGAGAAGCTGGATTTTTCAAAGGTCTTTTAACCCCAGTTCCAATGAACATATACAATAGTGTCTCTCTACATAATCTAATAATAGTATCTCTCTATGTAATCTAATAATGTCTAATAATAGTTTACTAAATCAAATAGACTCTCATTTAATCCCGAGGACATTGAGACAGTTGTGTTTGTGCACATTTAGGAGAAAATATAAGGAGAACCCTGATTATTCCTGTTATAAGTATTATGTGGAATTCTAATTTAATGATAACACTTAGTACTTCATAGGCTTGTTATGTTTCCTATTCTCCCAATGTAACCAGATCTGTGATGGGGCAGTGTGGTGGAGTGGAAAGACCATGGCTTTGGTACCAGATAGATCTCTATTCACATTCCTGTAACAACACTTACCAGTGGTGTAATGTTTTGAGCAAGTTATTTAACTTCTATTATTTTCATTCTCTTCATTTATGTAATAGAGACAACAATATCATGTAGGCTTTTTAAATGTATAAACAAGTTAATATTTATAAAGTCCCTGGAAATAGTAGGTAATGTTATTTTTTAATTTCCCTTAAAAAGCAGCATGTTCAAGTTCATAAAGCAAGATATCTTAGAATTAGATGATGAAATACAAAATCAGACTTCATGCAAAGAAATTTCATCAAATTAAAAAATATATATAAGCACAAATACTTATCCAGTGGAAAAAACTGCCCAAACCAGCAATAAAAAAGCAATGTGAATTGAGGAAGAAATCCAGATATATAGCCACTGGCTGGGTTTGCGAGGTTAGATTGATGAAATACAGGCTGATCTATATTTCTTGGAGTTGATGAGTGTAGGTTTTGATGGACCATCTGATAGTATTTGCTCTGCACAGCCCCTGTTTTCATGTGGTTGATTATCTGTATTACACAGGAAGAAACAACGGGATGATAAAGTCTAACTGCAACAGTAAGTTTCCATGTGCGAGTCTGAAGTTGCTGTCAGTTAGTGTAACCAGAAGATGCTCTGGGAAACATCAGGGCTGGGCTGGGGAAGGGTGGCCGTGGAGCACTGGGTGTGTTTCATTTGGAGGTCATCACCAATGCCCCCTGTGTCCTGAAGCCATTATCATGTGAGGATAAATATCTTCTGGTTTTCTTGAGCAATAAAAACAGTGCTAGATTTTAAGCATATAGTGGTAGAATATACTCATAGCTGTATGGAAAATGTATATGTTGACATGTGGAATCCAGCAGAGAGATACATATACTGTCAGATTTCCCTGAGCTGAACATTCTCAAAGTCCAGGTCTTAAGTTTAATCCAAGATCCTATTGGGAAGGGGTTTTAACTTCTTCCTTTGGAGAGTGGTGTGGTCACCTTGGCTTGTTTTGTTGTAAAGTGAACAGTGAAAATAGAATTATGAGAATTGCATAGAAGTTAAAATTTGGCATCTTCCAGAATTACTTTTTATAGAAATTACCAAAAGCAGATAGAAAATAGCCAAGATTCTTTGGGCAAATTATTCCAGGGTCTTATGATGCTTCTTATTAGAGTAGTCTGGATGTGATAGTCAACGAGTCTTCCTCGGTGAAGTGTGGTATGAACTGGAGGTAAACTGGTTACTATAAATCAGAGTGGGTATATATTTAATAGAAATAAAAGCAATATCTTGAAGAGGTATATCCACTCACGTGTTCATTGCAGAATTATTCACAACAGCCAAAATATGGAATCAACCTGTGTCCATTGAAGGTTGATTGGATAAAGAAAATGTGGCATATATACACAATGTAATATTATTCAGCCATAAAAAAGAAGGAAATCCTGTCATTTGTGACAACATGTATGAACCTGGAGGACATTATGTTAAGTGGAATAAGCTGGGCACATAACAACAAATGCCATGTGATCTCACTTATATGTGAAATCTAAAAAAGAGAGACTCAAAGAAATAGAAAGTAAAATGGTGGTTGGTGGATTTAGGCTGAGGAAAATGGGGAAATGTTGGTCAAAGTCATAGTTATTCAGGATGAGTAAGTTCTAGAGAGCTAATGTTCAGCATGGCGACTGTAGTTAATAATACTGTATTGTATACTTGCAATTTGCTAAAAGAGTAGATCTTTAATGTTCTCAGCACAACAAAAAAGAAAATAGCTATGTGAGGTGATGGATATATCACTT
This sequence comes from Homo sapiens, assembly GCF_000001405.40. Lineage (NCBI taxonomy): Eukaryota > Metazoa > Chordata > Mammalia > Primates > Hominidae > Homo > Homo sapiens. Next base: position 153,938,720 of record NC_000004.12, read on the forward strand.
AGCTTGATTGTGGTGCTCATTTCACAGTATATATATATATATATATATATATATATATATATATATATATATGTAGTTATACACTGTAAACATACACAATTTTTATGTATAATTATACCTCAATAAAGCTAGAAAAAAAAAGAAATCAATTACTGCTCTCTGTTCACAGACCTTCCTCTTAAGGTTTTTAAAACCAATTTTTAAAAGTTTTGATTTTTATTAAAGATCTAACCTGAGCTTTCCAGATAGATGGGAAAATAACCTTTTGTGAGTTAAGGTGGAATGTTTGTTTTGTTTTATTTTTGTTTCATAACATTTGCCCCCTAAAATATCCACTGACAGTCACATTTTCATTTTGCTTTTTAGTTGATTGAGCTACAGTGTTTTAAGCTCTGGGGACACAGATATAAACAGGAGAGGTCTCTGCTGTCATGGAGCTCATGCCATAGCACTCGGTCTAACATGCGGTGCGTGAGCTGCCAGCTCATCCATTATTCATTAACATCATTGAGCATTTGTACATGATGGGTGGTTTTCCATGTTCAATTCATTCTTTTTTACCCACCCATCCATTTGTTTATTAATCGAGGGCCCAGAACTTACCTAGGACTTCTGAATAAATGCCTTCTACAATCACCAAAGAAAGAGATCACAGCCTTCCCAAGATTTCAGTGTTCCGTGGAATAATTTTTTATCTGTGGTTCCAACTTAGTGATGTCGGAACCTGGAGGTGATGAAGGCTTACTGACAATAACAAAATCCATTGTTCTGAGGATCATGCTATTATGAGGAGTTTAAAATTTGGAAAATAGCTTTACAGAAAATAAAAATCACAATCAAAATGGATACAAGTTATTGAAGATGACTTAACCAGAATATATTCAAGTTATTAAACTTAGAGCTGGGAACTTGAGAGACCTCCTTCCCTTCCAGCATTCCAATGTCCTCTTCCAATGTGTTCCAAAGCACAATAAAGAGAAAAACCCACTGGCTAAGAAAAATATTGCCTAGCTATGCTGTAATTCAAAGCAGGTTTCTCAATCTTTTCCTTCTGAAATTTCTTTTGAGTCTCAGAGCAAGAAGGGTAACCACAGGCCCTGTGTGGGAATGATCCTGACCGAATAAGGGCTGGGAATCCAGAACCTTTTAACAAATACTTTGTCAAGGCAATATTTATTTATCATAAAAATCAAACCAATTTTCTGTAGCTTCCATCTCTCTTAGCCTGCTTGTGAACCTGTGCCTCTGCATTCAATGAGTTAAAGAGCTCTTTGCTGAATGGATTTATAAACAGAAATTTGAACACAGTGGTTTAACAAGTGAGACAGAAATATATCTTCTTCTATCTCCTACCCACTCCTTCTGGCTTTTCTGTTTTTGCTAAAGGTACTACCTATTCTTTGGCCTATCAGCATGGAGCCATCTATGAACACTCTTCTTTCTTTGCTCCCATCATCTACTGGCAGAAAATTTTAAAACGCAGAAGTACAAAAAATAAATGTGAAAGTTTACCTCCACTCCTCCATCCTCAGTAGTTCTTTAAACTCAATTACTTTTAACCATTTGTATTTTTAATTCTTATGCTTTAACCCCAATACTCTGAATAATATATTCATACCTCTGCTAATTAACATGTTAACCTTAGATAGCATTTATTTATTCCTTACAATGAAAGAAGAATAATTAGCTTGCTTATACTACCCAACTTTTACCCTCCACATTTTTTGTTTTACGCTATTTGTATATGTTCTATTGCTTAACTTTATAAAATACTTAAACTCCTTCTAGATAAATTATCAATTTTAGAAGATATTGCTTGCCTTACTATGAAAGACCAGGAAATAATCATGCCTGTACTTTTCCACTTTATTTCCTCCATGTAGCTTCTCTGAGCTACGCTTTGCTTTCTATTCACTTTGCTTTCCTTAATTCTTTCCCTGTTTTCTTACCTTTGATTATGGTGATCAAGTTTTCTCTGTTCCTCTGGTCCTTTTACTGATCTGAAAAGTTATGCATACACTTTATATTCTTTTTAAAGGTTACCCTTAAAATTTCAATATGCATGTTTCATGTGACCTAACATTAATCCACGTCTCTATCCTCTTCTGAAAGAAGGTCAAATCATAACATGCTTTAACCCAAACTCCTTCTTCCTGTCTTCTCTGTTAACTATTATTTGAAATTTTAGTTGAACTTAGTTTTATAACTTCCCCAAAGAGATCATTTAGATTTACCAAATGCGAGAGCCTGGGAGGTGCCCTGCTCAGATGTCCCTTTAAGTGAGAACTTGCTGCAAGGAGTGTAGTGAGCTGGCAGCCTGCATTTGCTGTACCTTCAGGATCCGTGGCAGTGTTCATGCTGAAGCTCTGCTCTGCATGGGCCATCTCCAGCCAGTGGCTGAGCTCAGGAAGAGCATGCAAACCGATCATTGCTGCCTACATGGGACTCCCTCACAGGCTGCTTTGCTCTGCCTTCCTGCACTGGCCTGAGACTCTCACAGGTGCACTGCTACCTCGGGCTCTTCCTTTTCAATCCTTCTTCATTTGCCCCTCTCCTTTCACAGATGTCAGATCTGTGTCATGGTCTGAAGGATTTCCCTGACTACTCTTGCTTCATCTCTGCTTTCCTTTTCATGGGATTTCTCTGCAACAGATCTCTTGCATTTCTGATTCCATGATGGTGTGTTTGCTTCCTGGAGAGCTCAAAATGACACCAGAGTTTTCTAATCATTCCTTTGTTCCCTTGAGCTTCTTGTACTCCTGCCATCTGTTCAGCCTGGATGCTTTCTTAGCGTACCATTCTCATTATCCTTAGTTTGTCCTACAAAGTCCTGTATGACCAGGTACCTCCTTACTGTCCAACGTTATCCTCACCCCATCAGTAAATATAGCTCAGCCTTATAGCCCTCCTTTTAGCTTCTCAAATGAACTAAGCTCTTTCTTTCTTGAGAGTTTTTCTGTGCTGGCTGCTCTTCCAGGAACCCTTTTCTCCCAGTCTTTGTAGAGCCAACTCCTCATCTTTACATCTCTTGTATCATCACTTCAGGGATGCCTTTCCCTGATCACTCCCCTTCTGCAGCTTTTTTATGTGGTAACGCAGCAGCTGGTTGTTTTTATTTCCAAAATGATATTTTGTAATTATTTATCTCTTTTCCACTATGTAGCAAGCAGAGATTATATTCGTTTCATTCACCACTGTAGACTTAGCACTTAGCACAGGACCTGGGACAAAACAGATAGTTAGTAAAGATTTATTTCGTGAATGAATAGTCCCCTCTTTCACGTTCACTGACACCATTCTTACCTCTTGTCTTTTCATTGCTACAATGTCCTTAACAGTCTTACTATTCACCACAGCTAGATTAGTCTTCCCTGAGTATAGCCCCTTTTAGTGTTCATTTCTGCTCAAAAAACCACCAAGGAGTTCCCATTCCTCATGACTTAGGTACAGATGTCTCAGCCTGGCACTCAAGGAAGCCACAAGGTCCATCTTTCTAGCCTCATCTCCCTGCGATGGTCTCTCTCTCAAGTCAAACTGGACAATCACCAGTCACCAAGCACATTCTGACATTCTGGGCTTTCTTCTCGCCACATCTTGGGCTATGCTAGATTGATCACCATACTTTTTCTCCCCATCCCTCTTCCATCTCACTATGTTGTTGAGTCAAAATCTATGTGGCCCCTCCCAGTGGAAATTCTTCCTCATCATTCTAAATTAATGTGCCAGCTTCTACTCTAAAATCCCATGGCCTATTGTTTGAGATTTAGGGCATTTTCAAATTTACTTTATATTAAAATGATTATTTACTTGCCTTTTCTTAACCTTGCCAAAGTCCATGATCCTTCATGACAGGAACTCTTTTATACATCTTTTGTGGCCTCTACAGCACTGAGCATATACCTTCTTACTCTTACATTTTTATTTTTAAAATTTTACTTTTATTTATAAATAATACTTTAATATAATTACCACTTTATTTGTATGAGTATAAAATAATACATATATTATGGAAGACATGAGAGACATAAAATATTAGAGAATAAGAAATAAACTGCAATTGCATCACCTGCCAATCATCATTTCTTAGCATTCTATTGTATTTCTTTTTGTTTTTATTTTTCAATAGATAATGTTTGTATTAGCACAGATCATATTGAATACACAATTTTGTGTTTTGGAGAGTTCCAGGTGCAGTTGAAAAGTCTAGTTCTAAATTTTCTCTTTTTTCTAGAAAATACTCAAACAATAGGAGAACTAAAAACAACAAGAAAAAAAAAACCTCAAAATATATTTAATCAAAAGTGAGAGGAAAAAGAAACCCAAGAAAATTCCAGATTTCTTTTAAGTGTTGCCAAAGGCAGAGCTGAACAGGAAGCCCATGTTGTTCTTCAGGTAAGACCAGAGGTTTCAAAGGGCAGTAAGGGCTAGAAGTTCTCAGAGCTGTCCAGCAAATATTCCTTTTGAACAAGAGGTCTCCACTCTGAAAGGGACAAGATAAAGCAGAGCAAGTTCTTTTGCTGAAGGAGGCAGAGGCCAGGTGCGGTGGTTCATGCCTGTAATCCCAGCACTTTGGGATCACATGAGGTCAGGAGTTCAAGGCCAGCCTGGTCAACACGGTGAAACCCTGTCTCCACTAAAAATACAAAAATTAGCTGGGCGGGGTGGCGCATGCCTGTAGTCCCAGCTACTCAGGAGGCTGAGGCGGAAGAATCTCTTGAACCTGGGAGGTGGAGGTTGCAGTGAGCTGAGATTGTGCCACTGCACCCTAGCCTGGGTGACAGAGCAAGACTTAATCTCAACAAAAAAAAAAGGAGGCAGAGAGGGAAGATTCAGAGCACACCCTGGGACTCTGGGAGTCCACATGTGGCAATTCTTAGATAGCAATTGCAAAATATGACTTCCAAAATGGTGCGACAAGCAAGAACAATGTGGGGAGTTCAGAAGCCCAGGGCCAGTGGTAGAAACTCTTTTGAACAAAGCTGTGCCCTGAGACCTTGTTTGTGGCAATGTTTGATGATTTTAAATTGAGTTATAGGTAATGTGTATAGAAATTATAGAGATAATTTGGACAGATAATGTTATGTTTTTTCTAAGAGGGTTTATGTTTGCTTTTGACAGGCATTTAGGTTACAGGGAATTCACCTTAATTCAATTCAGGATTGAGCTGATTTGAAACTAGGTTTTATTCTTTGCGATGACTGGTCTACTTATGATTCACACTGATTCTTAGATCCTTCCTCCTTGGTTGACCTTTATAGTAGTTTCCTAAGGCTTCTGTGTTAGGCTGTTCTTGCATTGCTATAAAGAAATACCTGAGCCTGGGTAATTTATAAGGAAAAGAGGTTTAATTGGCTGATGTTTTAGCAGGCTGTACAAGCATGGCTCTGGCATCTGCTTCTGGTGAGGGCCCCAGGAAGCTTACAATCATGGCAGAAGATAAAGGAGGAGCAGGCATATCATGTGATGAAAGCAGGAGCAAAAGAGAAGGGGAGGTGCCACACACTTTTAAACAACCAGCTCTCATGAGAACTCACTCACTCATTATCACAAGGACAGCACCAAGCCATGCATGAGGGATCTGCCCCCATGACCCAAACACCTCCCACCAGACCCCACCTCCAACATTAGGGATTACATTTCAACATGAGATTTGGAGAGGACAAACATCCAAGCTATATTAGCTGCCATAAAATATTTACCACGAAGGTGGCCTAGAACAACAGAAATTTATTCTTTCACAGTTCTAGAGGCTAGAAGTCCAAAATCAAAGTGTTGGCATGGTCATGCTCCCTCTGAAGGCTCCAGGGAAGAAGAATTCTTTGCCTCTTTCTAATTTCTGGTGGTCACAGAAATCCTTGGCATTCCTTGGCTTGGAGCTGCATCACTGTAGTCTCTGCTGCCATTGTTACACGACCTTCTGCCCTGAGTGTCTGTCTTCATGTCTCTTCTCTTACAAGGATACCAATCATATTGAATTTAGGGCCCACCCTACTCTACTATGCCCTCGTCTTAGTTTTTAAAGGTCTTTTAAACAACCAGATCTCATGAGAACTCACTCACTATCACAAGGACAGCACCAAGCCATTCATGAGGGATCTGCCCCCATGACCTAAATATCTCCCACCAGGGCCCCACCTTATAAGTAATGGCCAAAACTGCAAGTATCTTTTGCATCAACCTAATAATTATAACTGTAAAGACCCTATTTTCAAAAAGTTAACATTCTTAGGTTCTAGGTAGACATGAATTATTTTATTTTATATTTTTGAGACAGAGTCTCACTGTGTTGCCCAGGCTGGAGTGCAGCGGCATGATCTTGGCTCACTGCAACCTCTGCCTCCTGGGTTCAAGCGATTCTCCTGCCTCAGCCTCCCAAGTAGCTGTACAGGCACCCACCACCATGAATTTTTGTGGGGGGAGCACTGTTCAACGTAATGCAATCTTGAACTCCATTTTTGGCTCCAGCCCTGTGAAAGTTCTGAAAATCCTGTTCACCTTCTTAGTGTTTTAGCCATTACTTCTGAATGAGCAAATGCCTTGAGGGCATATGTGCACCAAATGTCTGGCTTACCCTTCTGTGTTTCTTTTCTTAAGTTTGTTTGTTTTATTTTTTAATGGGGGAAGGTTAGTTTGATACAAGCTTATCAATCATAGCCTGAAATGGTTGTCTATTATAATGTTTTGATTTAATATTTTCCATTATCATTTTTATTGCTCTTTCTTCCTTCTTGAGTATTTAATTTCCATTTCGTATCATTTCCATTCAGCCTGAAGAACTTTCTTTAGATTCCTTGTAGTATGGAGTCTAATTTTCTCTGCCAATTTTCTAGAAAAATTATCTTGGTTTCTTTTAACTTAAAATGTCTTTACTTTGTCTCATTATTGAAGGATATTTTGTGGGGTATAGGTTTCTGGATTGACAGTATTTTTTAAAAAATCACTTAAAAATATTGCTCACTCTCTTCTGGCCTTCATAGTTTTATAGTGAGGAGTTGACTCATAATTGAAGCACTGTCCCCCTATATATAATGCCCCATTTTTCTCTTGCTGCTTTCCAGCTTTACTATTTATATTTGGCTTCTGACTCTGACTCCTAACTTCCGAGTCTGACTCTGATGTGTCTCAATGTGGTTATCCTTCTTGGTTTTCATGGAGTACCTGGGATCTGTAAATTTATGTCTTTCATCAAATTTGGAAAATGTATGGCTATCACTTTTTCAAGTAGTTTTCTCCCCATTTTTTCTTGATTCTCCTGTTTCTGGGACTATAATTCATGCATGCAATTAGGTTTACCAGGTGTCTGAGGCTCTGTTCATTTCTTCCCCCTAATCTTTCCCCCACATTGATCTGTGTGCCCATTGGATTACAAATCCAGAAATGCTCTACGTAAGTATACTTGTAATTGCAAATAGGAAACAATGTGTGCTAGAGTAATGAATAGTTATGTAAGTGTGGCAATAAGGAAAAATATATATAGATGTATGAGGAGAGGGTGGTCTTCTCAATGAGCCTATTGAATTTTTCCATCTCCCAGATAAAATATCTATTGTAATTGGCAGAAATATGAACAAATACACAATGAATAGCATATTAAATAAGTTTTATTGAGAAATTAGAGGAAGAAATCTGATTTCCATTTTGTGACAATACCTACTAGTACAGCATTCATTTGTGAGTTCTCTTCCCACCGCTACCCCATCTATTTAAGTTGTGATATACTTTTTCTTGAGGAAGGTTTTGGTTAGTACAGTGTATCTGAATGGAAATGTGGTGAGGCAGGAGAGATGGAAGGAAGTTTGGAGATTGTCACATAACTCAGAAAAATCAAAGGGAGGTAACCTAGGAGGCTCCAGTCTTGCTAACCTGAAAACAGAAAGGTAAAAACAGTATTGAAAGACGGTAACTTTTCTGTAGAAGTCAAAAGTTTAGTTGTCTCAGGATTTTATGTATATGTAATTCCATAATTAGAAATTATATAACTGTTCTCAACTTCATCAGTTTTTAAAATTGTTATTTCTCTACTTAATCAGTTTTTAAATAATCCTTATAGATTTCTTCTTCTCCTTTAAAATTCTATAAATCCTTTTTCATCATCTTGGGTTTATTCATATGTATTTTGTTAAAGGCAGACTATGGATGCTTTAAAATATTTGAAGACAAAGCTCAAATAACACTCTGATAATACTCATATCCAAGCACTGACCCAAATAGGGCTAGCTGGATACACTCATGTACACGAGGGCATTTATCTCAAGGGAAAAATGTTGCTATATGTTTTGAAACTTTTTTTGGTAAAACATATTAATTTTTAATGTATAGAGTAAATTGGTTATAGCATAAATGTAAATAAAGCTGTCCTCTACCCCAATCCATTAATGCTCAATTTAAATTTAAGAATTTCAAGATAAACTAATCAGGAACAGTTTTTCTCAAATCAAGCCAACCATCAAACTCCATTTGAAAAACACATTTTCCTCCTTTGTTTGAGAGTAGCATTGATCTTTCACTTGTGGCTTTATTTGTGAGCAAATGAAAGCATCTGAGGGGTAGTGAAGCCCCTGGGAGTGTGACTGTCTCACAGACATTAAGCCTGCAGGTGGAGTCCTCGATCTCCTGACATGGGGCTTAGCCTGAAAAAGGGCCTCTCTTTCCCACTCCTGGGAGTGCTTACTTCTGAAGCCAGGAGTGTCAGGAAGTGGAGCCAACAAGAGAGGAATTTAGGTCCTCTGGAGACCTTATGGGGAATACTTTGGTTTTTCTTGAGAGCTCTCACACCTTGAGCTCTTCCACCTTCTTGTTTGTCACAGGCCTAAAGTTGGGAGTTGGGGAGAGGTGTGGCTGTCGGTGAGACTAGGGCTGGAGTCTTGATGCAGACACTTGGGAGGAAGCTCTTGCTTAGTCTCCAGCAAGTGGTTCTTGTCTAGTTTCCTGGCTGTGGGTTGTGACTATCATTTGCTAAAACTTTGGAGAAGAAGGAGTGCTCAAATATTGAGGTGTCCTGATAATATAACTCCTGGTTTGCTCAGAGGTAAGCGGCCTCCTTCTTTGTGCCCAACTCTCTTGCTTTCTCCTTTCAACACTTCTTTTCACAACTCTCAGGCCTTGGGTCCTCGTCTTAATGCTCAGTCTATGGAACCTCAGGAAAGAATCTATTATCAACCATTTGCCTTTTTTTGGAGTTGGGACGGGGGTGGGTAGTTCTTTTATTTTAAGACTTAGATCCTACTGTGGGAAAGCCTTTGCTTGCTACTAACCAAATTAGTAGGGGGTATTTGGGAGAGAAATTGGTTCGTCTAATATATTTAGGAGAAAAGTTGACTTTGGAGTGAGGATGTAATCCCAAAAGTTTGTGTATGAGTTGTGAATTTCTAAAATGTGATCTTTAGGTGCTCAGGGGATTCTGGTGCAGGTGCTAGATGAGATGAGTTGGCAGTTAATTGTAATTTTCCTGTTGCAAAACAGAAAGTCTCAACACAGCATTTCTTGATGACCAGTTTCACCCTTATTTGTCTCACAGACTACACACTACTTGCTCAGATGCTGCACCAATACTTTGCTAAGGAAATTCAATCTCTTAGTGCAATTTCCAAGACATATTTATTAATTGAGGCTGACTCATCATCCCAGAGTTCTAATATCATTAATAGGCCGTCCAATGTCCAATGACATCAGTTTTGAAAATGTTCCTTCAGGTATTTGCACTAGTCCATTAACCCTGCTCCTCTTGTCTCCTGGAGCTGCAATCCTAGTTTAATCCCAATTTTGGACATTCATTTATGTATTCATTCATTCACTCAGTTCAAGCATTTAATATTTATTGGGTGTCAGCTCTTGTTGCTGTGCTAAACCCTCAGGGTACTAAGATGAGTAAAACCTCAGAATTCCATAATCATTGAAGACCTTAGAGATCATCCAGTGAAAAGCAAGAAAATCAGGATAAAGTATCTCATAATGCATGAAAAAATAGCTTCTCTGCTCAAGAGAGGTGAGAAGCCAAGAATAACTCTGTGTGCCAATTTCCCAGACTCTGAGAATTTTATAGGTTTAAAGTGCCATGGAGATTCTGTTGTCATTTATGCTTTTTTTCTATTTCTGTTACAGTTAACAAGATCAACCTTGCTGGGAAATGAACAAGCGACCAGGTGAGCTCAAGAGTCCTTTCCTTTTTCCCCAAACTTATGGATTTCTCAAATAGAAACTGAGGTCATTGCATATTTTGGGGATGTTTAAATAGACTTAAAGCTAACAGGGGTGTTAACTGAAATCTTTCCTTTTTGGAAAAGTGAGGGAAGAGAAAGGACTGGAGGGCACTGATAATTTGGGTGAAGTGTTTCTACTCAGAAGGGAACGTGAAAAATTTGGATGAAGTCAGTTTTATTAAAGAGCTAGTAGCCTGTTAAACAGAACTATAGTTAAACTTGTGTTAATACAGCTAAATGCAGATCTTTACATACTTAAACTACCCAGAGAGTTACTCGTTAGAATAGTGAGCTAATATTTATAGTGAGCATTAAGGGAATGGTTTTGAATATTAAAAATGCTCTGCAATAGCAATTTTTATTGTGATTTGAAATGCTTGTCTCTATTACCTTTTTAGGAATTAGTGGATGATAGTCCTGTTGTCTTCTGGCATTTGTGAAACACAGCTTTCTTCTCTATAGTTCTCCTATTCCTAGAAACTGTGCATGTGCATGCATGCACACACACACAAACACCATTAAAAAGGAATAACAATTCAGGATTTCTGAACATCTTTATTTAGATAATTTTATGTCAAAACCATAAAATGTATTACATGTCCTTTTTAATGAAAGAGAAAGCAAACACTAAAATGTATAACATCTGCTGGAAATAGAATCTAAATTAAAAACTCGTGTAGACATAAGGACCAAGGGACAAAATATAGGGGCAGGAAGTATGGCAAGATGTTAGTGTTAAAAATAATTTTTTAAAATATTATGCCTGATAGCAGGTGCATAGATGAAATATTTTTGGGGTAAAAAACTCATTCTGAATCTTATCTGAAGATTGACAGCAATGTTTATTTGCTCAAGGCATAATAAATCTTTTAATATATTCCCACCGAGTTTTCAGATTTTAATAGATGGAAAGGCCATATTCACTGACTATTTGAGGATTGAAATTTTCTTTCAGGAATAGTCATTCTTACCTGAATTATTAAAATGATTAATCCCTTACAAGTGACTAAGAACCACCGCTTACTTCTTTCCCACTTTACTCATCTAACTGAGGTTTGTGTTTATCAGCTGATATAATGTAGCCCCTTAAGTGAACAGTATCATCCAGTCGTTTTGGTAAGAGACCTTCTGTTTGGGACAGGAAATAGAAAACTAATTGGAAGACAGATTTGTTTTACCTAACAAGGAAGAGGTATCATGAGGATCAAGTGAGAAAAAAGTGTATTGAAAAATTATAAAGCACATAATGAAATGCAAGATGAAATTATGCTGTCTGATGGCTCGTGCACAGCTGCAGCGAAACGCAGTGTTGTATAACCTGCAAGCTTTGGAGGCTAGTCCTGTAGGTGGATAAATGAGACAGCCTCTGATGTGGTATAATTTCAAGATTTCCGTAAGCTCTAACCACTTCCTCAACAATAGAACCACAGCTTTGGACTGAGATGTTGGCTCCAGAAAGCCTCTGTTGAAAGGACTTTCCTACAAGGTAGAGAAAACAAATGAACTGACTTTATCAGACTAACCAGCTCTCACCTAAAGAAAGCTTATGAGGGAGGGAAGCACAAGAAAGATAATTTTTGAAGGCATGAATGTGAGATTAAGATGGAAAGTTCTGTGCATGCAGGTTAAGATGGAAAGTTTATTCTGGGGAGGACAAGCCCTCAGCAGTATCCTGGTAGGAGGTTCTGGTAATCTAGGGACAGCATGAGAGCACTGTGTCACTTGTCTGGAAAAGAAGATAGAGGAGAGGAAGTTTGGAAGTGAGGGACACACCCAGGGCCTACACTGCCTGTGCCACAGTTCAGCTGCAGCCCAATCCTGCATGCCTGACCTCAGTTCATTGATCTCTGAGCATGCCCATTCTCTTCATAAAGCACCTTTGTTTTCTACCCAGTGCACAAACATCACGACCCGTGTCTGAGAATGTTGGGAATTTTATTAGGTCCATAAAGTTTTAGCTGTGGTCTAGTCCACCGAGGCCAAAATAAATAAATAGAGAGAGTGTAAAAGTAACATTAAAAAAAAAAAAGCCTGGCTTAAAGAAAGAAAAACTACTGAAGCTCTAAAATAACTTTGTCACAGTGGTTTTAGAGGGGATTTCTCCTTACCAGCTAAGAACTCTGTAAAGTGCAGGCTGAGAAACTGTGGTATAATTGCAGCCAAAAAATTCACTTTTCATATTTCTCTGAGAATATTCTGTTCTATGGAGTTAGGTTTAGAGGTTAAAATGATTGACAACTGATTGGCCACAGGCCTAAAGCTAACTGAATAAAAAAGCAAAATGCCTTGGCTTTAAGAGTCAGGCTTTCTGGGAAAATGTTAAAGATAAAATTAATTACTATTGATAATGTAATGCATTTTCCTTTTTCTTAACTACTTTCTTCAGGTTCAAAATTCGTATCACTCAAATTTTCTTCTGCTTATATATTTAGTTTCATAATAATAATATTAATTATGATTACTATTAAATATAATCATGATTTGAGTGCTTTCTATGTGTCAGGCACTATTCTAAGACCTTGAAATGCATTAATTAATTTACTTCTCACTACGTAAATTAGCTACTGGTATTATCCTTCATTTTATAGTTGAGAAAACTGAGAGACAGACCAGTGAGGTGACTTGCCTTAGATCTCAGAACTAGGAAGTTGAGAACCTGGAATGAAAAAATATATATTTAGCTATGAGCTCTTAAGCTCATGAAAACATTACAAATGAATTTGTAACTACACTCCTTGCTTGGTGTCTTTCCCCATTGTCATCATTATCAAAATCCTTTTTGGGTGTTCGGTATGTGTCCTAAGAATGCAATTAATTAGTAGTGGAAAAGTCATAATGTTGAGTGGAAGAAACAAGATTCAGAACAATAGTAAAATATGATGCCCCCTGTGCAAAATTTAAATTCCATACTTAAAAAACCATATAATGTTCATATCACATATAGGTTTTTGTAAAAGCCATATCAACTTCATGAGAGTAGGGCTTTCTGGTCCATGAGGAGAGGATTGGAAGGGTTGGTGGTGAGTCTAGAAGCAATAATTTGAAATGGGGACAGTTGTTAATTCTGAGTGATATGACTATTGTTCTCTGGATTTATTGTATTTCTTAAATTTCTATTCAAATTTTTTTTTTAGGGATGGAGTCTCACTATATTGCTCAGGCTGGTCTCAAACTCCTGGCCTCAAGCTATCCTCCCTCCTCAGCATCTAGAGTAGCTGGGGTTACAGGTGAGAGCCACCATGCCTGGCTAAATTTCTAAAAATATGATAAGCAGGAATATATATGGAGGACACTGATTCCTGTGCCAAAGAGGCCTTCATTTCAGTTAGAGAGTTAGGACGTGTAGATAAGGAGGAGACTAAGACAAGGTGTCAAATTAGTGCCATAGCATGTAAGACTTGTGGAGTTTCACAGGAGAGATCACTCAAGGTGAGCAGAAGTAGGTACAGCTACATGGAAGAGGGAGATGTGAGTTGGGCCTTGAAGCTTTAACCTAGACAAGTGGAGAGGAGGGAATCCCAGGCAGAGAGCTGGACAGAAGGCCAGACTGAGTGGGGAAATCTAGCGGTGGCATTCACAGCAGTGGTGAGAGTCAAACGAGACAATGTATGCAGAACATCTAGTGTGGACTTCGTACAATACTGATAAATGTAATTCAGGCAATACCAAACAACAAAAGAGGCATTATCCAGGCTCTGTACTGACGTTCATGATCCCCGTGGCCTATTGTCGAGAGTCACACCTGGGGGCATTTATTACCTTCATTTGAACCTCAAAGGAACCATAAGTGTTTAAGGGGTCATTTTGTTTATAAAGACAACGTCCCACTTTAAGACCTATTGCAAAAATGGCCACCATATGTTTCTAGAATATCGCTTCTGTTTTATCTCCAGAGCTAGCTTAGAAGTGGTATGAGAAAAAACTTAGAAAACAGTTATTTTTTGGCCGGTCGCGGTGGCTCACGCCTGTAATCCCAGCACTTTGGGAGTGCGAGGTGGGCGGATCACGAGGTCCTGGCCAACATGGTGAAACCCCATCTCTGCTAAAAATACAAAAATTAGCTGGGTGTGGCAGCGCGTGCCTGTAATCCCAGCTACTTGGGAGGCTGAGGCAGGAGAATCGCTTGAATCTGGGAGGCGGAGGTTGCAGTGAGCCGAGATTGTGCCACTGCACTCCAGCCTGGTGACACAGCTAGGCTCAGTCTCAAAAAAAACAAAAAAACAAAAAAACAAAAACCAGTTATTTTTCATTTTTCACTCATTGAATTCTAACCATATGCCCTCAAAGACTGTCAGAAGAGTGAGGACACACACACAACTGAAGGAGGAGGCAGAAGGAGAAAAGGCCGATGGGAGGCAAGGGTGAATTCGTATGAGAGTTTAGAAGGAGGACAACTGTAGCCTCATTGAGTGATCTTGGAAAGATTAGTTCCTGATTGTTCCATGGTTTTCTAATTGGGCGAGTAGTTGACTTCACAACTGTGGCAGCATATCTCCTCTGAGTTAGCTGAGGAGTTTGTGTATCAGGACACAGACTGTGAACAGTTCTCCTTAGCCCGGTCACCTGGTATGATCATATGGGGCATTTGCCACAAGGCCCCTGAAAGAGAAAATAAGTGTATTCATGGCTGTCTGGGCATTATGGCATTGTGACACCAGACCCAACTCCTCCCGGTCCCCTCCCATCCTGCAAAACATACCCTTAGTCTCTTCCTAGTCCCAGTTCTCAGTGTTCTTACAGTCTGGGTGTTTCTTTTTAGGATGTATGTGTTAGGCGATTGATTGGAATATGCATGGCCCCTATTGGACTACAACTTGGGTGATGCCCATTTTGTGGTTGCTCTATTTCTCTGAGGGAAGGTAAATGGATCTGAGGTGGGTCTCAGAACACCACAGGGACACTCCACTGCACTCACAGTGGCAGCTCCCCACAAGCAGGGCTGGGTTCCTTTACCAGGACTGCTTCTGCCCTTAGTGCAATTGCCCTTTATTCCTTTCATTTTTACTGGGATCAGCTTTTCATGGGTCTTTCTTCCCTAAGACTGCCATATGGGAAGTGGTATCTTAGCTCTCATTGACTTATTTTGTGTGGAGGTAGAGCGAGGGAGTCCAATTATTATTGTCTCAATAAGAGACATATTGAGACAATAATATTATTGTCTCTTGTCTATTATTATTGTCTATTGTTATTATTGAGATAATAATAATTAGACCCCCTCACCCTACCTCTGCTCAAAATAAGCTTTAGTTTATTCAGAAAAGCAAATTTAGCAACACCAATGAAAAACCATTTTTATAGTAAATTTTGTTAATCTCTAATGTATTTTCACACACATAAATATATCCTATTCTGGACCTAAATACATAGAATATAATTTTTACTTCTCTTTTGTCCAAGATGGAAAAAATGAAAGTAATAGTATTTTGAAAACTTCCCCATACACCTGCCATTCACTTTGTTTTTGTATATTCCTTATTGATGCTCATTGAGTGATCTTTGAAAGGCTAGTTCTTGATTATTCTTTGGTTTTCTAATTCGGTGAATAGTTGGTTTCACAACTGTGGCAGCATATCTTCTCTGTGTTAGTGGAGCCACTGAGATGACTCTTGAAAGAAAACCCACAAGGCTATCTGGTAGTCAATCCAAATGGAATAACTTTAATACAGACAGTGGAAGAGCCAGTAGAGATGTCCTCAGTCCTTGTTCACAGCCCTGAAGCTAAAGGAGTTTAAGGCTAATTGAAGTTTTGGAGGAGAAGAACCTAAAGTCCCTCACATATTGCAAGGTAGATTAGCAAAATGTCTGAAATGTATGGAATCTGGAACCAGACTACCTGGTTAGAATCTGGCTCCTGACACTACTGGTTATGTAACCCTGTTCTTCAATGCTTTCATGGGTAAAATGCATGTTCCAGGCTAAGCTGTGTGGAAGCAGATGATAAGGTGGAGTTTGGTGTGCAGGGCATTGATTAGAGATTAGGACATGTAAGAGGAAAAGGGAGGAAGGGAATTGGGCGAGCGAGAATTCAGTGATTCAGGCCTGACAATATAGGGAATAGCTCAGTGGGGAGTCCTGGAGTGAATATTGTCCATCGGTGTTACCCCAGGTCAGGCTGCAGTGGCCAGGTATGTC
Organism: Homo sapiens; assembly: GCF_000001405.40. Lineage (NCBI taxonomy): Eukaryota > Metazoa > Chordata > Mammalia > Primates > Hominidae > Homo > Homo sapiens. The sequence continues at coordinate 153,955,051 of NC_000004.12, forward strand.
TTTCCCCAACTCATTCTGCTGACACAGAGTTCCTGTTTGAAGAACATGACTCTGGACAGGACAGCTAGGCAGTTGAGACAGACCCTGAAGGAGCTGGAGGCTACCTGCAACTGAGAAGTGAGTCCTTTTTTGGAGTGGGATCTTGGTGACAAATTTCCATGTCTATCAAAAATGCAAGTAATAATAATACCTACCTCATAGGGTTATGATGAGGATTAAGTGAGCTATTATCTGGAGAGTTCTTACAAGAGCTTTTGCTGCTATTATTGTATGTGCATATGTGTGTGCAAGTAAATGTATGCAATGCTTCTGCTCCATCAACAGAATCTTAGAGAATGATTTCTAGAATATAGTGAACTAAAGCAAGTGTTTCGACATCTCGTTTGCTCTCTCTCTCTGTTATTGCAAATTCTGCTGCTAGAAGCTCATGGGTTATTTTATGCATTACTTTGTTACACAATTCAGGCGGGTCTTGACTTCTTTGTCTTCTGGACATTATGAGTGTTACAAATCTTTTGAATCACCCCGGGCAGTCATGATATAAACCTTGGCCTGTTTTTCCTACTAGATGATAAAATGCGAACAGTAGGAGCCAAGCAGAACTAAGGAAGGATGTGACTTAGGTTGGGGCTCCTAGGGAATGTTGAACAAATTGTGAAAGGAAGCAAACAATTTTAGAATAAGTGTGATGTGGTGCTGAGAGAAATGTATATTCTGTTGATTTGGGGTGGAGAGTTCTGTAGATGTCTATTAGGTCCGCTTGGTGCAGAGCTGAGTTTAATTCCTGGATATCCTTGTTAACTTTCTGTCTCATTGATCTGTCTAATGTTGACAGTGGGGTGTTAAAGTCTCCCATTATTATTGTGTGGGAGTCTAGCAAATGTAAAAGAACAGAAATTGTAATAAATTGTCTCTCAGACCACAGTGCAATCAAATTAGAACTCAGGATTAAGAAACTCACTAAAAACCACTCAGCTATATGGAAACTGAACAACCTGCTCCTGAATGACTACTGGGTACATAACGAAATGAAGGCAGAAATAAAGATGTTCTTTGAAACCAACGAGAACAAAGACATGACATACCAGAATCTCTGGGACACACTTAAAGCAGTGTGTAGAGGGAAATTTATAGCACTAAATGCCCACAAGAGAAAGCAGGAAAGATCTAAAATTGACACCCTAACATCACGATTGAAAGAGCTAGAGAAGCAAGAGCAAACACATTCAAAAGCTAGCAGAAGGCAAGAAATAACTAAGATCAGAGCAGAACTGAAGGAGATAGAGACACAAAAAACCCTTCAAAACATCAATGAACCCAGGAGCTGGTTTTTTGAAAAGATCAACAAAATTGATAGACTGCTAGCAAGACTAATAAAGAAGAAAAGAGAGAACAATCAAATAGATGCAATAAAAAATGATAAGGGGGATATCACCACTGATCCCACAGAAATACAAACTACCATCAGAATATACTATAAACACCTCTATGCAAATAAACTAGAAAATCTAGAAGAAATGTATAAATTCCTTGACATATACACCTCCCAAGACTAAACCAAGAAGAAGTTGAATCCCTGAATAGACCAACAACAGACTCTGAAATTGAGGCAATAATTAATAGCCTACCAACCAAAAAATGTCCAGGACCAGAGGGATTCAAAGCTGAATTCTACCAGAGGTACAAGGAGGAGCTGGTACCATAACTTCTGAAACTATTCCAATCAATGGAAAAAGAGGGAATCCTCTCTAACTCATTTTATGAGGCCGGCATCATCCTGATACCAAAGCCTGGCAGAGACACAACCAAAAAAGAGAATTTTAGACCAATATCCCTGATGAACATCGCTGTAAAAATCCTCAATAAAATACTGGCAAACCGAATCCAGCAGCACATCAAAAAGCTTATCCACCATGATCAAGTGGGCTTCATCCCTGGGATGCAAGGCTGGTTCAACATATGCAAATCAGTAAACATAATCCAGTATATAAACAGAACCAAAGACAAAAACCACATGATTATCTCAATAGATGCAGAAAAGGCCTTTGACAAAATTCAGCAGCACTTCATGCTAAAAACTCTCAATAAATTAGGTATTGATGGGATGTATCTCAAAATAATAATAGCTATTTATGACAAACCCATAGCCAACATCATACTGAATGTGCAAAAACTGGAAGCATTCCCTTTGAAAACTGGCACAAGACAGGGATGCCCTCTCTCACCACTCCTATTCAACATAGTGTTGGAAGTTCTGGCCAGGGCAATCAGGCAGGAGAAAGAAATAAAGGATATTCAATTAGGAAAAGAGGAAGTCAAATTGTCCCTGTTTGCAGATGACATGATTCTATATTTAGAACACCCCATCATCTCAGCCCAAAATCTCCTTAAGCTGATAAGCAACTTCAGCAAAGTCTCAGGATGCAAAATCAATGTGCAAAAATCACAAGCATTCTTATGCACCAGTAACAGACAAACAGAGAGCCAAATCATGAGTGAACTCCCATTCACAATTGCTTCAAAGAGAATAAAATACCTAGGAATCCAACTTACAAGGGATGTGAAGGACCTCTTCAAGGAGAACTACAAACCACTGCTCAATGAAATAAAAGAGGATGCAAACAAATTGAAGAGCATTCCATGCTCATGGATAGGAAGAATCAATATGGTGAAAATGGCCATACGGCCCAAGGTAATTTATACATTCAATGCCATCCACATCAAGCTACCAATGACTTTCTTCAACGAATTGGAAAAAACTGCTTTAAAGTTCATATGGAACCAAAAAAGAGCCCGCATTGCCAAGTCAATCCTAAGCCAAAAGAACAAAGCTGGAGGCATCACGCTACCTGACTTCAAACTATACTACAAGACTGCAGTAACCAAAACAGCATGGTACTGTTACCAAAACAGAGATATTGACCAATGGAACAGAACAGAGCCCTCAGAAATAATACCACACATCTACAACCATCTGATCTTTGACAAACCTGACAAAAACAAACAATGGGGAAAGGATTCCCTGTTTAACAAATGGTGCTGGGAAAACTGGCTAGCCATATGTAGAAAGCTGAAACTGGATCCCTTCCTTACGCCTTATACCAAAATTAATTCAAGATGGATTAAAGACTTAAATGTTAGACATAAAACAATAAAAACCCTAGAAGAAAACCTAGGCAATACCATTCAGGACATAGGCATGGGCAAGGACTTCATGTCTAAAACACCAAAGGCAATGGCAACAAAAGCCAAAATTGACAAATGGGATCTAATTAAACTAAAGAGCTTCTGCACAGCAAAAGAAACTACCATCAGAGTGAACAGGCAAACTACAGAATGGGAGAAGATTTTTGCAATCTACTCATCTGACAAAGGGCTAATATCCAGAATCTACAATGAACTCCAACAAATTTACAAGAAAAAAACAAACAATCCTATCAAAAAGTGGGCAAAGGATATGAACAGACACTTCTCAAAAGAAGACATTTATGCAGGCAACAGACACATGAAAAAATGCTCTTCATCACTGGCCATCAGAGAAATGCAAATCAAAACCACAAAGGGATATGATCTCACACCAGTTAGAATGGCGATCATTAAAAAGTCAGGAAACAACAGGTGCTGGAGAGGATGTGGAGAAATAGGAATAGTTTTACACTGTTGGTGGGACTGTGAACTAGTTCAACCATTGTGGAAGACAGTGTTCCATTTCCTCAAGGATCTAGAACTAGAAATAGCATTTGACCCAGCCATCCCATTACTGGGTATATACCCAAAGGATTATAATTCATGCTGCTATAAAGACACATGCACATGTATGTTTATTGTGGCACTATTCACAATAGCAAAAACTTGGAACCAACCCAGATGTCCATCAATAATAGAGTGGATTAAGAAAATGTGGCACATATTCACCATGGAATACTATACAGCCATAAAAAGGATGAGTTCATATCCTTTGTAGGGACATGGATGAAGCTGGAAACCATCATTCTCAACAAACTATTGCAAGGACAGAAAACCAAACACCGCATGTTCTCACTCATAGGTGGGAACTGAACAATGAGAACACTTGGACACAGGAAGGGAAACATCACACACCAACGCCTGTAGTGAGGTGGGGGGAGAGGGGAGGGATAGCATTAGGAGATATACCTAATGTAAATGACGAGTTAATGGGTGCAGCACACCAACATGGCGCATGTATACATATGTAACAAACCTGCACGTTGTGCACATGTTCCCTAAAACTTAAAGTATAATAAAAAAAAAAAACCCAGAAAGGAAGCAAACAAACTTCTGTGCACTGAATCCTCAATTCAGACTCTGGGAGAGCAGGGGGCTCTGTAGGGCTGACTTAAATCAAGAAGCCTGGTGGTTAGGGTGCACAGAAGGCCCAGCCTAGCTCTGTAGATTGGCTGGCTTCTGAAATTCCAGACTCTGGTTCAAGTTTTACCTGTGCTTGTCTCAAATGCTGTAGGCTGAAGGAGCAAAGAACTTCACCCTTTGAAACTGTCTGAGGTTGCTTTTCAGATTGAATCGGGTAACAAAGGACTCACTCTCGTTGGCAAAGAACAGAAGATGTTTGCTTCCTGGGGCATAGTGGTTGGTACTAGGATATATTCATTTAAAGAATGAAGCTGTGAATAAAAGTTTTGATTTTGGAAGAGCTCACAGTCTGAAGAAAGGAGAGCACAAATTGAGAAAAATGTGTGCATAAAAATATGAACTTAAATGTGAACACTGAGAGAGTGAGGTCTACTTTATGGCTAGGTGAGTTCTGAAGGTGTTTTTGAGAGGAGGCTCTGAAGAGAGGAGTCTGGGAAGACTATGAGTAAAGTAAACATTTTGAAGAACACTTTGAAGGAGGGAAGGAGATCATGACTTGTTGAAAAAGAGAACCCCTTAAGAATACATGTTTCTGAGTTCCTTATACAGCTGAACCTTGGACAACACCATTGTTAGGGGTAGTGACCCCCACACACAGTAAAAAATTCATGGATAACTTTTGACTCCCCCAGAACTGAACTACTAATAGCCTACTGTTGACCGGAAGCCTTACTAATAACATGAACAGTGGATTAACAAGTATTTAGTATGTTATATGTATTATATATTGTATCCTTATGATAAAGTAAGCTGAAGAAAAGAAAATGTTATTAAAATCATAAGAAAGGGAAAACATATTTACTATTCACCAGGTGAGAGAGGATCATGGTAAGTTTCTTTATCCTCGTCATTTATGTTGAGTAGACTGAGGAGTAGGAGAATTTTTTATTTTGATTTTGCTGTCTCAGGGGTGGCAGAGGTGGGGAGATGGAGGAGGTGTGAGGGGAGACAGGAGAGGCAGGCACTCTCGGTATAACTTTTATTGAAAAACATCCATGTATAAATGGACCCATGCAGTTAAAACTTGTGTTGTTTAGGAGTCAACTCTATGCAGAAATCATATATCTGTCACTTTGGTATCCCTAGAACTTTACATAGCATTTGGTACATGGTAGGTCTCAAAAAATGTAGGTTGAACTGAGGGCAATCACTCAGGCTACTGCATAGGGGATGGGTTGCAGTAGATGGGGACAAAGGCAAAGAGAGATGTGACCATGAGCCAAGGATAAGAGGTCTAGAGAGGGCATGGCTAGGACACCAGGAATGGACAAAGGAAGTCTAACACGTGTGTGGATCTGTGTTTCCCAATCAGGGTCTATAGATACCTTCTCAAGGCCCAGCAAGTGCTCCCTAAGATTTTGAAAAGGCTGCCTTTTCTTTTTGATCATCTGAATAAACCATATTGTAACTAAACCTGCTGTATGATTTAGATGCTGTATTTTCTTTGTATTTGTAGTTGAGAATTGGCACCACGTAATTGCCAAAATGACAGCATTTAACGTTTAATGTGCTGTTAGGCACGCCTGGTTGCCACTGGGTTGGTTGCTCCTAAAGTCAAAATCATAGTAACCGTTCTTGGCTGCCACTGTTCAGCAGATGACTGTTTACCCAGGAGTCTGAACACTAGCAATGCTCAAAGAACAAAATTGTCCTAAATGACTTTAAAATACATATTTTAAACTCTTTATGTAACAGTGATGAGCTCTGGTGCATTTGCTCCTGTGGATGCCTGGGATTCAGGGGTCCAGACAGCATAGGGTATCAAGGAGGTGTGAATGACTAAATGGTCACTATAGAATAATAGCATTTTCCCTACAACCCCCTTGTCTCTGGCTTTCTGTCTAAGATTGAGTTGTGGTGCTTCTGGGATATTCATTATTTTGGCAGGTAACAGCTAAGCAAAAGTGCTAAAATGTTAAGTTGAAATTTGGCAAATATATTTTACATATCCCATTGTTTCTTCTAAATGCTGGAAAGAAAAAATAAGGGGATGAGTATATGAAATATTGGGGTGGAGCAGTGTTTTCCATCCTTGTGTGCTTTTGGAATTAAGACTCTAGAAATATAGGGAATCCTGATGAAGCTATAAACCAGGACATGCAAAAAAAAAAAAAAAAAAAAAAAGACCAGAGTGTGAAGGTCAAATTTTAAAAATCAGTTGCAAAGGCACAATTTCTCCTTTGCAGTGAAATTTGCTCTCAGAAGGAACTTTCATAGAGCAAAATTTTGGTTCCTTGAGTATTTGATATATGGACTTGTTGATTTGGTTTGCAAGAAAATGGGATGGTGTGGCCGAGTGATCTATTGTTAAAATGTTGAAGCTTAATGAGAAAAGGAAAGGGTGGGTTTAATATGTAAATGATGTGATTGTACCACATGATATTATAGTTCATTATATGGAGGAAATGTTTGCAGTTACTGGAATACAGACAAAAGGTTGTAGAATTGGGTTATTATGTGGTAAACGGTGGCATAGATAGGCTGAACTCAAATGACGTTGGTTAGTAGCAGTTAGTTTCATAGAGTCCCTTGTGAATTGTGTTTGGTTTGGGCATGTTAATATTACCTGGTTCTTTCAGAATTATCAATATACTGAAGTGTGTAAGTGTAATCCATGTGGTTAGCTACTTTTGTCTGTTTTATTTATCACTGTACCTCTAGCACTTTCGACAGTATCCGGTACATAATAGATACTCAATAAAAACCTTTTGGAATGAATAAATTAAAATTTTATTGGTTTTATACTTTCATTGTGTTTAGTTCATAGATTTGTTTTTGTTTTATGATTGCATAAGAACTTTATGCTTAAGAACTTTAAACCTAGTTCTACATTGTGCACATTGAAATGAAATTAAGATAGTTAAATTCAACCAGCGTCTGTGAAAGTGTTTATTTTTATTGGTGTGTATATCTTACTTTAGTTTGTCAAGTACTGCAATGGAGCAGGAGTAATCAAGTTACAAACTCTGTGTTGCGTGTGTTAGAGGGGAAGGGAAGTAGAAAGTGAAACAAAAGAAAAGAGAAAAGGAGAGAGCTTAGACATGAAGCCAAGACGATGAACCTCAGGAGTTTCCAGGGACTGACATCATTGCTTCTGTAGTGGGTTAAATATTCCCCACCCCCCGCAAAAGAATGTGAAACCAGAATTGTGAAGGTGACCTTATTTGGAGTAAGAGTTTTTGCCATTGTGATTAAGGCAAGGATCTAGAGATCAAGTCATCCTGGATGAGGAAGGGCCCTAAATTCACTGATGGGTGTCCTCATAAGAGAAAAGGAAGAGACACAGAGAGACACAGAGAGGAAGGCCATGAGAAGAAGAAAGCAGAGGTTGGAGTGATGCATTTACAAGCTCAGAAGCACCAAGAACTATGGGCAGCCACCAGATGCTGGAGGGAGTAGGTCCTCCCTCAGAGCCTCCAGAAGGAACCAACCCTGCTGACGCTTTCACTTCACACTTCTGGCCCCTGGAACTGTAAGGGCATACATTTCTATGGTTCTAAGCTACCACATTTGTGGCAATTACTGCCCTAGGAAGCTAATACAGCAGTGGGATATTGAGATAAACAGAACCCATCCCTAGAACTGATGAAACACTAATATGCTTGCTTATTAATAAATAATTTATTTTGTTATAGAAGTTTTTAAAATATTGTGTCTCCTAAGTGGATTCACATTTGAGAAGCTCTGCACAAAGTCCTTTAAAAACCACCCAGCTCCCACAAAGCAGATTTCTGACACGAAGGACTTTTTCCCTTTGTCCAGAGCCTCAGTTAGTGCCCTACACCCCCACCTCTCCATTGATCACACATTGGCTTGAGTGTGCTCATGCACTCCAGGCAAGGCTCCTCTTTCATTGTTCCTCTCCTTTGAGGTAAAGAAAGAGCAAAATGAGGTGACTGGTTTGCTAAAGGAGCTATTCCAAATGATTATTGCTAACACCCAAACCCAAAGCCAGATACAATCCCATGAGTCATACTTGACTAACATTATAATCGGTTCACGGACTTAATAATTGTCACATTTCCGTGTGTTGTCTTCTAATCATTAATCTCTTTCTGCATGTGAGGAGTACTTTCCAGTGTGGCTGTCCAGAAGTTAAGACTTGAAAAGAGTGTATTTTCTCTTTATAGAAGTTTTAAAATTCAATTTAAAAATATTTCCAAATATGCCCTGAATATCTAAAATATCAAATAATCATTGAATAAGTGCCACATCCATGAGGGTTTTTTTTCTTTTTTTTCCTGGCAGGAAGATACATAAATTAGATCAGCATGGGTCCTGCAATCTTCTTTTGAGAAACCTGTACATTCCTTTCCTGTCACAATGGCTAGAAAAGGCACTTTATATTCCACATCCCAAATAGAGCCTCGGGTTTAGAAATGCTAGTGTTTTCATCTGCTTAAATCAGAGAGGACTCTGAAGGGTGGGGAAGAAGTATTATTTTTCATTTCAACCATTTTAAAGAATTAACTTTCCAGAAGAACTTTTGTTCCTATGATAAACCTAATTAGACCTACTTATTCATTTGAAAAAAAAAAGAAAAAAAAAAACTTGGAAGAGCCAAGAATCTGTCAGCTCCATAATAGTGGTTGACCAAGCTCTGGCATTGAACTCTTGCAAGATTTCTGCAGGGCGAGAGGACTTTTGGAGTGGAAGCAAGTCTTACAAGGAAGCAAACCTGGGGCGACAAGATCTGGGCTTGACTCTGTTGCTAATGTGCTCTGCAGTCAGGGAAGAAAGGTTTCATCTCTGAATTTAATTTATCTGTTAGGATATTTCCCAAAGTGAAACTGCCTTCTCCCCTAACCCAAAGGCAAGTGGACTGTCTTGCAGCAAAGCAGCCCGCAGTGGAGGAGAAGCTTAAGAGATGCCATGCACATATTCCTGAAGCTGGGTGTAAAGGAACTTGAAACGTTGAATGTTTTCAATGGATTGGCAAGCTTGGTATTGAGGCGTCTTCTGTGTTTAATCTGTGGGTGAAATAACTACCTTTTGTATTATGTTTTCACACACAATAAAACCCCTGGATCAGGAGGCCGAGGAGGCAGGCTGCATAGCAGAGAGACAGCTCCACGTGGGCTCAAATCCTACCTCTCTCTCTTCCTAGCTGTGTGACCTTAGAAAAAAGACTTAAGTCACCTGACTATTCTTTCAGTTGTGAAATGGTCATAGCTATGGAGAATTCAGAGAGTTGATGCTGGGGATGAAACAAGTTAGTGTGTCCAGATGCCCAGCATGGTGCTTGGCCCCAGGGTGGTCCTCTCCATGAAAGCACAACAACAAATTCTCATCTCTCCATTCTCTCACCAAGTGAGCATCCCCCGGTCCCTCACTTAGGTTCCTTATATCCTGGCACGTTTAAATATTACTTCATTTCTAGACTTAGTTAAGATTTGGTTTGGCTGTAGGTCATAGAGGCCCCAAATATCAGCAGCTTAAACTGGATAGGAATTGATTTCTCTGTAGTAGAAATCTGCAGTAGACAATACGGGTGATCATTCTGCTCATGAGTCCTGGGGGACCTGGGCAACTGCTCTTTTGTTTCTCCCTCATGCAAGCCTCTCATCTCATTTCCCATCTTCAGTAAAAGAATAGAAGAGATTGCAAAAATTTTCTCCCATTCTGTAGGTTGCCTGTTCACTCTGATGGTAGTTTCTTTTGCTCTGCAGAAGCTCTTCAGTTTAATTAGATCCCATTTGTCAATTTTGGCTTTTGTTGCCATTGCTTTTGATGTTTTACACATGAAGTCCTTGCCCATGCCTGTGTCCTGAATGGTATTGCCTAGGTTTTCTTCTAGGGTTTTTTATGGTTTTAGGTCTAACATTTAAGTCTTTAATCCATCTTGAATTAATTTTTGTATAAGATGTAAGGAAGGGATCCATTTTCAGCTTTCTACATATGTCTAGCCAGTTTTCCCAGCACCATTTGTTAAATAGGGAATCCTTTCCGCATTTCTTGTTTTTGTCAGGTTTATCAAAGATCAGATAGCACTCACTGGGGCCTGTTGTGGGGTGTGGGGAGTAGGGAGGGATAGCATTAGGAGATATATCTAATGTAAATGACGAGTTGATGGGTGCAGCACACCAACATGACACAAGTATACATATGTAACAAACCTGCACATTGTGCACATGTACCCTAGAACTTAAAGTATAATCAAAATATTTAAAAAAAAGAAGAGAAGAGAATGTGGCCAAGAGGCAAAGGAAGTCAGATGTGAGAACTACGAGTAGTGAGTTTTGATAATTTTTGAGTCCTTTGTAGTCCTTGAGGCCAACTCCACCCCAATATCTCAGTTTGATATCTCCAACAAGTCTGTGTTTTGCTTCAATGTGAGTTTCTGTCATTGCAACTGATTGACTCATGACAAATTTATGCCTCTAGTTCAAAACTCATGGGAAGCACTGCTCATAGACCTGGCTGTGAGTCTGGGCTAAGTTAAAGTACTTTGGTTTTAAAACTAACATTAAAAAAATTAAAAATCATATCACCTGTAAATGTACTAAGCAAGTTTATCATTTTAAAATGTAAGCTTAGCCATGAGGTTAGGAGGATGCAGTGTGGCGCCAGGGTGCCTTGGTGCAAATCTGAGTCCTTTCACTTAACTAGAGGATGATTCTGGCAAACCACTTCATCTGTCAGTGTCTCAGAGAGATGCTAACCAATCTATCTCACATGATTGTTCTGAGGATTAAAGGAATTAATATCGGTACAAGTTAAAATAGTGCTTGGATCATATCAGCTATAAGACTTTATAAGATACTTGTATAAATTACTAAGATCTGTTTTGGGGGCTCTCAGTGCAGGCAGAGGCTTAAATTAATTTCACTCTTCTGTTTGTGGAAAAAGTAATAACCATTAATTAGTTACTTTACAAAAACTTTACTGGTAATTTAAAAATATTTTTAAGTAACTACTCTAGAATTTACCAACTTAATATTGCCAGATTTTAATATATTGGGGTTGCTTCACACAAGATAAATCTACACACTTAGAATTAAAATATGGCACAATTTCCCTGATAAAATATGGCATGGTTTTATTTTGCTATAAAAGTATCCACAGAAATCCAGTATTATGGATGGAATGCAGCTTTTGCAAGCTATTTTATCATTGCCATTACCTTTTCTTTCAGTAATATTTTATGGAGGCTTATTTGGAAAGCTGGGGTTGAGGAGTGTTACAGGCCATAGCTGGTACTTTCACAATAGCAGGCCTGGTGAATTGAGAATGATGAAGGCAGCTGACTCTGCAGATAGTGAACAGAGCTTGAGAAATTATGAAGTATCAGGATTCCAAATCAGTAAAAGAGCTGGACTCCAGTGAGGAGATATTAATAATTAGGTTACATTAATAAAATCTGTATCTGGCCAACTGACACTTTCTGAATCTCATTGAGGAGGATGTCAACTGTGTGATATGTCCTGGAATTAAACATAATCTGGGTGCATGTTGAGAAGGTACACCAGTTCTTGGTTAAATATGTGTAAAACTCTCAAGACTCAGCAAGGGAAAGATAGCCCAGAAATGTACACTTAAATGTTAATGCTTCTGCAAAGAATTGCAGATCCTCATACAAACATCTAAATGAACAACCTCTTAGCCTTAGCTCAGGCAGCATCTGCGTTATCATTAGTAAGGGATTGCCCTGACCTGCAACGAGAGTCTCTCGTAATATTCTCACAGCTAGTTGTTTTCAATTACTTCAACTTTTTCCCAAAACCAAGCTGCAGAATGTCAGAGCCTGAGACAACTGGAGCAATCCTCTTCACTCCTTGCATTATTTTACAGATGAGGGAATGGAGGCTTAGAGAGGAAGAATGGTCCAAGATGGTGCAGCAAATGGCAGCCTCAGGAAGAGGATCCTGACCAGTTCCCTGAAAGGTCATTATTAGTAATTATTAGTAATTACAATCATTATTAGTAATTAAAACAGAGGGGCAGTTTTCTCTGTGATGTGATTTGCATATGACCTACTAGCATTATTTGCAGATCCTACTGAATCAGTAAGTCCAAGGAATAGCTAACCAGGAATTTGAGCCAGCAGGGACAATCCTGCAAAAATGCAACTCCAGGACAGACCTGCCACTGTAACTGACATGGCAGTCTGACTTGTCACCCCTAAAGGAAGGCTTTCCAAAGGGTGGCTACCTGGGAACTGTCATGCTTGTCATCAAAACAGAGGGTAAAGCATTTTGTTAGATAAACCCAGCCTGTTTATAGTATTCTACAGTGTATATAAAAGTCAGTGGTTGGTTACTAGCTTGTGGTAAATAGTTATAGGCAGGAAAATGCTATCCTATATGGTTGGCATAAAGTCTAAATGATATTTCCACATCTAAATGTACTCTCAAAGGTAATAACATGTTGCTCGTGATTACTGCAGAGCTGATAGCACTGCCAAGTTTAGATTTTTAAAACCATTCCTATTATAAGCTTTTTGACTCTTGACTGCTATGCAAGCTGGGGTTTTCTTACTAGCTGGCCTGTTGAAGAAATTGGAGCTGGGGTGCAAGAGAAGGTGTAAGGCAAGAAAATAATTGTGATTTACATGTTATTTTATTTAGAAATTGAGCAAATATTTATAAGGAGAGAAATTCTCTGATACAGTTGTTATTGAAAGTAACTTTTAAAAGACAAAGGCTTGATTCTTAAATGCTTCTTACCTGTATTTCCTTAATGTCGCCTTAATTTTCTACACATCCATGAGCACAATTTATTTTCTTGCTAGCCTTCTCTTTCTTTTTCTTTAGTCCTTCCAAATTTCCTTTCACAATATCTAGCTTGGAATCTAGGGTAGAGCTGAACGCCCGCGTGATCCCCAGCCACGAGGCACTAGGTGTTAGTTCTGCTGCCTGGGTGGGTTTTCTTCTGTCCTTGACAATCCAGCTCTGATGCTATGGGGGACATGAGGCATAGGGTACAGTTGTGGTTGATGTTTCCCTAGTCCTCTCCTGGGAATGATTGTGTGGCCAACTGAGACCATCAGCAGTGGCAGTGGCAGTGGCAGGTCACATAGTCTAGTGGGTGGAAAGAGCCCTGTACTCAGGGTAAGGTTAGCTGGGTTCTGGTCCTCACTTCTGTGTGGTCCTGGGCAGATCACTCAATTTCTCTGAGAATCTTTTTCCTCATCTATTAAGTGACAGTGTTGGATGATGTAATCTCTAATTCCTTTCCATTTCCAATGTTCATGATTCAGGAGACTCAATTTGATCCAAGGCGTATCCAATTCTATTTAATAAGAGTCGTGTTATGATGGGATTCCTCTCTACATTCTCAAAAGAAAATAAAAATAGATATTTATTTTGGAGTTATAGTAATTGAATGTGACTGCTTTTGGTGAAATTCCAGAATCAGGGAGCTTACTAGGCATTAATGGAGGAGCATAATGAGCCGAGGTCTCAGTCTGATTTTTCATTTTAAATTGGATATGATTGTTTCATCTTGCACTTATGTACCCTGAAAATATCAGATAGCAACAGAGCACAGTCAGAATTCCATGCAAATCTGTTATTCTCATGGCAGGTAGAGTTGCGCAAGTCTCTAGAAGGGAGAGTATCATGGTAGTTAGTGGGGACCCCTGTCTCAAATGTCTCCTTAGTTAGTGTAAGGAGCTATAATCACTCCAGCTCTCTGTACTTCATTGCATGTGTTCACATAGATGAAAATTGTTGGACAAAACAGCCAAACTTGTGGTTGAAGCCTAGTGATTGGAGAGAAAAGACAGAACTAAATAAGAGCTCTCATTTATAAAATGTTGAAAAGAAAATCAGGCTGGGTGCAGTGGTTCATGCCTGTAATCACAAGGCTTTGGGAGGCTGAAGCATGAGGATTGCTTGAGCCTAGGAGTTTGAGGTTGTAGTGAGCTATGATTGCACTACTGCACTCCAGCCTGGGTGACAGAGTGAGATCCTAACTTAAAAAAAAATGAGTACCATCTAGGAATCTGATTCATACAATCATCTAAACCAGAGGATCTCAGCTTGATGTAAGGACACACTGGTGAGTCTCCATTTTTTTGGGATGTGTTGTGAATAACGTGTTCAGATGTATTAGGTATAATAGATAAAGTAATCTAGTTGCAAAATTTCACATGAAAACAATTAGAGCAGATTCAAGGTTATCCCTTTAATATTTTTATTTCTTTCATTTGAAGTCCAGTGTTTTTAAAAGTGAGAGGAAAAGGGGGTTTAATTACAACTAGGGTACAGGGAACTATGTATTACTCTGGGGGTTTCCATGGGACTGAGTCTTGCATATGAACTCATCTTGCCTGGCAGGAAAAAAAAAGTTGAAAACTGCTGAACTAAAAGATCACTTGTGAATCTCATAGCAACCTAGATTGAGCAATCACTAGGGACTCAGTGAGTACTAAAATTGATACATGTATCATTATTTGTCACTGGGGTGATCACACACACACATTCAACTTGCCTTTATATATAAGGTACACATATTCACTGTAAATGAATATTTAGATATTTGGAATATTTAGATATAAAAAGTAAATCATAATCCCAGGTGCAATCATAGTAATCTATCTCTAAGAATTACTCTGATAATTAAATGAGTGAATATAGCTGTCAAATAGTACAGCTGTGCCTGGCCCAGAGCCAGTAAGCACATCTGAGTGTAAACTGGGATCATGATCATGAACTCGGGCAAACATCGTTTTGATTAGCCCTATAGCTGCTCCTCCTCCAGCGTTTCCTAACTCAGTAAGTGGCACTCTCATGTTTTAAAGTTATTCAGGCCGAAACTTCACTCTTTCTATGTCTCTCACTGTGTAACCAGTACATTAGATAATCCTACTGATATTACCTTTAATATATATCCATGCATCATACAAAGATTAATAATTAATTGAAACAATGTCTTATTAATGAAACTTTGGATTGATTTCAAATTTTTCCCATCATAAAAACTGCTGGCGTAAGCATCTTTAGGAACACTCCTAATTACCACAGGATAAGTTGTTGGAAGTGAAGGGTGACCTCAGATATAATTATTTGCAGGCTTTTACTACACTACAGAGTCCCAGATTCTCTTTTAGGGTAGTTGTGCCATATCTGATTCCACCATCAATATAGAGACAACCTTTATTATAAAGCTTGCATTTGCATAGAAAGATTCCAGAGGTGGAGTTTTATTTATTGAGCTTGAATTGCACCAGAAAAGGTCAAGTATACTCAGCAGCATTTCAGATGTTTTGGGGGTGGCAAATATGAAAAAATATGATGGAGATAATTTTGATTTGAAGCATTAATGCACTTTTGGACTGTCGATTTGCAGAACAGTGAAAGGACTGACAGTCCTCAAAGCCAGGCAAGCACAGCAACCACTCTTCTCCCAAATGCAAAAACCCTGTAAGACAAACTATTTCTAAAGCTGATAATTCTGCCCTAACACAGGATGGTTACATCACCTCAAGTTTGAGTAAGGAGGAAAGAGAGATTTTTCCAGGAAATACTGCATGATTTCAAGGATTCTTGAGCAAAGATTGACAGAGAACATTCGTGAAGATGTATATAGGCAGTTCAGTCTTGCTTGCATGACTTTCTCTAAGATATACCAGCCCCCACGATCCAAGTGTTTCCCTTGTAATGTTGGTTAAAATCAGAGATTCCCATGCCAAGTATGAATGAGTTAAAAAATGTGCATTTTTGTGGTGCTTTATCTATTGGTCTTTAATAGACTTTTAACAGAAGTGGGAATAGAAGTGGGAATAGAAGTGGGAATGGAAGTGAATCACCCTGCTGGCCCTAAGGAGGCCTAGTAGCCACCTGGTTTAATACTTATGGTTAGAAATATAGAACTACCCTTGCAGTTTTGTGCAACTTGTGTTCAGAGAGCAGGGCTGGAAAAATTTGATATTCCAGAGGGCCTGCAGTAGGTTCTTCAGAAATTCCTGTGAGCCAGTGTCAGGAGAACAAGGAAGACTGTTACAGGAAAGCTATGAATGTCTGTAGAATTGTACCCTTTTCTCTTATCCCTATTCTATTGCTTGGGGACTTTGGTGTTGTTTTTTTTTCTGAGGATCCGAGGGTCGGGGGTGGTATTAGATCTGTGTTTCCTGGACATAGGGCCATAGCCTCCTCATACTCACACATGCTCGTCCTCTTAAACCTGGCAAGAGACTTTAGATAGGTAACCACCCTGCCACATGGTTAGGGGTAGATACACTTCTCTAGATGTTATTCCATCATCTCTCTAGTCTTAGGAAGCATCTCTGTGAGCAATAAAGTTAACTGACTCCAAATTTTTCTGATTAAGAGCAGAACAGAATCCTGCTAACATCACCATTACTGCAAAGATCTTAGACAAGAAAGAGGAACTTTTGGAAATATTTTGTAATCCACCCTGCTCTTTGTGAATGCTCTACAGTACTTAATCCATACAACAAGTACTTCTTTCTTGGGAATAATTTTAAATTTATTATTGTGGAAGCCCTAGTGATAAGCTGTGTAATTCCGATTCCTGCCCAGAGGTGTTGAATCGGCCAAGGGAAACTACGAGAATGAACCCAATTTCTCAACAATTTCATATGTTGGAGAATTTACTCATCCCATGTTCCAAGTGTTGCCCTAAGAGCCAGCGTGGAGCAGGAGACATGCATTAGCTCCATACCCCCTGCTTCCTGGACTCACAGAGTGGAAACTGGTCTCTCCATGACTCAGGGTGAGGAGGTTGGACTGGGGGCCCTGCTGTTCCCCCTCAGGGTGTCTGATTTTTATCTCCCTGATTTCACAGTTTGTTAATAACATTTTTGAAAGTTCTGTGGGCTCCAAAATTGTTTCCACAGTTTTATTTTATTTTTGGCATTAAAGATTTAATTTTGCTATTTCGTGAGAGTGAAAATGCTCTTGTCCTGTGATTTAAGTGTGTGACATTTCAGTGTTAAGTCCTGGACTGGAGAGCTGTAAATTGACTTTTTCTGGGTCACTTGAAGGTGAACTAAATGGTTCTCTCTTGTTCTGGAGAAAGGGTCTTCCCTTGCAGAAGCTGCATCCAGACAGCCCTTGTACAAGTCACATGCATGGCACCTAGAAAGAGGAAGTTTGGGAGCTTGATTCTACTGGAATCAACCTGTGCTAATGGGCTAATGAACTAGGTGAGACCCCTTCAGAGCCTTGCCTGCTTCAGTCAACAGACTTTGAGCGAGCATTTCCTATGTGCCATGCACAGTGTATGAGGTGCTGGGGGTACAAACAGGGAGAAGACACAGTTTGTGTCTCCCAAAGGCTCAGAGTAGGGAGTTGTAATTGGAGGCTGGGGCCACATTGCAGCTCTGCTGCTTACTCATTGTATAACAAAGTCAGTCACTTGACCTTGGTGAGTCTCAATTTTCTCATATGTAAAATGACTCCACACATCTGAGGTGTGATGAGAATCAGTTGTCAGTTGTCAGATGCCGTCCACAGTCCTCTGAAGTTCACAGTTGGAAATATAAACGAGTGCTTGCAATTATGTTCTTCATCCTTCAGAGACTTAGTCCTTCATCTGTAAAATAATTTCTCTACTCCTCAGGGTCGTGGTGAAGATGAAGCAGAATGATCTCTGAAAATCTTCTCTAATGGTGCTAGCATGCGCTAGTTGCTCAATAAGTATTACTTTTCTACCCTTCAAAACCTTCCTGTGGCCCAGATGCCTGGTCTGGCATAGAGAGGTTAGTTAGGGAGGTATGTTGTTTGAACCCTGAGGTGTCCTCCTACCTTTCTATCTGTTAATTTTGTATTAATTTTCAACACATATTAAACTTGGGAGTTTCCAATAAAATTCTGGTTTCCTGCTTCTCCCTTTTAAATATGTTACCAAAAGCAATACATATACAGAATTATAAAAAGTCAAATAGTAGATAAGAATTAGAAATATCAGTTTCCTACCTTCCCGTCCTAAGTCAGATTCCCCAGAGACAGCTGTTTTTGTTTATTTTAGCTTTATTCCTTAATATGTAGTTCTATATTTCTAAATAATATGATACTGCTACTTCTCATTATAATTATTGACTTTTCTTATAAAAGATAAAAATTTAAATCCCTTAAATAACTCATGATATGGCTTGGCTCTGTGTCCCCGCCCAAATCTCATGTTGAATTGTCATCCCCAGTGTTGGAGAAGGAGCCTGGTGGGAGGTGGTTGGATCATGGAGACAGATTTCCCCCTCAATGCTGCTCTTGTGATAGTGAGTGAGTGCTTGAAGATTGGTTGTTTAAAAGTGTGGCACCTCCCCTGTTTCTCCCTCTCTCTCCTGTTTCATCATATGAGGACAGTGCCTCCTTCCTCTTCACCATCTGCCATGACTGTAAGTTTTCTGAGGCCTCCCCATAAGCAGAAACCTGTACAGCCTGCAGTCCTGTGAGCCAATTAAACTTCTTTTCTTTATAAATTGCCCAGTCTCAGGTAGCAGTGTGAGAACAGACTAACACAGAAAATTGGTACCAGAGAAATTGGGTATTGCTATAAAGAAATCTGAAAATGTGGAAGGGACTTTGGAACCAGGTAATGGGCAGAGGTTAGAACAGTTTAGAGGGCTCAGAAGAAGACAGGAAGATGTAAGAAAGTTTGGAACTTCCTAGAGAGTTGTTGAATGGTTGTGACCAAAATGCGGATAGTGATAGGGACAGTGAAGTCCAGGCTGAGGTAGTTTCAGATAGAGATGAAGAACTTATTGGGAAATGGAGTAAAGGTCACTCTTGCTATTCTTTAGCAAGAAAAAACAAACAAACAAAAAAATAAAACAAACAAAAAAATGGCAGAATTGCGCCCTGTTCTAGAGATCTGTGGAACTTTGACCTTGAGAGAGATGATTTATGGTATCTGGTGGAAGAAATTTCTAAGCAGCAAAGGGTTCACGATGTGGCCTGGCTGCTTTGAAAATCCTATAATCGTATGCATATGCCAAGAAATGACCTAAACTGGAACTTATATTTAAAAAGAAAGCAGACCATAAAAGTTTGGAAAATTTGCAGCCCAGCCATGTGGTAGAAAGAATAACCCATTTTCTGGGGAGGAATTCAAGACAGCTGCAGAAATTTGCATAAGTAAAGAGGAGCTGAATATTAATAGCCAAGACAATGGGGAAAATTTCTGGAAGGGATTTCAGAGAGCTTTGCAGCAGCCTTTCCCATCACAGGCCCAGAGGCCTAGG
Organism: Homo sapiens; assembly: GCF_000001405.40. NCBI lineage: Eukaryota > Metazoa > Chordata > Mammalia > Primates > Hominidae > Homo > Homo sapiens. Next base: position 153,974,588 of record NC_000004.12, read on the forward strand.
AGGAAAGAATGGTTTTGTGGGCTGGGCCCAGGGCCCTGCTGCCTGGTGCAACCTTGGGGCACTGCTCCCTGCATCCCAGCTGTTCCAGCTTTGGCTAAAGTGTCCCAGATACATTTCAGGCCACTGCTCCAGAGGGGACAAGCTGGAATCTGCCAAGCCTTCCACACGGTGTTAAGCCTGTGGGTGCACAGAGGACAAGAGTTGAGTTTTGGTAGCCTCTGCCTTGATTTCAGGGGATGTATGGAAATGCCTGTATGTCCAAGCAGAATTCTGCTGCAGAGGCAGAGCCCTCATGAAGAATCCCTACTAGGGCAGTGCAGAGGGGAAATGTGGGGCTGGAGCCCCCACACAGAGTCCCTACTGGGGCACCACCTAGTGGAGCTTTGAGAAGAAGACCACTGTCATCCAGAACCCAGAATAGTAGATCCACCAACAGCTTGCAGTGTGTGCCTGGTAAAGCTGCAGGCACTCAATGCCAGCCCATGAAAGCAGCCATGGAGACTGTACCTTGCATAGCCACAGGAGCAGAGCTACTTGAAGACTTGGGAAACCCACACTTTGTATCAGTGTGATCTGGATGAGAGACATGAGTCAAAGGAGATTTTTTTTGAGCTTTAAGATTTAATTACGGCCCTGCTGGGTTTCACAATTGCATGGGGCCTGAAGTCCCTTTGTTTTGGACGATTTCTCCCTTTTGGAAAGAGACTATTTACCCAATGCATATACCGTCATTGTATCTTGGAGGTAACTAACTTGTTTTTGATTTTACAGGCTCATAGGTGGAAGGGATTTATCTTGTCTCAGATGAGATTTTGGACTGTGGACTTTTCAGTTAATTCTAAAATGAGTTAAGACTTTGGGGTACTGTTGGAAAGGCATGATTGTGTTTTGAAATGTGAGAAGGATGTGAGATTTGGGAGGGGCCTTGGGCAGAATGATATGATTTGGCACTGTGTCTCCACCCAAACCTCGTGTTAAGTTGTAATCCCCAGTGTTGGAGGAGGGGCCTCATGGGAGGTGGTTGAATCATGGGAGCAGATATCCCCTTCAGTGCTGCTCTTGTGATAGTGAGTGAGTGCTCAGAGACTTGGTTGTTTAAAAGTATGTGGCATCTTCCCCCTCCCTCTCTCTCTCTCTCCTGTTCTGCCATGTAAGGATGGTGCCTCCTTCCTCTTTGGCTTCTACCTTGATTGTAAGTGATGTAATTTGGCTGTGTCTCCACCCAAATCTCATCTTGAATTCCCATGTGTTGTGGCAGGAACTGGGTGGAAGGTAATTGACTCATGAGGGCAGGTCTTTTCTGTGCTGTTTTCATGATAGTGAATAAGTCTCACAAGATCCGATGGTTTTAAAAATGGGAGTCTCCCTGCACAAGCTCTTTTCTTTTGTTTGCCACCATGTGTGATGTGCCTTTCACCTTCTGCTATGATTGTGATGCCTTCCCAGCCACGTGGCACTGTAAGTCCATTAAATCTCATTCTTCTGTAAATTGCCCAGACTCAGGTATGTCTTTATCAGCAGCGTAAAAATGGACTAATACAGTAAATTTCTTGAGGCCTCCCCATAAACCAAAACTTGTACAGCACACCCACAGAACTGTGAGCCAATTAAGCCTCTTTGCTTTATAAATTACCCAGTCTCAGTTAGTTTTTTTTATGGCAATGCAAGAATGGACTAATACAACTCATAAACACACCAACTTCTCTCCAGCCTCATTCACCCAAGGCAGTTATGTCATAATTATTTTTTAAATTACTCAATATTTACATTATTGGGTTGATGTAAATATTGCTCACAGCTTACCATGACTACCTTTCTTTCTTGTACCAGCTTTTTGTTTTTCTTGGAGTTTAAATTATCTCTTTCTCTAAATAAATCTGTCTAGTGTTATGTACCTATACTAATTAGTTTCCACATTCTTCAGGAGAAGATGGTTTTGGAAATTGATTCCACTTCTTTCCTTGGTGATATTTCTTCTGGAGTATTTCATTTTCCTATTGTAATCTGAACTGGGGGAATTTCCAGGCCTGCTGCATAGGTACAGATCTGGGTATTCCCATTATTGTTATTCTTAGACGTCTCTTCACAGCTCTTCTGAAACTATATTTCTCATTTTCTGCATGTCTCTGTTTACTGTCTTATTTTTGTGAAGCCATGTGTCAGTAGCTTTCTGACATAGTGTTACATGGGAGGTAATATTTTTGAGACCTTGGCCATCAGAAAATATTTTTATTGTACATTTACACTTGATTTTGCTGCTGATAGAATTTTAGATTAAAATATTTTAAAAAGTTAGAATACTGCTAGCATTGCTCCAGCATCTTCATTTCAGAGTGCTTTTGAAAAATTCAGTGTCTTATTGATGCCTGACTCTTGGTATATGCCTGTTTTTTCTGTCTGAAATTTCTTAGGATTTCTTTTTATTCCTAATATTTAGAAATTTCACAGTGGTTTGCTTTGGTGTGGTTTGTTTTTCATTTATTGTTCTCAGCACTTGGTAGGCCATTTCAATTTGGAAACTCATGGCCTTTAGTTCTGGGAAAGTTCTCTATATTATCTGATTTTTACTTCCATCTGTTTACTTGGTGTTCTTTCTGGAATGCCTATTAGTCAGAGGCCAGACCATCCAAATCAATCCTCTATTTAAAAAAACCTTTTCTCTCCTATTTTCCACTGTGTTATTTTTTGGTCCTATTTCCTTTAAGATTTTCTCAACTTTACCCTCTTTTTATTCTATGTTTAAGATTTTTGCCTCCACATTTTTTATTCCAACAATTCTTTCTTATGCTCAGAAAGTTCCTTTCATTTCTTTCTAAAATAATATACTATTCTTATTATTCCTCATCAAGAAGGCAATATTTTCTTTTGTCTCTGAGAATTTTAGATTGAGGTTTAAGTTTCCTTCTTTCTCTGCATGGTCTCTGTTTCATCCAAGTTTCTTTTTGGATTGTTAATTTTGGTCTTTGTATTTATTTCACGTATCTGATGATCATTGCTGACTGTGCTGATACAGGAGTAAGGTAGGGTTCAAATCAGCGGTGTACCTAGCATATTTGATATCTGGATCAGATCAGTTTATGCACATATGTGAATATATTTATTTATTATAATACATATATGTGTTTATATATGTACATATATAGCAAAATTATTGTCAGTAATTGTAAAATCAGTTATTATTTTTTGGTTAGTTCTTTAGCTGAAAAACAATGAATAGAAAGGAGAATAAATTTCTGTTTTAAAGATTTTATTCAAATTAAGTGAAATATTTTATGTATAAAATAAATTTTGCAATTGCCAAACAAAAGTGTTATTCTTCACAGTTCTCTGTGTCACTGCTTTAATTTGTAAACATAAATAAAAACTCCAAGTGGTTATGTAGAATGACAAAATTAAGTAATTCAAGGATTCTTTTTCTTCACAATTACTTGGTGGTGGTGTTTATTTCTTTATTTTTATTTTTATTTATTTACTTTTAAATGTATTTCTTTTATTTTATTATTATTATACTTTAAGTTTTAGGGTACATGTGCACAACGTGCAGGTTTGTTACGTGTGTATACATGTGCCATGTTGGTGTGCTGCACCCATTAACTCGTCATTTAGCATTAGGTATATCTCCTAATACTATCCCTCCCCCCTCCCCCCACCCCACAACAGGCCCTGGTGTGTGATGTTCCCCTTCCTGTGTCCATGTGTTCTCATTGTTCAATTCCCACCTATGAGTGAGAGCATGCGGTGTTTGGTTTTTTGTCCTTGAGATAGTTTGCTGAGAATGATGGTTTCCAGTTTCATCCATGTCCCTACAAAGGACATGAACTCATCCTTTTTTTGTGGCTGCATAGTATTCCATGGTGTATATGTGCCATATTTTCTTAATCCAGTCTATCATTGTTGGACATTTGGGTTGGTTCCAAGTCTCTGCTATTGTGAATAGTGCCACAATAAACATACATGTGCATGTGTCTTTATAGCAGCATGATTTATAATCCTTTGGGTATAGACCCAGTAATGGGATTTCTGGGTCAAATGGTATTTCTAGTTCTAGATCCCTGAGGAATTGCCACACCGACTTCCATAATGGTTGAACTAGTTTACAGTCCCACCAACAGTGTAAAAGTGTTCCTATTTCTCCACATCCTCTCCAGCACCTGTTGTTTCCTGACTTTTTAATGATCGCCATTCTAACTGGTGTGAGATGGTATCTCACTGTGGGTTTGATTTGCATTTCTCTGATGGCCAGTGATGATGAGCATTTTCTCATGTGTCTTTTGGCTGCATAAATGTCTTCTTTTGAGAAGTGTCTGTTCATATCCTTTGCCCACTTTTTGATGGGATTGTTTTTTTTCTTGTAAATTTGTTGGAGTTCATTGTAGATTCTGGATATTAGCCCTTTGTCAGATGAGTAGATTGCAAAAATCTTCTCCCATTCTGTAGGTTGCCTGTTCACTCTGATGGTAGTTTCTTTTGCTGTGCAGAAGCTCTTTAGTTTAATTAGATCCCATTTGTCAATTTTGTCTTTTGTTGCCATTGCTTTTGGTGTTTTAGACATGAAGTCCTTGCCCATGCCTATGTCCTGAATGGTATTGCCTAGGTTTTCTTCTAGGGTTTTTATGGTTTTAGGTCTAACATTTAAGTCTTTAATCCATCTTGAATTAATTTTTGTATAAGGCGTAAGGAAGGGATCCACTTTCAGCTTTCTACATATGGCTAGCCAGTTTTCCCAGCACCATTTATTAAATAGGGAATCCTTTCCCCATTGCTTGTTTTTGTCAGGTTTGTCAAAGATCAGATAGTTGTAGATATGCGGCATTATTTCTGAGGGCTCTGTTCTGTTCCATTGGTCTATATCTCTGTTTTGGTATCAGTACCATGATGTTTTGATTACTGTAGCCTTGTAGTATAGTTTGAAGTCAGGTAGCATGATGCCTCCAGCTTTGTTCTTTTGGCTTAGGATTGACTTGGCAATGTGGGCTCTTTTTTGGTTCCATATGAACTTTAAAGAAGTTTTTTCCAATTCTGTGAAGAAAGTCATTGTTAGCTTGATGGGGATGGCATTGAATCTATAAATTACCTTGGGCAGTATGGCCATTTTCATGATATTGATTCTTCCTACCCATGAGCATGGAATGTTCTGCCATTTGTTTGTATCCTCTTTTATTTCATTGAGCAGTAGTTTGTAGTTCTCCTTGAAGAGGTCCTTCACATCCCTTGTAAGTTGGATTTCTAGGTATTTTATTCTCTTTGAAGCAATTGTGAATGGGAGTTCACTCATGATTTGGCTCTCTGTTTTTCTGTTATTGGTGTATAAGAATGCTTGTGATTTTTGCACATTGATTTTGTATCCTGAGACTTTGTTGAAGTTGCTTATCAGCTTAAGGAGATTTTGGTTTGAGACGATGGGGTTTTCTATATATACAATCATATCATCTGCAAAGAGGGACAATTTGACTTCCTCTTTTCCTAACTGAATGCCCTTTATTTCCTTCTCCTGCCTGATTGCCCTGGCCAGAACTTCTACCACTATGTTGAATAGGAGTGTTGAGAGAGGGCATCCCTGTCTTGTGCCAGTTTTCAAAGGGAATGCTTCCAGTTTTTGTCCATTCAGTATGATATTGGGTGTGGGTGTGTGATAGATAGCTCTTATTATTTTGAGATACATCCCATCAATATCTAATTTATTGAGAGTTTTTAGCATGAAGCATTGTTGAATTTTGTCAAAGGCCTTTTCTGCATCTATTGAGATAATCATGTGGTTTTTGTCTTTGATTCTGTTTATATGCTGGATTACATTTATTGATTTTCATATGTTGAACCAGCCTTGCATCCCAAGGATGAAGCCCACTTGATCATGGTGGATAAGCTTTTTGATGTGTTGCTGGATTCGGTTTGCCAGTATTTTATTGAGGATTTTTGCATCAATGTTCATCAAGGGTATTGGTCTAAAATTCTCTTTTTTGGTTGTGTCTCTGCCGTTCTTTGGTATCAGGATGATGCTGGCCTCATAAAATGAGTCAGGGAGGATTCCCTCTTTTTCTATTGATTGGAATAGTTTCAGAAGGAATGGTACCAGCTCCTCCTTGTACCTATGGTAGAATTTGGCTGTGAATCCATCTGGTCCTGGACTTTTTCTGGTTGGTAAGCTATTAATTATTGCCTCAATTCCAGAGCCTGTTATTGGTCTATTCAGAGATTCAACTTCTTCCTGGTTTAGTCTTGAGAGAGTGTATGTGTCGAGGAATGTATCCATTTCTTCTAGATTTTCTAGTTTATTTGCGTAGAGGTGTTTATAATATTCTCTGATGGTGATTTGTATTTCTGTGGGATCGGTGGTGATATCCCCTTTATCATTTTTTATTGCTTCTATTTGATTGTTCTCTCTTTTCTTCTTTATTAGTCTTGCTAGCGGTCTATCAATTCTTTTGATCTTTTCAAAAAACCAGCTCCTGCATTCATTGATTTTTTGAAGGGTTTTTTGTGTCTCTATCTCCTTCAGTTCTGCTCTGATCTTAGTTATTTCTTGCCTTCTGCTAGCTTTTGAATGTGTTTGCTCTTGCTTCTCTAGTTCTTTTAATTGTGATGTTAGGGTGTCAATTTTAGATCTTTCCTGCTTTCTCTTGTGGGCATTTAGTGCTATAAATTTCCCTCTACACACTGCTTTGAATGTGTCCCAGAGATTCTGATATGTTGTGTCTTTGTTCTCATTGGTTTCAAAGAACATCTTTATTTCTGCCTTCATTTTGTTATGTACCCAGTAGTTATTCAGGAGCAGGTTGTTTCGTTTCCATGTTGTTGAGTGGTTTTGAGTGTGTTTCTTAATCCTGAGTTCTAATTTGATTGCACTGTGGTCTGAGAGACAGTTTGTTATAATTTATGTTCTTTTACATTTGCTGCAGAGTGCTTTACTTCCAACTATGTGGTCAGTTTTGGAATAGGTGTGGTGTGGTGCTGAAAAGAACGTATATTCTGTTGATTTTGGGTGGAGAGTTCTGTAGATGTCTATTAGATCGGCTTGGTGCAGAGCTGAGTTCAATTCCTGGATATCCTTTTTCACTTTCTGTCTCATTGATCTGTCTAATGTTGACAGTGGGGTGTTAAAGTCTCCCATTATTATTGTGTGGGAGTCTAAGTCTCTTTGTAGGTCACTAAGGACTTGCTTTATGAATCTGGGTGCTCCTGTATTGGGTGCATATATATTTAGGATAGTTAGTTATTCTTGATGAATGGATCCCTTTACCATTATGTAATGGCCTTCTTTGTCTCTTTTGATCTTTGTTGGTTTAAAGTCTGTTTTATCCGAGACTGGGATAGCAACCCCTGCCTTTTTTTGGTTTCCATTTGCTTGGTAGATCTTCCTCCATCCCTTTATTTTGAGCCTATATGTGTCTCTGCACGTGAGATGGGTTCCTGAATACAGCATACTGATGGGTCTTGACTCTTTATCCAATTTGTCAGTCTGTGCCTTTTAATTGAAGCATTTAGCCCATTTACATTTAAAGTTAGTATTGTTATGTGTGAATTAGATCCTGTCATTATGATGTTAGCTGGTTATTTTGCTTGTTAGTTGATGCAGTTTCTTCCAAGCATTGATGGTCTTTACAATCTGGCACGTTTTTGCAGTGGCTGGTACCGGTTTTTCCTTTCCATGTTTAGTGATTCCTTCAGGAGCTCTTTTAGGGCAGGCCTGGTGGTGACAAAATCTCTCAGCATTTGCTTGTCTGTAAAGGATTTTATTTCTCCTTCACTTATGAAGCTTAGTTTGGCTGGATATGAAATTCTGGGTTGAAAATTCTTTTCTTTAAGAATGTTGCATCTTGGCCCCCACTCTCTTCTGGCTTGTAGAGTTTCTGCTGAGAGATCAGCTGTTAGTCTGATGGGCTTCCCTTTGTGGGTAACCCGACCTTTCTCTCTGGCTGCCCTTAACATTTTTTCCTTCATTTCAACTTTGGTGAATCTGACAATTATATGTCTTGGAGTTGCTCTTCTCGAGGAGTATCTTTGTGGTGTTCTCTGTATTTCCTGAATTTGAATGTTGGCCTGCCTTGATTGGGGAAGTTCTCCTGGATAATATCCTGCGGAGTGTTTTCCAACTTGGTTCCATTCTCCCCATCACTTTCAGGTACACCAATCAGACGTAGATTTGGTCTTTTCACATAGTCCCATATTTCTTGGAGGCTTTGTTCATTTCTTTTTATTCTTTTTTCTCTAAACTTCTCTTCATGCTTCATTTCATTCATTTCATCTTCCATCGCTGATACCCTTTCTTCCAGTTGATCGCATTGGTTACTGAGGCTTGTGCATTCATCACGTAGTTCTTGTGCTGTGGTTTTCAGCTCCATCAGGTCCTTTAAGGACTTCTCTGCATTGGTTATTCTAGTTATCCATTCGTCTAATTTTTTTTCAAAGTTTTTAACTTCTTTGCCATTGGTTTGAGCTTCCTTGTTTAGCTCGGAGTAATTTGATCTTCTGAAGCCTTCTTCTCTCAACTCATCAAAGTCATTCTCCGTCCAGCTTTGATCCATTGCTGGTGAGGAGCTGCATTCCTTTGGAGGAGGAGAGGCACTCTGATTTTTAGAGTTTATTGTTTTTCTGCTCTGTTTTTTCCCCATCTTTGTGGTTTTATCTACCTTTGGCCTTTGATCATGGTGACGTACAGGTGGGTTTTTGGTGTGGATGTCCTTTCTGTTTGTTAGTTTTCCTTCTAACAGTCAGGACCCTCAGCTGCAGGTCTGTTGGAGTTTGCTGGAGGTCCACTGCAGACCCTGTTTGCCTGGGTATCAGCAGTGGTGGCTGCGGAAGAGTGGATACTGGTCAACCACAAATGCTGCTGCCTGATTGTTCCTCTGGAAGTTTTGTCTCAGAGGAGTCCATGGCCGTGTGAGGTGTCAGTCCACCCCTGCTGGGGGGTGCCTTCCAGTTAGGCTACTCGGGGGTCAGGGGCCCACTTGAGGGGGCAGTCTGCCTGTTCTCAGATCTCAAGCTACGTGCTGGGAGAACCACTACTCTCTTCAAAGCTGTCAGACAGGGACATTTAAGTCTGCAGAGGTTATTGCTGTCTTTTGTTTGTCTGTGCCTTGACCCCAGAGGTGGAGCCTACAGAGGCTGGCAGGCCTCCTTGAGCTGTGGTGGGCTCCACCCAGTTTGAGCTTCCGAGCCGCTTTGTTTAACTACTCAAACTTGGGCAATGGCGGGCGCCCCTCCTCCAGCCTCGCTGCCGCCTTGCAGTTTGATCTCAGACTGCTGTGCTAGCAATGAGCGAGGCTCCGTGGGCGTAAGACTCTCCGAGCCAGGTGCGGGATATAGTCTCCTGGTGTGCCATTTGTTTAGCCCATTGGAAAAGCGTAGTATTATGGTGGGAGTGACCCAATTTTCCAGGTGCCGTCTGTCACCCCTTTCTTTGACTAGGGAAGGGAATTCCCTGACCCCATGCACTTCCCGGGTGAGGCGATGCCTCACCCTGCTTTGGCTCACGCACTGTGCGCTGCTCCCACTGTCCTGCCCCCACTGTCCGGCACTTCCCAGTGAGATGAACCCAGTACCTCAGTTGGAAATGCAGAAATCACCCATCTTCTGTGTCCTTTATGCTGGGAGCTGTAGACTGGAGCTGTTCCTATTCGGCCATCTTGGCTCCACCCCGGTGTTTATTTTTTAATCTACTGCTTAAACACAGGAATATGTAGTGCCACAGGGATTGGAGACATGGACTGAGCTAAATCAAAGTGGAAGAATTTGGCCCTTTGAACTTACTCTCAAAGGTACCATATACAGCTGTGTTTTTGTTACTTGGAAATTGACTGAATAATGGGGAGTTTTCTGAATGAACTTTCAGGTAGAACACTAAAATGTGCCAAGTTGAAGTTTACATTTATGTTACTAATATTCAATTATAGTCACAGCACTTGCAAAACTTAGACCCAGAAAACATTTTTTTTTGGAGGAGTACTCTATCACTGAAGTTGAGCCATGTTACTCAGAACTGCTGCACAGAGTAATAATAAAAATCAAACCAACTTTTAATCAATTTAATTATTGGTTTTAAATTATCTATAAACAGTTCTTCATTGCTCACACCCTAGGCTTATAGCTCCCATCCTGCCCTTGCTGTGCAACAGGGGCCAGTCACCTGGATTTTTCACTTGGTGTTCCATAGATGTCATTTCTTTAGGGCTTTTCTCTAGGGTCAGATTTTCTGGGGAGTATATAGCTGCCAGCATTTTGGGAGCTGCATGAAGGAACAAGGCTAGGTAGTTATGTTCAACATGTAGAGTCTTACTTAATCCCCCTCTTTTCAGTAGGTGGCTCCCATCCCACAGTTTGCTCAGTCACACACAGTTTGCTCAGTCAACCATTGCTCAGTGGTTCTGTTTTAGTTTTTTTCATAAAGTAAACCTTCAATCTGCTTCTAAGATTATGGATTGAGGGCCACTTGGAAGCACAGGTAGAGTAGGATCTAACTGCTCCCTAAATGGACTTTCAACCACTTTCTTCTGCTTTTCTTCCCAATCTTCGACTCTGCTTTTAGAGATACAGGTGCATCCATTCCTGGCCATCCCTAGAATTTTGTGTACCAAATCTGAATTTTTGTTCGCTTGGCATTCTCCTCTGTTGTCATTTTAAATCTTAACTTTTCTACTCAGCTAGGTTATTTTGTTTTTGTTTTTGTTGTTGTTGTTGTTTGTATTTTAAGACAGGGTCTTGCTGTTGCCCAGGCTGGAGTGTAGTGGTGTAATCTCAGCTCACTGAAGCCTTGACATCCTGGGCTCAAGTGATGCTCCCACCTCAGCCTCCTGAGTGGCTGCGACTAGAGGCGGGTGCCACCCCACTTAGCTAATTTCTGTATTTTTTGTAGAGATGGGGTTTTGCCATGTTGCCCAGGCTGGTTTTGAACTCCTGGACTCAAGCAATCCTCCTGCCTTGGCCTCCCAAAGGGCTGGGATTACAGGTGTGAGCCACTGTGCCCAGCCTAGGTTAGTTTTAATCAATTGATTTCCATCTTCTCCAGTTTGGCTGGCATCTCTTTGATCTCTTTCTCTTTTTAGGTTGATGTTATGTAACATTTTTCATGGCATTTTGAGATGGAGCAAAGACGAATGTATTATTTCATCTATTTTATGTAATTGGAAGTCTCTTAGTAATTCTATTTATTATTTTTATGTAAAAGTAGACATTGGCATTTTAGGGAACAAAATGTAAAATTTAAGGTTTAAACTAATGTTTTGAGAAAAACAATTTCAGAGCTATTTTAAAGTTGAGTTGTGCCACTTCTTCTACCATCAGACCCCCAAGAGAATGAATTTGCTCCACTAATAGAGGTACACATGTGTGAGAATCCATTATGAGGCAAATTTTAGATAAATGCATTTGGATACAGGTTCTCACTGAGAAGGAATCAGCAGGTCAGAAAAATCCCTCCTCTAGTTAACCGGAAACAGTCATGCTTTACAAAATCATATGTTTTCCACCAAGCATCCCATAAGATTTGAGGGTCATAATACAAAATGATCAGAGTAATTAAAAGAGGGAAATAGCCATCCAGCTAAATTCCTATGAGCCCTGGTTCATATGAGAATCCTCACCCAGCTTATAGCTCACAGTTAAGAGCTAGCTCAACTTGGGGGGACTCTGGAGAAACTTATTTGCTTTTCTTGTCCTATAAGGTTGGACCGTAAAAGGTGTTTTGTTTCATGCTGTTTGCTTATTTTAATTGATAATAGCCAATGTTTGGAAGCACCTGGAAACTGGAACTCTAATAGCTGCTATTGGAATCTTTATTGGAAACAGTTCTTGGTTGCAAACAACATAATTCACTATAACTACTACAAGGAAAAAGAAAAAAAAGAATTTATTTAAGGTTACTAAGTATATTGCAAGTTATGTCTCTAGGACAATGTGAAAAGCTTAAGAAATGTGCAGGGGAAGAAACAAGGAAACATTTATCTATCAGCTCCTAGTTCCTATAGTGAAGATTTGGCTATGGAGTGTTAACTATCTTGCACTACATGATTGCATGTGGGTGAGTGCAGAATGGGTTCCTGTGGTTCTCAGGAAAGCTTTGGGTAGGGGAGACCTAAAGGAAAAAGAAAGTCTGTGCTAATTGTTTTTAAAGGAAGAGTTTAGGATTGAAGGTTGAGAATGAAATACATAGAGCTTTGGGGAAGTTGCGAATAAGACTGATATTGAGAGGGAAAATAATAGAGAAAGAGGGCTTTAAGAAATATCATTGTGGGTTATAAATGGATTTTCCTTTGACATCCTTTAAGAAATTCAAGAAAATATTGGAATTGCTTTTAATTACTTATAGTTCCAGGACTGTATTTACTTGAATGCTATAACTTGCAGAGACTGGAACACATGGGGCTCTAGTTTATAAACAGTTGTTAAAAGTACAAAGTACTCTTCAGTTAGTTAGAACGAGGTTCTTCAGTAAGAACACACCCATCTTCAGCCTCAATGGATTTCTGATATGAATTTTCTAATGGTTCTCAAACACCTGAATTGTATCACAAGTAGGACAACTTAAAAACAGTCTCTGGAGATTTGACTCAGGCTGTATTGTTTGAGAATGAGCTACGTTGAAAGTCACTTAATCAGCCTTTAACCAATTGGGTGCTTATTCCATTTTTTTTCTCCTAACAATTCAGGAGACATCCACAGGACACTGGATTCTTTGGGAAATATCACCAAAAAAAGAAGGAAGATGTAAACATTTAGAAGAAAAATCTAGAGAATTTAAAATCATATAATGACATCTAGAAGTCTAGACCTACATAAAAGCTTACTTTCATCTTTGATCACCCAGACCATTGCAAAGAATTTGCAAGGAAGAGAACACGTAGACTCAGTGATTCAGGGGCCTGGAATCTCCCTTTCTCTTGAGAGAGCTAAGGGTTATGTCCATACATAACAATGAGGGGAAAACTAGGCACCCAGACTGACTTGTGGGATCAGGAAGATGTCCAAGGTCAGAGCAGGCAAGTCTGGAAAAATAAGGAAGGAATTAAAGGTCACAGCAGATAATGATCTGAGCCCAGAAAAATCAGATCAAACTGGAGTAACTGGAAGGCTCTGAAAAGTTGAAACAGAACACATCTGGCCTTCAAGAGGTTGTATAATTCCAGGATGTGGCATTGGCCAGGAGAAATGATTCTAAGTTAGAAGTTTTAGAGAAATACATTATTTACCACTTATTAGCTATATAACCTTGGACAAATCATTTAATCTCTATGAGCCCCTTCCTTTCATTGTAAAGTGAGAATAGTAAGGCTTATCTTCTTGTAAGGATTAACATATGCAAAATGTCTGGAATAGATCTTGATTGATAGGTGCTCAAAAATTAGATAATTATTTCTAAGACTGAAGCTTTTTCACATCAGGAAACCTTGTGCCTGTCTCCATGTGCTTCTACTGTAATCTATTATGCTCTCAGTGCGGCTTCAGAGAAAGGATAAAGCTACTACCACCTCCCCTTCCCCCACCTCCTACCTTCACCCTCTTCACATGCCTCTGACTCTTCTCTGCTAAACTCAAATAAAACATTTAGAGACATATGATGGCATCTGTATAGATGTGGCTCGGCTTGAAATTTCTTACTGACCTTGACTGTAAGAGTGACCAGGATAGGGAAGAACCTCAAAATCATATCATATGAGGATTGAATTCACAGTGGAAAAAAACAGGGAAATTTCATTTGGAACAGAAATGATAAAAATCAAGGAATGTATGATAGCCATCATAAAATATTTGGTTCAATTTGGGTCTATTCTGGGGAAATAGTGATGTCTTTACCCCTGGGTGGCCACTTCTGGGGGATTTGAAAAGAGAGTCCTTACGTGAGAAAGAGTGAGACTCCAAGAATCTCCAAGGTCTCTTGACTTGAGAGTCTATGGTTTTAGGAGCACAGCTGGCCCACGTGGTGTGTGTGGCATGGGCAAAGGTGCTGAGTTCTTAGGAAGCAGCTCTGGGCATGGTCCAGCCTTCAGGCATGAGCCATGCCACAAAATTTGCTCTTGGCATGCAGGGTTGTGGCCTTAGAATCCTTCTTACCATAATTCTCTCGGCGCTGTCTCAATGCATTTCCTTTCCATTCTTCTTTGTCACCAGTTGGCAATTACACGCTACAGAAAATGTACACAGAAGGGGTTTGTTTTGGTTACCATGTAGCAGGGTGGGAGGGAGCTACGGCTGGTGGCTGATTCTCTGGGGTGACTGGGCATGGGTTATGGGAATGGAGGATGATGTCCCTCATCGGTTCCCAGAGAGTTGCCTCACTAGCACCCTGGAGCCTGTGAATAGTGTTTAAATCAATGGTCAAAGTGAAGAGGGCAGCTTAGTCCTCATTACTCCCCAGGACTAATTGACCTCTTCTGAAAAGGTACATTCTTGATTTGGTGAGACTCTTCCTCATCCGGAAAGGCAAGTGAAGCAAAAAGATCTAATGTGAAAGGGTGGGGGTGAGGGGTCAAGGGTGGCATTGAAGGGAGGGAAAGGTGCAGAGCATTCACTAAATCATTTCCACCAGAACAGAGGAGAACAAAGGCATCACCATCCTGAGAGTGTTTGTGAAGGACTCATACAGACCGAACACTGCGCAGAGCCTGATGACCTTTTCCTGCCCTGGAGATTCTCAGTTTTGTCATTTTGATGAATCTCTAAGTTGTGTTCACTGTGAGTACCTCTGATAGCAAGTAAGCAATTTAACATAAAAGGTCCTTTGAAAGAAATGCATCAAAATTGAGTCAGGCTCAGTGCTGCTCCAAAGCATGCCATTTATTTTTAATTGTTCCCCCCATCCATCTCAGCTATTAAGAATGAAAGAGAGAAGGGAGAAAATAAAATGAAATTAAAAGAAGCAAGACACAAAAATGAAGTTTGATTTCTTTCTGAATCCTCTATTGGTGATATAAAGCTCAGATATTTATGCTACCATCCCGTAAGAGCCAAAACATTCATTCAGTTTGTGGGAATCAAATCTCAGAGAAGTCATGTTGAATATTCAATTTGATGCCTCCCGAGAGAGTGTATATTTAAGAATACAGAGCACCATAAGAACATGAGTTCCAAATAAAAAGCATAATGTTGCCATCCACTGACAAGTTTGTTCTTTGATCAGTGTGATGTTAATAATACCAAAGAAGCATTGAGAATCCATTAGTCTGCAATTTGATGGAAATTCCACCCACAGGCTCTCCAGGAAACCTTACATTTACAGCTTGTTTCTAGGTCTTTCTCTCTCTTTCTTTAGTCAGGACTTTGGTTCCTAAGAGTTTTTGAGAAATAAAATTGACACTGTTTAGGTACACTGGCTATTTAGATAGTCACTAGCCTTGCATGGTTATTTAAATTTAAATTCACATATTTAAATAAAATTAAAACTTAGTTTCTTAGTCATACTAGTCACCTTTCAAGTGCTCAGTAGCTGCATGTGGAGTGGCTACCTTATTGAAAGTTACAGATATAGAGCATTTCCATTATCATAGAAAGTCCTATTAGACAGTACTGACCTGTAGCCTTGTTTATAGAAATGTGGGTCTTTGAAATGTAGTTCCTCACCATAGGAGAAGCATGTTGTCATCTAAATCCCTAAAGTGGAAATCTAATGGACATATTGACACTTCATTTTACTTTCCTTTTTAGAGAGAGGTCATCAATGAATAAGGATGGCTTCTCCCATAATCTTTAGTTAATGGTAACCAAGGACGCAAGCAACAATAACAAAAATCCCTCACCATTGTATAAATGGCATGGTCTTTCTGCTACTTAGAAGAAAAGACCCCCATGGCTGTGCGATTTTATTTCCTTGGCTCTTTTAAAAATTATTTTAAAATGTTCGTTTTTATTTGACACACAATAATTGTACATATTTATGAGGTACAATGTTACACTTCAATACATGGATATGTTATGTAATGATCAAATCAGGGAAATAAGCATTTCTATCACCTCAAACATTTATCAGTTCTTTGTAGTGAGGAATATTCAAATTCCTGTCTTCTCGCTATTTTGAAATATACAATACATTATTATTAACTATAGTCACCACACTGTGCATTAAAATACCAGAACTTATTTCTCCTATCATTCATGTTGTTGCACACACACACACACCTTCAACACACACACCACATTTTCTTTCTTTCTTTCTTTCCTTCCTTCCTTCCTTCCTTCGTTCCTTCCTTCCTTCCTTCCTTCCTTCCTTCCTTCCTTCTTTGTTTTCTTTCTTTCTTTCTTTCTTTCTTTCTTTCTTTCTTTCTTTCTTTCTTTCTTTCTTTCTTTCTTATCTTCCTTTCTTTTGACAGGGTCTCACTCTGTTGCTCAGGCTGGAGTGCAGTGGCACAATCATGGCTCACTGCAGCCTCAACTTCCTGGGCACAGGTGATTCTCCCACCTTAGCCTCCCAAATAGCTGAGACTATAGACATGGGTTACCATACCCAGCTAATTTTTTGTACTTTTGGTAGAGATGGGGTTTCACCATGTTGCCCAGGCTTGTCTCAAACTCCTGGGCTTAATGAATCCACTTGCCTCAGCTTCCCAAAGTGCTGGAATTACAGTCATGAACAACTGTGCCTGGACTATACCACATTTTCTTTATTCATTCATCCATTGATGAATACTTAGGTTGATTCCATATCTTGATTATTGTGAACTGTGTTGCGATAAACATAGGAGTGCAGATAGCTCTTCAATATACTGATTTCATTTTCTTTGGATATATACCCAGTAGTGAGATTGCTGGATCATGAACATGTGATAGTTCTATTTTTAATTTTGGGGGAAACCTCCTACTATTTTCCATAATGTCTAATTTATATTCCCAACAACAGTTCCTTTTCTCCACATCTTTGCCAACACTAGTTATTTCTTGACTTTTTTGACAATAGCCATTCATACTAGAGTGAGGTGTTAGCTTGTGGTTTTGATTTGCATGTCCCTGATGATTAGTGATGTTGAGCATTTTTTCATATACTTGTTGACAATTTTATGTCTTTTTTTAAGAAATGTTTATTCAGGTCTTCTGCCCATTTTTAATTGAGTTATTTATTATTCTGCTATTGAGTTGTTTGAGCTCCTTATATATTTTAGATATTGGTCCCTTATTGGATGTACAGTTTGCAAATATGTTTTTGCATGTCATAGGGTGTCTCTTCACTCTGTTGATTGTTTCTCTTGCTGTGCAGAAGCTTTTTAGTTTTATGTAATTCCACTTGTCTATTATTGCTTTTGCTGGCTGTGCTTTTGAGATCTTATTCAAAAAATCGTAGCTTAGACCAATGTCATGGAGATTTTTCCTTATTTTTTCTTCTATCAGTTTCGTAGTATTGGGCCTTACATTTAAGTCTTTAATCCATCTTGAGTTTATTTTTGTTTATGGTGAGAAATAAGAGTCTAATTTTATTCTTCCGTATGTGGATATCCAGTTTCCCCAAGTCCATTTATTAAAGAGACTGTCTTTTCCTTATTGTGTGCTCTTGACACCTCTGTTGAAAATCAACTGGCTGTACATGCGTGGCTTTATTTCTGAGGTCTCTTTTCTGTTCCATTGGTCTATGTGTCTGTTTTTATACCAGTACCATGTTGCTTTGGTTATTATAGGTTTGTAGTACAATTTGAAGTCAGGTGGTGTGATGTCTTGAGCACTGTTTTTTTTAAAATGCAAGTCTGCTATGTCTATTTGGAGTCTTTTTTTTTGGTTCCATGCAAACTTTGTGATTGTTTTTTCTATTTCTATGAAAAATGTCACTGGTATTTTGATAGGGGTGGCATTGAATCTGCAGATTGCTTTGGGTAATATGGACATTTTAACAATATTTATTCTTCCATCCATGAACATAGACTATCTTTCCATTTATTTGTGTCTTTTTCAATGTATTCAATCAATGTTTTATAGTTTTCAGTGTTGCAATCTCTCATCTCCTTAGTTAAATTTATTACAAGCTGCTTTATTTTTTGTAGCTGCCATAAATGGGATTGTGTCCTTGACTTCTTTTTTCTCCAGAAAATGTGCCATTAGTGTATAGAAATGCTATTGATTTTTGTATGTTGATTTTGTATATTTCTACTTTGCTAAATTTATTTATTAGATCTATCAGTTTTTTTGGTGGAGTCTTTAGGGTTTTCTACATATAACATCACATTGTCCACAAAGACAGACAATATAACTTTTTCCTTTCTAATTTGGTTGTCTTTTGTTTCTTTCTCTTGTATGATTCCTCTTGCTAGGACTTCTAGTACTATCTTGAGTACAAGTGGGGAGAGTGGGCATCCTTGTCTTGGTTCCAGTTCTTAAGGGAAAAGCTTTCAACTTTTTCCCATTCATTATGATGTTAGCTGTGGGTAAGTCATATAAGGCCTCTATTGTGTTGAGCTACATTCCTTCTATACCTAATTTGTTGGGAGTTTTTATTACAAAAGGATGTTGAATTTTGTCATATGTTTTTCTGTATCTACGGAAATGACCACATGGGTTTTGTTCTTTATTCTGTTGATGTGATGTATCACATTTATTGATATGTGTATGTTGAACCATCCTCTCATCCCTGTTAATCCTACTTGATCATGGAAAAACATTTTTTTTTGAGATGGAGTCTCACTCTGTCACCCAGGCTGGAGTGCAGTGGCACGTTCTCGGCTCACTGCAAACTCTGCCTCCCAGGTTCAAGCGATTCTCCTGCCTCAGCCTCCCAAGTAGGTGGGATTACAGGCATGCAACACCATGCCTGGCTAATTTTTTTTTTTTTTTTTTTTTTTTGGTAGAGATGGGGTTTTGCCATGTTGGTCAGGCTGTTCTAAAACTACTGACCTCAGATGAGCCATCTGCCTTGACTTCCTAAAGTGCTGGGATTACAGGCATGAGCCACCATGCCTGGTCCCCCCAACCCCCACTTTATTTTTAAAGACTGAAAGTTTTATTGCACTCTTAGCAGTACTGGTTATTAGCATTTATTTTCATTCTTTGTCAATCTGATGAGGGAGGGGTCTCTTTCTGTAATTTAATTAGGTAAAGTTGAATTTTTGCTCACATATTCATAGGAATAACTTTACTACCTTAAGGACTGGTAATTGCCTTTTAATTAAGAAGTAATATTGCATTTAGTTGTTTTTTTCAGAATACATATAGCTTTGTTTTTATTTATTTACTTATTTTTAATTTGCTTTCAGAGTTTTTTTTTCTATAGGTTATTAGGGTACAGGTGGTATTTGGTTACATGAGTAAGTTCTTTAGTGGTGATTTGTGAGAGCTTGGTGCACCCATCACCCAAGCAGTATACAGTGTGCCCTATTTGTAGTCTTTTATCCCTCACCCCCTTCCCACCTTTTCCCCTAGTCCCCAAATTTCATTGTATTATTTTTATGCCTTTGTGTTCTCATAGCTTAGCTCCCATGTATTGCTGAGAACATACGATGTTTGGTTGTCCATTCCTGTGTTACTTCACTTAGAATAATAGTCTCCAATCTCATCCAGGTGGCTGCAAATGCCGTTAATTCATTCCCTTTTATGGCTGAGTAGTATCCCATTGTGTATATATATATACCACAGTTTCTTTATCTACTCATTGATTGATGGACATTTGGGTTGGTTCCACGATTTTGCAATTGCAAATGGTGCTGCTATAAACATGTGTGTGCAAGTATCTTTTTCGTATAATGACTTCTTTTCCTATGGGTATATACTCAGTAGTGGGATTGCTGGATCAAATGGTAGTTCTACTTTTAGCTCTTTAAGGAATATCCACACTGGTTTCTATAGTGGCTGTACTAGTTTACATTCCCAGCAGCAGAGTAGATATGTTCCCTGATCACTGCATCCATGCCAATGTCTACTGCTTTTTTATTTTTTTGATTATGATGACCATTCTTGTAGGATTAAGGTGGTATTGCACTGTGGTTTTCATTTGCATTTCCCTGATCATTAGTGATGTTGAGGATTTTTTCATATGTTTGTTGGCCATTTGCATATCTTCTTTTGAGAGTTGTCTATTCATGTTCTTAGAGTACTTTTTGATGGGTTTGTTTGTTTTTTTCTTACTGATTTGTTTGACTCCGTTGTAGATTCTGGATATTAGTCCTTTGGTCATATTTATAGATTGTGAAGATTTTCTCCCACTCTGTGGGCTGTCTGTTTACTGCTGATTATTTCTTTTGTTGTGCCGAAGCTTTTTAGTTTAATGGTTCTGTCTATTTATCTTTGTTTTTGTTGCATTTGCTTTGGGTTCTTGGTCATGAAGTCTTTGCATAAGCCAATATCTAGGAGGGGTTTTCCAATGTTATCTGCTAGAATTTTTATAGTTTCAGGTCTTAGATTTAAGTCTTTGATCTATCTTGAGTTGATTTTTGTATAGAGTGAGAGATGAGGATCCAGTTCCATTCTTCTACATGTGGTTTGCCAACTATCCCAGCACCATTTGTTGAATAGGGTGTCCTTCCTCCACTTTATATTTTTGTTTGCGTTGTCGAAAATCAGTTGACTGTAAGTATTTGGCTTGATTTCTGGGTTCTCTATTCTGTTCCATTGGTCTATATTCCTGTTTTAATACCAGTACCATGCTGGTTTGGTGACTAT
Organism: Homo sapiens; assembly: GCF_000001405.40. Lineage (NCBI taxonomy): Eukaryota > Metazoa > Chordata > Mammalia > Primates > Hominidae > Homo > Homo sapiens. Next base: position 153,995,147 of record NC_000004.12, read on the forward strand.
GGGCTTATAGTACAGTTTGAAGTCAGTTAATGTAATGCCTCCAGATTTGTTCTTTTTGCTTAGTCTTGCTTTGGCTATGTGGGCTCTTTTTTGTTTCCATATGAATTTTAGGATTGTTTTTTCTAATTCTGTGAAGAATGGTGGTGGTATTTTGATGGGGTTTGCACTTAATTTGTAGATTGTTTTTGGCAGTATGGTCATTTTCACAATATTGATTCTACCCATCCAGGAACATGGGATGTGTTTGCATTTGTTTGTGTCATCTATGATTTCTTTCAGGAGTGTTTTGTAGTTTCCTGGTAGAGATTTTTCATGTCCTTGGTTAGGTATATTCTTAAGTATTTTATTTTATTTTTTCAGCTATTGTAAAAGAGTTGAGTTCTTGATTTGATTCTCAGCTTGGTCACCGTTGGTGTATAGAAGAGCTACTGATTTGTATACATTAATCTTGTATCCTAAAACTTTGCTGAATTTTTTTTTTATCAGTTCTAGAATCTCTATGGAGGAGTCATTAGGGTTTTTGAGATAAATGATTATATCATAATCAAACAGTGACAGTTTGACTTCCCCTATACCGATTTGGGTGCCTTCCATTTCTTTCTCTTGTCTGATTGCTCTGGCTAAGACTTCCAGTGCTATGTTGAAGAGGAGTGGTGAGAGTGGGCATCCTTGCTTTGTTCCAGTTCTCAGAGGGAATGCTTTCAACTTTTCCCCTTTCAGTATTATGTTGGCTGTGGGTTTGTCATAGATGGCTTTTATTACATTGAGGTATGTCCCTTGTATGGCAATTTTGCTAAGAGTTTTAATCCTAAAGGGGTGCTGGATTTTGTTGAATGCTTTTTCTGTATCTATTGGGATGGTCATGTAATTTTTGTTTTTAATCCTGTTTATATGGTGTATCACATTTATTGACTTGCATATGTTAAACCATCCCTGCATTCCTGATATGAAACCTACTTGATCATGTGGATTATCTTTTTGATATGTTGTTGGATTTGGTTAGCTAGTATTTTGTTAAAGATTTTAGCATCTACCTCCATCAGGAAAATTGTTCTGTAGTTTCCTTTTTTGGTTATGTCCTTTCATGGTTTTGGTATTAGGGTAATGATGGCTTCATATAATGAATTAGGGAGGGTTCCCTCTTTCTCTTATCTTGTGGAATAGTGTCAAAAGGATGGATACCAGTTTTTCTTTGAATGTCTGGCAGAATTCTGCTGTGAATCCCTCTGGTCCTGGAATTTTTTTGTTGGTAATTTTAAAGTTGGAGATCATGTCTTTGAGCTCTGCATTTCTTTCTTCTACTTGTTCAATTCTATTGCCAAGACTTTCCAGAGCATTTTGCATTTCTATAAGTGTCTCCAATATTTCCTGAAGTTTTGATTGGTTTTTCTTTATGCTACCTGTTTCCTTGAATATTTCTCCCTTCACTTCTTGTATCATTTTTTGGATTTCTTTGCATTGGGCTTCACCTTCTTCTGGTGCCTTCCTGATTAGCTTAATAACTAACCTCCTGATTTCTTTTTTCAGGTAAATCAGGGATTTCCACTTGGCTTGGTTCCAGTGCTGGTTAGCTAGTGAGATTTTTTTGGGGGTGCTAAAGAGCCTTGTTTTGTCATATTACGAGAGCTGGTTTTCTGGTTCCTTCTTATTTGTGTAGACTCTGTCAGAGGGAAGGTCTAGGGCTGAAGGCTGTTGTTCAGATCCTTTTGTCCCATGGGGTGTTCCCTTGATATAGTACTCTTGCCCTTTTCCTATGGATGTGGCTTCCTGTGAAGCAAGCTGCAGTGATTGTTATCTGTCTTGTGGGTCTAGCCATCCAGCAAGTCTACCTGGCTCCAGGCTGGTACTGGGGGTCATCTGCACAGAGTCCTGTGATGTGAACCATTTATGGGTCTCTCAGCCATGGATACCAACACCTGTTCTGGTGGAGGTGGCAGGGCGGTGAAATTGACTCTATGAGGGTTCTTAGCTTTGGTGGTTTAATGTTCTGTTTTTGTGCTGGTTGGCCTTCTGCTGGGAGATGGTGCTTTCCAGACAGCATCAGCTGTGGTAGTATAGGGAGGAACTGGTGGTAGGCAGGGCCCTAGAACTCCCAAAAGTATATGCCGTTTGTCTTCAGCTACCAGGGTGGATAGGGAAGGCTCATGATGTGGGGGCAGGGCTAGGCATTTCTGAGCTCAGACTCTCCTTGGGTGGGTCTTGCTGTGGCTGCTGTGGGGGATGGGGGTGAGGTTCTCAAATCAATGGAGTTGTGTACCTAGGAGGATTATGGCTACCTCTGCTGCGTCATGCAAGTTGTCAGGGAAGTTGGGGAAAGCCGGCAGTTACAGGCCTTACCCAGCTGCCATGCAATCTGATGGTCTGGTCTCACTCCCACCGTGCCCCCCATAACAGCCCTGAGTCTGTTTCCAGGCAGCGGGTGAGCCAGGCTTGAGAGCTTGCCCCAGGCTACCCACCTCCCACTGCGAAAGAACAGGACTTTGGTTCTTCCACAAGAACAGAACTTGTGGAGTCTGCACACTGGATTCACTCCCTCCCTGACACCAAGTTCTGGCAAGGAGGCTTCTCACCTGGTTCCAATTATTACAGAGTTCAGCTAGTGACTTCCTTTTTCCTGTAGCATTTTTCTCCATGCCTCTGGCTGTCCTCCTGAAGGGTCCCTGTGGTACCAGGCAGGAATGGCCTGCTTGGGGACCCAGTGAGCTTTCATGGTCTTTCCTGCTGCTTTCTCTACCCCTGTGTTTTGCTCGGTTCTCTAATTTGACTCAGCTTCAGGTAAGGTTGGAAACTTGTCCCACAAACTAGATCTTTATTTTCTCCAGTGGGGGTGTGTGTTTGGGAGTGGAGGGTCTCCCTTTCCTACTTCCAAAGTTTGGGGTACTCACAGTAGTTGGGGTGTCTCCCGGGTCCTACAGGAGCAGTCTGCTTCCTTCAGAAGGTCTGTGGGTCCTCTTGGGATTCCTGTTTTGTTCTTGCAGTCATTCTGGAGCTAAAATTCATGATTTAAGCCTCCACACACTGCTCTGTCTGAGTCAGAGCTACAATCTAGTCCTGCCTCCCATCCACCATGATGATCTGTGGAAAACCTTTCTGATGTACCATTGAATTTGGCTTGTTAGGATTTTGTTGAGGATTTTTGCATGTGAGTTCATCATAAATATTCATTTGCAGTTTTCCTTTTTAGTGTGTATCTTTGTCAGGTTTGGCATCAAACTTATTCATAGGATAAATTTGGAAGTATTCCATCCTCTTCAATTTTTTGGAATAGTTTAAGAAGAATTGGCATTAGTTCTTCTTTACATGTTTTGTAGAATCTAGCAGTGAAGCAGTCAGGTTCTGGGTGGAAACTTTGATAGAAGACATTTTATAGTATTATTACTGGTTCAATCTCCTCACTAACTATTGATCTTTTCAGATTTTTTATTTCTTCATGATTCAATTTTGGTATATGGTATGTGTATTTATTAATTTCTTCTAGATTATCGAGTTTGTTGGTGTATAATTGCTTATAATAGTCTCATGATTTTTTGCATTTCTGTGGTATCAGCTGTAATGTCTTCTTTTTCATCTTTGATTTTATTGAGTCTTTTCTTTAGCAGTCTTCTTAGTCTGGCTAAAGGTTTGTCAATTTTATCTTTCCACAAAGCCAACCCTTTGTTTCACTGATCTTTGTATTGCTTTTTAAATCTCTATTTCTGCTCGTTTTTATTAATTTTTCTTTCTACTAACCTTGGGTTGAATTTGTTCTGGTTCCTTGAGATACAGTATTAGATTGTTTATTTGAGGTCTTTCTTCTTTCTTGATGTAGGTGTTTGTTGCTATAAACTTCCCTCTTAGGACTGCTTTTGCCGTATCCTATAGTTTTTCATATGATGCATTTCCATTTTAATTTGCCTCAAGGAATTTTAAAATTTCTCTCTTAATTTCTTCTTCTACCCATTGGGTATTCAATAGTGCATTGTCTCGTTTCCATGTACTTGTAAATTTTCCAAATTTCCTCCTGTCATTGATTTCCAGTTTTATACCATTTTGGTATGGTTCAAATCTTCTTTAGTTTGTTAAGATTAAGTTTGTGACCTAACATATGATCTATCCTGGAGAAAGTTCCATGGGCAATTGAGAGGAATGTGTATTCAGTGGCTGTTAGATGAACTGTTCTGTAAATGTCTCTCTCCATTTCTATTCAACATTGTCCTAGGGGGTCTAGTCAGTGCAACAAGGCAAGAAAAGGAAATAAAAGAAATACAATTTGGAAAGTAAGCAATAAAACTCTTTCAGATGACATGATTGCTTACATTGAAAATCTCAATCTAGAATAATGCTATTAGATCCAATAAGTGAATTTAACTGGATTGCAGCATACAAATTCATTATATTAAAATCAACTGTACTTCTGTATACTAGCAATGAGTAATTTGAAATTGAAATAAAAACTTTAAAAAGAGCTTGCTAAGTTTCTTATAAGGTTGAATACACTTATCATAAGACTTAGCAATCCTACTCCTAGATTTTACCTGTCCCCTCCTTCCTCCACCTGTTTGTATTTCTTCAATCTCTGGTGCTAGAGGGCTGCGTTCCAGTCTTGCTTAGCATTTCTTAGCTGCGTGACTGGACCAGTTTCAAACTCCTGCCTAAAATGAGGAGAACCACAGGACTTACTGCACTGGAGAGTTGTGAGGATTAAATGAGTTACCTCAGGTGAAGGGCCCAGAGAGGATTCTGAATATGGTGTCACCCAATACATGTTAGTTTTATGGTCACTGCCAGCACCCATCAGGATGCAGATGTTTTGTGAAATTCAGAGACATTCTCTTCCTAGTGTATCTGCTAAAACACAAACTCAAACCTACCCTTGAAGTCACCTTTTTTTTCAGCACTATGTTATAAAAACATGCCAGAGGTGGAAAAATTTATCAACCTTCCAAGCCTTTTCATATATATATACATACATATACACAAATGTTTCAGAATAAGAAAATGTCAACTTTTCATGGACAACAATATGCAGGCAACAGTCATGCCTCTCAGGGAGGTTACCGAGAGCTTCATCACTGCCTGGGCAGGTGTGAGGTGGCCCAGGGAAAGGGGGCTCAGCATGAAGTCATGAGCAGTTGACCATCTTTATCGAGTATGTGTGTGTGTGTGTGTGTGCATGAGAGAGAGAGAGAGAGAGAGAGAGAGAGGAATTTTTTTTTGGCTAGGTTGCTCTGGATTCTGTCAAAATGACATTCATGCTTCTCATGGTCCCCACCAACACTCCAGAAGAGATGAGAGCAAAATGCAATAAAATCAAATCCAGGTCCACATGGCAGCCCTTCCCATAGATGGTTTTGTTTTTCAAGATCATGAAAATGACACAGGCTAAGAATTCCCAAGCCCATCCAGAACAAAAATCTAGCGTACTTGAGATTAAAAAGCTTGCTCTAAAATGAATTTTAATTTCTTTTATCTTCTACTCTTCCTTCTCATCCCTCCTACCTTCCCATCCCTTCTTTTCCTCTTTCTGTTTCCTCTCTTCTTTCTCCTTCTTATTTCCAGGAAAGGAAGGAATGTTGGGGGTCAGGAATCAGATAGTTGTGAAAGTTCTGCTCTGGTGCTGTTACTATGGTTTGAATGTATTGGAAACTTAATCCCCAAATTCATATATTGATTGGACATTGGGCCTTCTGGAGGAAATTAGGTTTAGATAAGATCATCAGGGTGGGGGGGGGGGCAAAATGGGATGGGTGGCTTTATAAGAAGAAAAAGAAAGACTCTAGCTGACCTGCACATTCTTGCTCTCACCACGTGATGCCCTCCACTGTGTTATGATGCAGTGAGAAGTCCCTCACTGGATGTCAGCCTTAAACTTCCCAGCCTCCAGAACCAGAAGAAATAATTCTTTATAAATCACCCAATCTAAGGTATTCTGTCATAGGAACGGACAACAGACTGAGATGGCTGTTATTTTAAGAAATAAAGCTGGCATATATTCCCCTCACTCAAAGTACTTCTAAAATGCAGATGTCCACCACCAAAGGGCATTGCATGTAGGTGCATATGCACAAACATAGACATCACCATTGCTAAATAGCAGGTACCATGGAGAACAGAGCAATGAACCATTTCCTCATATGGAAAGAAAATACCTAATAAAACCCAAGCAAAGAGTCCAAAATAGCTCCACTTTATTTTTGAGCACTCTTATGTAGAACCATTTAGCCAGGGCCAGGAATAATTGGTGCCAGGTGCCTTGTAGAGATGCCAGGTTCATGGATTTCTCACTCTCTTTATGGGAGGATGACTTAATAACACATCTTTGTCTGCTGAATGTTTGAATCTTATTTCTGAGATTATACCCAAAGATGGCAGCCCTCCTCTGCATGAGTAAATCACATTGAAAATAGGAAAAAGAGTCCAGGCAATCAATGCCTGTCTCAGCTGAAACATAATTATAAGTCCACTGTGCTTAGAGGTAATACTTTATTAAAAAGAATATCAGGACTGGGTGCAGTGACTCATGCCTGTAATCCCAACACTTTGGGAAGCCGATGCGGGCAGATCACAAGGTCAGGAGTTCGAGACCAGCCTGGCCAATGTAGTGAAACCCTGTCTCTACTAAAAATACAAAAAATTAGCTGGGCGTGGTGGTGGGTGCCTGTAATTCCAGCTACTTGGGAGGCTGAGGCAGGAGAATCGCTTGAACCTGGGAAGCAGAGGTGGCAGTGAGCCAAGATTGTGCCATTGCACTCCAGCCTGGCAACAGTGCGAGACTCCATCTCAAAAAAAAAAAAAAAAAACAAAAAAAAAAACTCTCTCTCTTTATATATATATGTATATATACATATATATATATACATATATATATGTATATATATATGTATATATATATATATATATATGTATATATATCAGAGCTACATTTTTGGTTTGGTGGCTAAGTCATAATTGTAGAAATCTATTTTCCAATAAATCCTTCCCTTGAACCTAAATATATAAAAGAGATAATGTGTGGAGCTGCTCTGGTTATATTGGGGGTTGGGGGTCCAAGGCATTGCCCATTTAGCTTCTTCCTTGGCTCCCACTTAAGCCACTACTCACCCTCCCCATAAGCTCCCCATGGAGCTCCTCTAACAGAGCGTGAAGAGTACTGACTGTTATGCTGGTTATTAGTGAATACATAGTACCCATTACTACACAGGGGGAAACTGAGGCCTGGAAAATGAAGTGTGATGCCAAAGTGTTGGAGCTGGTGCTGCTGCTGGGACCTGCCACCTCCTGTAGAGCACTAAGTGTCAGCGAGCACTAAGTATCATACTCTGTGACCCTTAGCAAGGCAGCCCCTCTTGGGACAGCACATGCACCCTGCTCCCCAACAGGAAGCGAACATTTAAACTAGTTTGACCTTGAATGTAAAGTCATGGAGTGAAATAGTCTACTTAGCAGAGCCCTTCAGGGTGTTCTCCTTTTCCTGTCAATTTGGTATTTTAGTTTTGGAAAACAAAAATATTCTGTAAGAGGAGCTCTGATTTGGTTCACAAGCCTGTGCTAGTAATAGGAGAACTTGGATAGCCAGGCATCCTACTGTCTTGCTCCTCCACACCCCTGCTTCCTCACCTTTGCCAGGTGCCACCTGGCCTGGTGGAATGGTGGGCAAGTACTGCAAGAACATGCTCTAAGCCACGGGGTGGTGCAGCCTGCCCGCCCAGGCCCCTTGGCAGGAAGCTGGCAAACAGGCATCTCATCTCAGAGACAGGACAGTGAAGTGGACAGACTCCTCTGTGTGTGTGTGTGTGTGTGTGTGTGTGTGTGTGTGTGTGTGTGTGTGCGCGCGCGCGCGCGCGCGCACTTAAATAGCATGATTTTCCTCTCTAATTAAAAAAATGAAATTTACAAGGAAAATTTATACCATATAATAAGGATAAAGAGAACGTCACTATATAGAGAAGCATTTTTTTTTTTTTGAAACGGAGTCTCGCTTTGTCGCCCAGGCTGGAGTGCAGTGGTGTGATCTCGGCTCACTGCAACCTCCGCCTCCCAGGTTCATGCCGTTCTCCTGCCTCAGCCTCCTGAGTAGCTGGGACTACAGGTGCCTGCCACCATGCCTGGCTAATTTTTTGTATTTTTAGTAGAGATGGGGTTTCACCATGTTAGCCAGGATGGTCTCGATCCCCTGACCTTGTGATCTGCCCGCCTCAGCCTCCCAAAGTGTTGGGATTACAGGCAAGAAGCATTTTAAAATACATATCCTTAGATTCTTTCTTTCCTTCCCTCCCTCCTGTCTTTATTTTCTCTCTTCCTACTTTTTTTTCACTATTTCATTTTGCCAAAATGAGATCATACTGCTTGTGATCCCCTTTTATTTACTTCATGTATTGTGAACACATTTTTTGTGATAAATACATAATAATGTGTACTTATTATTGGTTTAGAAGTATTCCTTTGTGCTGTAACTCATTCAAGTACATTTCTACTTTTTAACCTTTGTTTTTTCTGCCTTTATAAATAACATTTTTGTTACTAGTTTGAGTCCTAAATCATTGCATGTTTCTCTAGCAGGAATTCCTAGAGGTGGAATTGGTGGATATATAAGAAGAACTGTAGCGATTGTGAATAACCAGAACTATGGAACTGACTCTTCTGTCCTTAAACATTTGCTAATTACCGCACCCGACCAGCCCAATCCAGGCAGGCGGTTGATGGCAGCTCTTGGCAATCGATGCCCTCTCCATTTATCAAAGAGATAAATGGAATCATCAAATAGGAAATTCATTATTTTAAAGAGTTCATCTAAAATGGGGTCAGAGAGAGAATGTGACAAAGTCGAAAAAGCAGGCCCCTCAGAGGAGAAGGGGAAGGGGCAGGGGTGAAATGGAAATTCTCCAATTCCTCAGGCTTCCCTTTGTCCTTCCCTTGAAATCTTGTGCATCCGCCCTGACTCCAGGCCTCCTCAGCAGATGGTGCCAGGCAGCACCTTCCATTCCCTGCCCAGGGAGGTGACAAAGTTCCGGCTAGCGTGACCACAGGATGGATCTCCATTACTTCTTAGCTGATCCATGTTAAACTCAAGATGACTGTGGTCAGACTTAGTTTTCCACCGAGATTTAATTAACAAATTTTCTGGGCTGTGTTCCCTGGGGCATATTTAGAGTCATGCTCAATGTCTAACTTTCTGGGGAGTTTTCAGCTCGATGAACTTCTTTCTACTTGGACATAGCACATAGCCACAGAAATGTGTGGGGAGACTAGTGCATGAGAAGAAGCCAGCATATAACTCTGTGAATAGAAGCTCTTTCTATGTACAGGTATTTGGGGAGCAAAGGCCTCCTTTCTGCTCCTCGAGGCGGGGGGTGTGACTGGTTTCGAGAGGTGGGCTCTGTCGGTGTTGGTAGACAGGCCACCTTAACCTCCCTCAAAGGGGCAGTGGAGCAGGCTAATGAGTATCCTCTGCGAGCTTGAGAGGTGCACATGCATTCACTTAAAGCAAGGTGGGCCCCTGCCAATTTGTCCAGATTCACTGCCAGTTGGCAGTAAGATTGAATCCTGAGGAGAGACAGAGAGAGTGGAAGGCCTGGCCTGGGGTTCTGGCCTGACCAGCGAGCAGTAGCTTTCATGTATGGGGAGGCCACGTTTCAGCATAGATGGGCCGAGATGGGCCCAGTCTCTAGCAATTACCTTCATGGTTTTCTGCCAGAGGCTATTTTTTTCCAAGGGAAAACTTCCCATTTGTTTTTTGTATTTTTAAAGTGTGTGTGTGCGTGTTTGCTCTTTGTGCTAAGGGTACATGTTCAGCAGAAGGAATTGGCAGGAGCACACGCTCCCTCTCTCTCTCACTTTGCATGCTTGACCCTGAGACCTTGTGTTCTCCTGAAGCCTCTGCCACGCAATCTCTTCCATCTTCTTCCTGTCTGATGATTTCCCCTGGACTCTCCCATGGGCATTTTTATGTCAATAGATTGGAATGTTTCTCTCCTCACTGGGAAAAGCTCCTTTGGTCTCAGTGAACTCAGAGGTGGAGAAAGTCATAAGAATCAGGGAGCCTGCCCCAAATTGCCTCCTATGATAACTTTCCACAAAGACTGGAGGGGAGGCTTCAAACATCTTCCTGCAGTGTCCAGCAAGACAGCGAGGCAGACTCCCTTTCTCCTGCCAAAGCCACGTGGAGCCAGACAGAACCACAAGCATACCTGTGGTGCTTGGAGGCCCAAGTAGAAACTTGAATGCTCACGGCTGCATTGGCAGCTTCTACTTGCCTGCCTGGATCACCGTTCCTCATGAGAACTTGGAAAAGCAGGACTATCATTCTTGCTTGACAGACGAAGAAACCAAGCCTCAGGTAGGTAGTTAGTTTCCCAAAGTAACATATTGTAGTGGATGGCAGGGTGGATGTGACAGTCAGCTTTGTTTGACTTTCAACTGAGTGGCATTATAAGGTTGCACTGGTCACATGGGAGACCTGACCATCCTGGGGACCCTGAAACACCTAGGCCTAGCCAATCATTAAGGCAGTTCATACCCAAAGCAGGATAGTTGGTGATCTGATTTTAGGTGGCACCAGGAAACTCCAACACTACCCTTGTGAGGTTCCATAATTTAGTGTCATTCTTTGGTTAATGGATTGTCTGCAATTACAATGAAAATATCTTTGTGTCTATAATCATTTAAGCAGTCATTTCCATCTAAGTGTGAATTAATTTATTGTCTTATTCAATGTAACAGCTAGCTGAGGCTTGATTTTATTTTCCTTCATGCATTTATTCTTTCAATTGGTATGCATTTAATGACCATCTGAGGACAAGATACTATGTGAGTTCAAGGAGGAGTAAGACATGCACTCTGCCCTAAATGAACTTACAGGTTAAAAGGGAACTGAAGTCACCATAAAGCAGCATACAGTAAGTGACATAAGAACAGCACAAATAGAAAAAAATCAATTGAGGGCAGGAACTGAGGTGTTTAGGGAGCACCCACTGGGGGAACCAACATGTGGGATGAGTCTTTGTGAAGGATGGTCATGATTTCAACTAGAACCTGTAGTGTTACAGAAGGCAGGCAGAGAAGGGAGAGGAAGGCATTGCCGGAGGGAAGGCAAGGAGCAAAGACATGGGGTAAGAAACTGACATGTTTGTTTGGGGCATTCACATGGTTCCCTTTAACTTAAGTATAGGGTATGTGGAGGGGAGTAACAAGAGATAAAGATAAAAGGTGTTTTGAGGCCTATATTTAGAAGACTGTCAGTGCCAGGCTAAGGAGGATGGTGTCTTACCTGGTCGGCAGTGGGAGCCTTTGAAAGTGTGTGAACAGTAAAGCGCCAGGACTCCAACTGTGTGCTAGGAATCATGGGTCAGAGGTTCCTGGAGAATGTTTATTTCAAGCTGAAATAATCAAGGCCTGAGCTTAAATAATAGTGGTGAGAACTGCCAGGAGGGAATGGTGCAGAAGATAGCCCGATATTGTGATATAATACAAAAATATATCCTTGTCTTCAGCCCTGGCTCTAGTTCCTTACATGGAGCTCTTAAAACCTTTGGAATTCCCTGAACGATGGGATGAGAGGAGTGTGTTATTTTATTCGTAAGCCCCTTTCAACCACACATGAGTGGATGCTAGTGAGATGGCTGGGGGTTGGGGGACTCTAGATAGCTTCTGGCTGGGGGCTGGTTCCCAGGAAGACCAAGACAGGATAAAAGAGTTGGAACTTTCAACCTCACTTCCACCCCTCAACCTCTGAAGAAAGAAGAGGAGATACAGACTGAGTCAATTGCCAATGGCCAATGATTTAATCAGTTATGCCTATGTAATGAAACCTCCATAAAATCCCCAAACAATGGGATTTGAAGGGCTTCTTGGTCAGCAAACACATCAACGTGTGAAGAGGGCACAGAAGCTCCATGTCCTCACCCCCATCGCCGGCCCTATGCATCTCTTCCATTTGGTTTTTCCTGAGTTGTAGCTTTTATAATACATAAGCAATGGGAAGTAAACTGGTTTTCTGAGTTCTGTGAGCTGTTCTAGCAAACCATTGAAACTGAGGAAGGGGTTGTGGGAACCTCTGACTTTATGACTGTTTTATCAGAAGTATGGGTGGCTGGGACTTGTGATTGGTGTCTGAAGTGGGACAGTCTTGTGGGACTGAGGCCGTAACCTGTGGGGTCTGAATTAACTCTGGGTACCTAGTGTCAGAATGGAATTTAATCATTGGATACCCAGTTGGTGTCTGGAAAGCTGGAGAACTGGTTGTGGGTGTGGAAAAAAACTTACATATTTTGGTGTCAGGGTGTTGTGAGTAGAAACAGATCATGTCAACAGATGGGCTCTTTTTTTAAAAAAAATTTTTTTACATTTCTTTTTTTCCTTCTACATTTTTTCTCTTTAAGCTTTATTTTTGATACACAATAATTGTATATATTTATGGGGTACAGTGTGATGTTTTGTTACATGTATGCAATGTGCAATGATCAAATCAGCACAATTGGGATATCCATCACTTCAAATATTTATTATTTCTTTTGGTGAGAACATTCCAAATCTTCTTTTCTAGCTATGTAAAAATATACAGTAAATTACTGTGAACTATAGTCACCTTATTATGCTACTGAACACTAGATTATATTCCTTCTATAATATCTAAGTGTGTTTTCGTTCCCACTCCCCCTCCTCACTACCCTCTGAGCCTCTAATAACTATCATTCTATTTGCTATCTCCATGTGATTCATTTATTTAGACTCCATATATAAGTGAGAACATGTGACATTTGTCTTTCTGTGCTTGGCTTATTTTACTTAACACAATGTCCTCCAGTTCCATCCATGTTGTTGTGGATGGCAGGATTTTGTCCTTTTTTACAGCTAAATAGTATTCCATTGTGTATATATATGAGATTTTCTTTATGCATTCATCCTTTGATGGATACTTCAGTTGATTCCATATCTTGGCTATTGTGAAGAGTGCTGTGGTAAACGTGGGAGTGCAGATATTTCTTCAAAATATTTGACTTCCTTTCCTTTGGCTACATACACAGTAGTGGATTGCTGGATCATATAGTAGTTTATATTCTTAATTTTTTGAGGGAACACTATACTATTTTCTGTAATGACTGTATTAATTTACATTTCCACCAACAGTGTATAAGAATTCTCCTTTCCCCACGTCCTCACCATCATTGGTCTTTTTTTTTGTCTTTTTGATAATAGTCATTTTAACTGGAGTGAGATGATAGCAGATGGGCTCTTGTTTAAGAGTAGTTGTGGTATATAAGGGAGAGGGAGATGTTAAAGATGGCCAAGTGTCAAGTCTTGGTAAGTTGAAGGTGTGGAAGATTAAGAGGAAGCCCAGGAGAAAGAACTGCTGAGGGTGGGAATAGGAGGTGTGCCAATTTAGACATGTTGACTGGAGGTAGCCGCTGGCCTGCAGGCACAGCAGGGCCTCATATGTGGGGAGAGCGTTCAGTGAGCATGAGAGGGCGCTGACGGAAGAATCAAGGAGAGACCCATGGTCACAGGGAGGCAAAGGGATTCCAAATCTGTCTCATTCAAAAACATTTTCCTGTGTGAGGCCACTATTCTAAATCCTGAGATTCATACGAGCAAGGACAAGTCACTCTTCTCATGGAGCTTTCCTTCTTATACAGCAATTGGTAGGACCCAAGTCTTCTGCAGAGCCCTAAAGTGTAGCTTTCCTTCACTAGTTGTCATTCTCAATGTGGAAACATTCAGCCTCCACTCCATCACAACCTGAAGGAAGGGCTTCCAGCTCCTCAAGCAATCTGGACCCTTCCCTGTCAATCCCCTGGCACCTGGCCACCCATACACCACCACCCATCCCCCATCAGGAGTTTCTACTATTCTGACTTCTATCATCATAGATTTGTTCTGTCTGGTCTTGAACTTTCATATGAATGTAATCACACATTTTGGGAAGCCTTCATTTGTTCAATATTGTGTGGTTGAGTAGAGTTGTAGCTTTTTTTTAATATTCCTTTTTTTGGGGGTATTATTCCATTGCAAATACCCTACCTTCTATTTGTCGATTCTACTACTTGATGAAGATTTGGGTTGTTTTCAGTTTTGGACTATTATGAATAAATCTGTTATGAACCAGCTTGGGGAGCTGACCTAAAAAAGCAGTCACATCAAGTGATAGCAGGAGTGAGTACTCAGAAAAAAAGGGGGATGTAAGATACACTTTCAACTTTCCCAGTACTTAAAGCACAGCAGGCAACCGCCAGGGAGAACCACACTCAGCTTGAGCAACAACACCCTCCCTGGAGATATGTGATTAATACCCAACTGCTCTGGTAGCCCTTAGGGCACATGAGACCTGGGATAGGGTGAGTTTTGTGTGGCGATTGGGAGGAGGGAAGTGAGGAGATCAGCTTGAGCTGTGAAAGGGCCTGGTGGGCCCATTCCTCAGGTGTATTTCTTGGTCTGGCATGGATTTCTGCCCTTGATCTCTGGCTCTGGAGGTGACTGGGATAATTGAGGCCTTATGCCCCACTCCCCGAAGACTGGTTTTGGCACATATGCAACCTGCATTTTAATATTATTCCTTATGACTGGAAGCATTTGGAAGGAGTCCTTGCCCCTGGTTTTAAAAGGTGGCATTATTTTATGAACATTTAGACATTGATTAATAAAATTCCGAACCCATTAACTAATGGGGAAATGCCAAACTTTTTTGCGTATCCGAGAAAGTAAATGTAATAAAAACTATCCCAAAAGGTAAGTTAAATTATAGTCTTTGCTTTTTCTCTCCTGATAGTCCCACCAGATGTTTTTCAAATGCAGGACACAGGCCCTTTTTTCTGTTTTCTCCAGGGAAAGAAGACAGAAAGCTTGGCTCAGCTATGCTAACTTTCAGAAGGAGAAAAAAGCACCACGTTAGGACAGGGCCTGTTGGGACTCGCCGTGCTGCTGGTTCATAAATCTGAAGACAAGGAAACTAGACCTCCGTCAATTTCCAATCCCTTTTTCCTATTGACCCCCACCCACTCTTCCCAGATCACCATTGGGAATTTAGCTCTGATTTTGAATGCTGGGAACAGAGCTTGTGAAGACCCTGTAAGCCCTGGGAGGTTGAAAGGTGGCCATTTGGTTTCTTCTCTGTGGAGAAGGGCAGGGGCTCCCTGCCCAGGCAAGGCCTCCATTTGAGGACTCCCCTCGCAGGAGCCGAGCCCATGGCCGGATGGCTATGTGGTCACTGAAGACTGGAATCAGCACCTCTCCCCAAACAGCCTGCTCAGGGCTCTAAGTTCCTCTTGCAAATGGGGATCTTGATTTCTCCACCCTTCCTCAGCCCCAATCCAAGTTTTCTGAGTCTGGAAAGAAATAAAACAGCTATAAAGTTGAGGGACAGGATATGTCCAATCCTCATGGCCCTGCGGTCATATCCTCTGCTTTTGCCGTGATGAGCCATGGAAATGTTTATAACCTGGCTGCAGTTCCTGGGCCTTAGCTCCAAGAGCGGAGCTTCCTCTCCCTCCCACGGCTTCCCCACCTCCCTGCCTTCCCTGACTGATCTGAAAAGCCAACTTGTCATCCGAAATGAAATGCAGAAGTCAGGGATGCTTTTAAATTTCTCCCTAAGAGCAGCGTTCCCAAGTTCCCAAGCTTTCTCTCACATATTGCGCTGGAGCTGGGCTTCAGAACAGTTCAAAAGAAACGGGACGGTGGGCCTAGGAGTGCCGCTCCTTTCCTTCCACAGACCCCACTCCTCTCCAAGATGTTGGCATTGTCGCCAACACAACGTGGAAGCTAGGGGGCTGCGGGGGACCACCCTGTCCCGGGGAAAAGTCAAGCAGGATCTCTCACGGTTTTTGGTGTGGGAACGGTCTCTACATGGGAGGAGCTGATGGAGCATAAAGTTTCCATTTTTGTTCCTCCATATTTGTCTTCCCTTTGGGCAGTGCTTCCTATTCCTGCTGTCCTGAGAATCACTTGGGATGCCTAAACAATGATAACACGGCCGGGCGCGGTGGCTCACGCCTGTAATCCCAGCACTTTGGGAGGCCGAGGAGGGCGTATCACGAGGTCAGGAGATCGAGACCATCCTGGCTAACACGGTGAAACCCCGTCTCTACTAAAAATACAAAAAATTAGCTGGGCGTGGTGGCGGGCGCCAGTAGTCCCAGCTGCTGGGGAGGCTGAGGCAGGAGAATGGCGTGAACCTGGGCGCAGCTTGCAGTGAGCCGAGATCGGGCCACTGCACTCCAGCCTGGGCGACAGAACGAGACTCCATCTCAAAAAAACCAAACCAAACCAAACAAGCAAGCAAAAAAAAAAAAAAAAAAAAAAAAAAAAAAAAGAATGATAAAAACACATCAAGCACAAGAGCAGGTGAGGAACCTGGAGATGGCTGGCAGGATGATCTGGCTTAATTCAATTGGCTGGCCTGTTTGTGCTACTGTCTTGTTTTAGGGCATAATTACATCTTGTGTTAGCTATAGCCACAAAAATATACAATTTAGGGGAAGAAGTGTTCCATTGAATCAAAAGATGGCAGGCAAACAAAGGATGGAAATGATATTCATGGATGGACTTTTCTTGGTCTTGAACTACAAGTGGTTTTGCAACCCATTCTTAATTCTTGGTTCTGAATGACTCCCCTCTTAACCTCCCCACGTGTGAGGATTTACTGGTGCCCTGATCCCATAACTTAATTTTTGTCCTCTCTTTTTCTTTTGGATTATGAATGTCTGCTGAAGTTAAGCTGCAATAACATAATTTGTCATTGTCTAACATGCAGTGTTATGTTTGAGCCTTTTGACTGAGCAGCATAAATTAGTGTCCTGTTTTATTAATGGTATAAATTCATAGGAGTAGGTTTATTTCAAGTGAGAGATAAGCTGCATAGCCAGGGAAAACTGAAAATGGCACTTGTAGAAAGAAGTTGCTTAATTTTCTGCCACTATCCCATTAGGCCAATCATCCCCTTTATAGGAATCTACCTACAGGCAATTTTCAAAGTCCTAAGCAAGAAACCCTATCATATTTTCCACTGTATTATAGACATTACTTTTCATTTCTGTAGTTCTTGGGGGCAGTGGATAAAATGGTCTTTCTTCACTCAGTATGTGGAGTGCTACAGTCTCCTCTTCTTGAAAGCCTCCACCTCTTACTCAGCCCTTCCTTCAACTCTACTGCCAAAGTTATTTCACACCCTGTGTTTGCTCAGTGCATTCAACCTGATCCCCATGCCTCAGAGGGCCTTCCAGTGGCTCTGCAAAAGAAGGCTTGGGGTCTCATCTTTTGCTCCAAAGTCTAACCCTTTTCTTACTAATGCTGCACAATGCCCTCTGCTTCTAGTCACATTTCCCCCAAAAGCCACACCCTAGTGTCTTGGTGTTCTAGTCATTCTTTCTTCATTCCCACAATATACAGAAATTCCCTTTTTTTAATGAGGCCCTTCCCAACTGCTTTGTAAAAGAACGGGTCTTGCTTCTGGAAGGTAAGCAACATGGCCCCTTTGCCACTCCATTGCCTCTTGCATAATAAAAATGACAATAATTGTCTCAATGGCTAACACTTACGTAGCACCAATTATGTGCCAGTCACAGTCCTAAGCATTTTATATGTCAACTGATTTAATCTTGGCAAAAGTCCTTTTAAGTGATGTGATGGTTAATTGTTTGTGTCCAATTAACTTGGCCAAGGTGCCCAGATATGTGGTCGAACATTTTACTGAATGTTTCTGTGAGGGTGTTTTTGGTTGAGAGTAACATTTACCTGGGTAGACTGAACAAAGCGGATTGCCCTTCATAATGCTGGTGGGCCTCATCCAATCAGTTGAAACCCTGAATAGAACACAAGACTGACTTCCCTCAGGCAAAAGGAAATTCTGCCAGGAGATGGCCTTTGGACTTGAACCACAGCATCAGCTCTTCCCCGGTCTCCAGTCTTCCAGTCCACCCTGCAGATTTTGGACTTGCCAACCTCTGTAATCACATGAGCCAATTCCTTAAATCCCTTTACAGACACACACACACACACACACACACACACACACACACACACACACACACACACACACACAATTGTTTCTGATTCTCTGGAGAACCCTGACTAATACAGGTGGGTATTTTTATGATTATCCCACTTTACAGATGTGATAACTGGGCACAGAGATGTTAGGTAACTTGTCCAAGGTCATTATCAGTACCAGTATGTAGTGCAGTTGGGATTCTGTGTGACTCCTGAGTCTGTGCTCTTAACCACAAGATTAAATACATACTTATGTTCAGACTTATTTGTTCATTGGTCTGCCTCACATATCATTTTTGCTGGGTTATTTTATGTTTTCAGTTGTCAGTTTTGAGAAGACAGAATCTGCCCATCTGGCTAATGTACCATGGAGAGGCCTAGCCTAGACTTTTAAAAGGAAGTTTAGAAAAGTGTCTGATGAGATTGACTCCTGTGTATTCTTCTAAGATTTTTATAATTTTATCTGTTATATGTAAGCCTATGGTTCAGTTAGAGTTAATTTTTGTGTATGGTGTGAAGAAGGGGTCTAACCTCATTCTTTTGCATATGGCTATCTTCTTATCCCAGCATTATCTATTGTAGTGTAGGGTGCTACTGCCCAACCTCCTGTCTCTCTCTCATGCACTGTGGTTGGAACTCTATCCAGCTAAATGGTTCTCCCAGGTGTCTCCCCTGATGAAATCCTCTCATGTGAATCCCATCTTGGCATCTGCTTTCTCCAGGGAGCTGGATTAACAAGTGGGTTTATCAGCTGAAATTAGATTTCATTATATTAAGTATTCCTATAATAGTAACATTCAGTACATCCTTTAATACATGAAAAGTGATAAATTGCAACATTTGGTTATTGGGTCTGTCAATTCTTCTGTGCGTTTAACTTGTTGATTTTTTTTTCATTCTATATAAGGAATTTGGGCAATGCCCCAATTTTTTATCTTAAAAAATTTCTTTTTTAAGATAAAAAAGAAAAAAATAATTGGATGACACATAAATGGTGCTTATTGTAAAGGTAGTTAATATTCCAGATTGTCAACTCTTCAATTTTTTCCTTTCAATCTGATTATTGTCTCAAGACAAGTGAGTAAAATCCCATAATTTTACCAGTGGATAAAATTTTTGTCAGAATTTTAGGATTACATCTTGGAATCCCAAAAGACATATTTTGGAACAAAAGATGCTCAAAATTTTAGAAGAGTTGGATCTTTAAATGTCTACACATATGTGCTTGCTCTCTGTACATTGTACAGCACAGTGTAAACATGGGTCAAAACCATGTTCTTCTATTCCTAGGGAATCAATTTTCTATTCCTAGGGAAATGGCACTGCTCCAGGAAATGGAGCTGTCTGAGGAGACCCAAGCTGAGGGAGGGTCCTCCAGCTCCGAAGACAGCATCTCCCTCTCAGCCCTGTGGTACAGCCTCATCTCCGGGGTGGAAGTGTAGCAGCTGGTTTCCTAAGCTAAAAGTTCATGCTTGCTTGCTTTCATACATTAGCTTAATGGAATTGTGTTTCACATAAGCCTTTGATGTAGGCATTTTGTTTCTAAAAATCCATGAAAGTTTCGTGACTTCAGCAGCTTTGTTGGAAGTTTTCATCTTGGAGCAGTTTACATTTTCCACTGGCCTGATGTGGTGATTTTCACAGACATTTTATTGTATTTTCTGAGGTACATTCTCAGGACCAGCAGGGCAGGAGTGGGCATCCAGTAGCAGCAGACCTCTGTCTCCCTTTCTCTCTCTCCTCACAGACACACACACACGGCACACACACACACACACACACACACACACGTCTCCTATAAGCAGTTCACCACAGCACTATTTTCAGCCTTTCAGGCTATCAGGCACCAGAGTGTTTAAAGTTTTAATAGGCTTAGAGGTGACTCTAGAGTCCACCAACATCTGCATTCATCTGTAATTTATGGCTGCCTCTTATTTAGTTGGTTTAGTAAATTGTACCTAAGAGTATTCTTTGAGACTTGGCAGCCTGGTGTACAGTTTCACGATTCAGCTGTGTTTTTGCCAACTATTTGGCTTTTTTTTTTTCTCTTGGATGACATTCTCAAATACTTAATTTGGAGCTTTCGTCTGGAACACACTTTATCAGACACCTCTTGTGTGCCAAAGACCCCTTATATTCTGTTAAGACTAACTTTCCACAAGCTAACACATTTATTTCTAAATTGCTTTTAAAGTCACCATATTTCCAAATAGCAGAAGGTAGAGTGTGGTGAGTTTGGACTATGTCTTTCTTGTGGTCTCCCTGTCCCACACCCTCCACCCTTCTTCTCTGGATTTTAGTGAAGGGAAAATTCCTCTGTAAGTGGAGAGGTGAGGGTAATGGTGCCTAATCAAACCATAACATAAATGTCTGTTGCAAAAATAAAAAGGCTCACTTTCTTATGAGTTAGGTGAGGAAATGTTTTGGCCTTATTTCATTTGCTCAGCCTAACCATGCTCTAAAGATTAAATCAAGGCTATTATGGGTATAATTTATTTCTCTTCCAAGTCTGTCATCATGTGTGTAGATTTGGGGTATTATGTTTTCCCACTTTCAGGGGTAAGGTCCATATCTGGCAAACACAGATTTAAGACATTCTATGAAAAGTCCCTGAGGCAGTTTGTTTACAGTTTCACAGAATATGATTTTCTAGCTGAATCTGTGACTAACTGACTACTCCCTTTTCTTTTCAATAAGCATTACGGAGAAGTCAGCTTTCCAGAATTGAACACTCCATTGCGTTGTTGCCTCCAAACAAGAGAACGTGTAATTCATCTGCATCATGATGAATACACTGAAATCATGTAATCTGTTAGGAAAATGCAATCTTAAGAAAAAAAATTGTAATACAATTAAATCCTCCACTCACACCATAAATCTCTTAAGGTCTGAGGAGGAATTAGAGATTAAAATAAATCTTTTAACATTCTTTCTTATGAGGAGAATAATTAATTTAGCCACTTTAGCTGTTTGTGATGGTGGAATGGGAATTTAGGTTTTAAGCTTGAAATGCACACTTTCCTCCACATTTTCTTTGGGGTTTGGGTCTTCTTCATCCCATTACACTTGTGGGCTGACTGAGAAGTATCTGGGGCCACATGTGCAATCCACTCTGAAACCCACCTCTGTACTGTGTTGCTGCCTTGGGTGCCTGGCTGCTGCCTCTTGGGCTTGTCTCCTGGTGCAGAGATGCCTGATGTAAATATAGTGTGTGCACACTGGTGGCCCGGGCATGGACAACATGTGTCTAGGATCCTTGATTCTTTTTGAATCTGATTTCTCTTCCACATAAATCCTGAATGCCAGGAGTAGAGAAATTGTTATAACAGTATGGCAAAGGACATTCAAAGATACCTGAAGAAGGAATAAATGGAATAGGTACATTTTCCTTTTACTCAGGGACTCCAAATCCCTAAGCCCATGCAGAGGCTTCTGTGTATCAAATGTATATCATTTGTAGGACACGAGGTGCCAGAGTCAGCCTCCCTACCTGGTGTAGCCCCTCCCTTCACATCCACAAGCTATCTAGGGCAGGGGCATGCAATTGGGAGGCTGACCCCAATGGTATTTTTTTGTGGCTATAGCTAATGCAAACATGTAATTATTTTGTTAAAAATACTCACAAACCCTTTTTTCTGCTAGAAAGTAAGGAAGTGCTCAAAAGTTAGTGAAGACCTATGGAAAGGACATAGAAATCAGCTTAAAGAGGTTCCTACTGGCCAATGTGGGTCAATTTAAGCATAATAATAAATTGTCATAATGGATCATAACACATTACATAAAATATAAATCTATGGATTCTGATTGGCAAAAGTAAAAAATAAATGGAATAGATTTTAGAGATCTACTAGATCTATAGTTATAAAGCCTATAGTTAACAATGTTGTGTTGTATTCTATACTTAAAAATTTGCTAAGGGAGTAGATCTTATGGTCAGTGCTCTTACCACAAAAGAAAAAAATCTTAAACAAAATAAAGGGGCAGAAGGAACTTTTGGAGGTGGTGGGTAAGTTTATGGCTTTGATTGTGGTCATGGTCACGTCAGTGTATACTTAACTCCGAACTCATTCAGTTGTGTACATTAAATAGGTACAGCTTGTTGTATGTCAATCATACCTCAAAAAATGGTCTTAGAAAAACAAAAACAACATAAATGATCCCTGGATTACCTTATAAATTACAATTGTTAGGACAAAAAATAGGAAAAGGAAAAGCACAATAAGCATGTAAATCGCCAAAAAACAGATATACATAAATGAAAATAAAATGCTAATAATAATTATAGAATCTGTAATAATAAAAATAATAAAATAGAATAACATGCCGTAACTATAGAAGGAATGATGGACTTAGAAAATCAACAATGGTTGCTAAAACAAGTGAGTGAAAGTTTGATGAGAAACAAGATGCATTCGTGATCTCAGTGTCTCCTTTCAAATTACTTATTAATTACACAGGGAAAAATAATTACAGTGGAGAAATCTGGTAAATAGCACCTTATCCAAGTGATAAAAGTCAATTATCACTCAAAATGAAGCAAACTGGTAGCATGTGTCTCCTGATATGAAGGGCATGGTATCACTCTGTGACATTTCTGCCAAAAAAATGCATAATCTGAATCTAATCATGAAGAAACAGCCATCAAGGCCAAATTGAGGAACATCTATAAAGTAACTGGCCTGTAATCTTCCAGATTGAAAAAGTCAACAAAAGCAAAGGCTAAGGAAATGTTTCTGATTGAAGGAGACTAAGGAGGCATGACCACCAAATGCAATGTGTCTTCCTGGATGGAATCCTGGACTGGAAAACAATTGGCTCTACAGTATATTTTGGGGACTTCTGACAAACATTGAAAATGGACTGTAGATTTGATAATAGATTTGCAACAAAATTAAATATCCTGATTTTTAAAATTATGTTGCAGTTATATAAGGAAATGTCCTTGGTTTCTAAGATATACACACAAAAGTATTAAGGGGTAAAGGCACATGATAACTACAAGTTGCTCTCAAGTGGTTCAAAAAATAATATATACACACATATGTCTATATACATATATAAACATACATAGAGATATGTATACATGCACATGTATACACATGTAAACATACATAGAGCTGTGCATACATGCACATAGAGTTATGTATACATGCACATCACTATGTATGTTTATATATGGAGAGATTATATATATATATTTATATATGAAGAGAGAGAGAGAAAATGACAATGGAAATAGGACAAAATAGGATAAAATAAACAACTGATAACTCCTGGAGTAAAGGGTATACTGGGTAGACCTTGTACCATTTTTGTAACCTCTCTGTATGTTTGACATCATTTCAAAGTAAAAAAGTGACAAAAAACATTCATAAGATTAAACTTGGTTAAACTTGATATCACCAAACACTTGGGAAACTCAATTATTATTCCATACTTGTGTTCTACATGACCATACTGGCTATTCTTGTCTCTGTCTGCTTAGCAATTATAGACAGAGTGCAGATTCATTTCCTCAAATCATAGGTATTTAATTTTGTTGCAATTCTATTATCCTCAGTCTGTTTTCACTGTTTGTCAAATGTTCCCAAAATAAAAATAAGTAAAACAAAAGGAAGCATCCTTGACAGGTTTGGTCATTCTCAGTCCCAGCAGCGAGGAAGAAGGCCCCTAGCTCAGGGGAGGGAAAGGGGAGGGACACCCTAACTCCAGGCAGGGTGTCGAACACAGATGGCAGAGAGGAGGCGATGGGCACCCTCTGGTGGTCTGTGGGGTTTTGAGAAGTGTTGGGTCTAACTTGCCTGGGCAGGGGAGGCACAGAAATCATGGCAGGGGGTTGCAATAGCAACCACAGAAGCTGTACACTCTCCAGAGAGGACGTGAGGGGTGTTTATCTACAGTGCTAGCTGGGTGCTGTTTTGGCAAAGGTGAACAGGCATTCACCAGGCAATGTCACACATGGACACATGACCCATTCTTGCAGATGTTGCCTCTAAAACCAGTCACACTTAAACAGTATTTGTGCCATAATTCAAACAGCTGTTTCACAAAATTACATTATCTTACTTAAAATTTAGCACCTATAGGAATCACTTAATTTGGGGGTTAATCTACTGATCAAAGAGAATGTGCATAGCTAAAATGTAATATTAGTTTGGCCTTAGGCCATGCAATACAAGATTTTCTGATGTTTTCACAACATATTAGTCTCTTATTTTTGTTGAGCAGAAACAAGAATCACGGTCTAGATCATTGTCAATAGGTCAGTTGCTAATATTGTAATCAGTTTAAGTCAGAGTGAACATCAGCTGTAATCAATTGTTGGAGCGGGGGGCTGATTTGTAGCCCAGGGAACAGGAATGTGAGGGAGTATTTTGGGTATCAAGAGATTTTCAAGTGTTCTTGAAAAATAGCTAGTAAATTTCACTTCCTGAAATATACTAATGTTTTTCTAGTTTGCTTCCTTTCACAAGGGATTCAAAGTGATTTACAATAAGACAATGTTAGGTATCTTGGCAGTTAATAATAATAATAGCAGTTTCTCTTTGTCGAGCTCCCAGTATATAGCAGGCACTATGTTATATTGTTTAATTATCTCGGTCACCCTAAGAGATAGGATCATTTTATGAAGAGGATTCAAATCCAGTGCTCTCTGTTTGTCAACCCATCGACACTTAACTATGTGCAGGGCAGCCCACTAGAAACAAGTCATGGAGAAACCCACTGGTGGAGCCCAGAGACTTCTTCTGCACATTAGAACTGTGTCCACTTACTTACCTATGGGAGTGACTTTGATACAGAGCTCATTCGCTGCAGGTTTCCTGCTGCAGACTTACTCCCTATTTAACTGTCATATCATGCATGGAGATTCATTTTATTTTGGCAAGAGCAGTGCATTACAACACATAAATAAGCGTTTCTTTTCTTTTCCCTTGGTGTGCAAACATTACACTGCAAAGTCATCAACTAATCCTGCCATTTCCCAAATACATTTTTTTTTCTTTGAGGCGGAATTTTGCTCTTGTTGCCCAGGCTGGAGTGCAATGGCGCAATCTCAGCTCACTGCAATCTCCGCCTTCCCGGTTCAAGCGATTCTGCTGCCTTAGCCTCCCGAGTAGCTGGGATTACAGGCATGTGCCACCACATCCAGCTAATTTTGTATTTTTAGTAGGGACGGGTTTTCTCCATGTTGGTCAGGCTGGTCTCAAACTCCCGACCTCAGGTAATCTGCCTGCCACGGCCTCCCAAAGTGCTGGGATTACAGGCATGAGCCACTGCACCCGGCCCCAAAATACATTTTTAAATAAACATATAACCTTCAAATCCTGATGGACAGACACTGTAGAAGTAAAAAGTGGGAAATTTAGACAGTAAGTAATTGAAATGGAAGAAAAAATGAAAATCACAGTGTATTAGTTTCCAAGGGCTGCCAGAACAAAGTACCATGTACTTCTAACAACAGAAGTATACCCTTACAGTTCTGGCGGCTAGAAGTCTACACTCAAGGTATGGGCAGGGCCATGTTCTCTCTGAAGGCTCCAGGATCCTTCCTTGCTTCTTTTTGCTTCTCATGTTTTTAGAAAATCCTTGGCATTCCTTGGCTTGTAGATGATCACTCCAGTGTCTGCTTCTGCCTTCATGTGGGCTTCTTTCTTTTATGTCTGTGCATCTACATTTTCCTCTCATTATAAGAGCACTAGTCATTGGATTAAGGCCCATCCCAATCCAGTATGTCCTCACCTTAATGAGATTACATCTGCAGAACCCCTATTTCAAATGAGGTCACATTCACAGGTACCAGGGGTTCAGTCTTCAACATAGTTTTTGAGGGAATACAGTTCAACCCACGACACAATCATATATATATATATATATATATATATTTTTTTTTTTTTTTTTTTTTGAGACGGAGTCTCACTCTGTCACCCAGGCTGGAGTGCAGCGGCACAATCTCGGCTCACTGCAAACTCCACGTCCCAGATTCAAGCAATTCTCCTGCCTCAGCCTCCTGAGTAGCTGGGATTAAAGACGTGTGCCACCACACCTGGCTAATGTTTTTGTATTTTTAGGAGAGACGGGATTTCACCATGTTGGTCAGGCTGGTCTCGAACTCCTGACCTCATGATCCACCCACCTCAGCCTCCCAAAGTGCTGGGATTACAAGCGTGAGCCACAGTGCCCAACTCACACAATCCAATATTTTAACAGAGAAAAAATATGACCCAAGTTGTATTTAGAGAAAATAGGACCTAAATCCTGGAGAGCAACGACTGCCATTGGTATGCTCTCCATTCATATTTTGGCACCTGCAGTTCAGTCTTTTCTTTGCTTGCTCTGAATTGTAGGTGAGGCAAGGATAAAGATTCTGTTGACCTGAGACTGAAAGCAATAACCAAGACTGTACTGGCTCAATGATCACTGCTACATACTTGGTTTTCAAAAAATATAAGGCATACCTTTAGGCGACAAAACACGTAGCCTTCGGTCAAGTCACTACATACAGCAGCTCCATGTTCCTGGGGTTAGGACTGGAAAGAACAGTCAAGGAGACAAACTTGTAACTGATCAAATCACCTAACCTGATTATTATGTCAAATTCCAAAACTGATAAGAAAAAGAAAATCCACTTGGGTACCTAACTCCCTGATTTGGCTCCCTACTGTGCTTATATTAATATCATAACTGCTGGGTCTTCATAAATCTATACTGAAAAGACATATCTTTTGGTTATGCCTGGGCAGTATAAAAAAACTGAACATTTTCAAGTTCATTACCAAACCCATGACTGAATTGCTGAATTGTTGATGCAACCCTTTTTGCAGTAATTGAATCAAATAGGCTATTCAATTACATGTTTGGCATTTGATTTAGGGATAGTCTAAACTCCCCATTTTGTTTTCTGTTTTCATAACATACTAGTCTCTTATATTTGGGAAATGTTTCCTGATGTTCAATGGATGCACTAGAGAATAAAAATCTAATGCCACCTACAAATAAATCTGTGACAAACTGTTTATTCAGAGGAAATATTTCAGGGACTGACATGAAGCTGACAAATACAGTGTCAATATTTTACTGTAGAGTCTTTTTTAATATATTGAAAACATTCAAACCCAAATGTCAAGGAAACAATTTTACTCTGACTCAAGGGCCAAGGCTTATATTTTAATGTAGTTACTGTTGAATGTTGGTAAATAACTCTCATTTTACATAAGGATTGGCTTGGATCAGTTGGGAAAACTCCCCTAACTGCTGCACTGGGCAGCGAATGGTAACTTAATTTATCTTTTGGAAGTTCAACAACTCCCCCTTGTTATTAGAGGAGCTAGCTCTAACAATGTGTGGGGTGCAGGACCATTGGAATTCTGGGCTGGTTTAGATTAAGGGGCTTCCTTTCTTTGTGTTCTTAGAGAGCCTGTTGGAGAACATCTAATT
The DNA here is from genome assembly GCF_000001405.40 of Homo sapiens. Taxonomy (NCBI): domain Eukaryota; kingdom Metazoa; phylum Chordata; class Mammalia; order Primates; family Hominidae; genus Homo; species Homo sapiens. The sequence continues at coordinate 154,022,540 of NC_000004.12, forward strand.
TTTCTCTGTCACTCACGTCAACACAAGTAGAAAACCTGTCAGAGGTTAAGCCAATCAGTCTCACCTTGAAGAAGAGTTTTTGTGGAATGTTTAATTTTGGGGGTGTGAAAGAGGAAAGGGATTAGCATGTTCTCAAGCAGCCTCAGCAAGAGACTATGTACCCGGGGAGAGTCTCCAGGAAGTGTCCTCAGAAGCAAAGAGCGAGAGCTGGGAGCCAATGAGGGCGGCAGGAGAATGGGGAAAACCCTATACCACCAGGGAGCCAAGTGGTTGTGGCTTGATGTGTCCTGCATCGTACTTTTTGACTTTTTCCAGAAAAAGCTGGCAATGAGAATAGAAGAATTGCAAACAATGTAGCAGGCCCTTGCCAAGATTTAAATACAGAAGAAACATTCAAAAGGACGGTATCAAATTATCTGCAAAGATGAAGAAAGTAATGACTTACGTTCTCCATCCTCTGGCTGGGTGACTCACCAAAGTGGAAAATGAAGCACTTGGAGATTAAAGGTACCCCCAGAAAGAGGGGGAAAGGGATGGGCTCTGGAGAAGCCAATCCAGTTACAAGTTAACATGCCACAGGAACATCTGTGATGGAAGGTGGCAGCTAAATGCTTCGTGTCTCTTTGTGTTCTCCAGAATCTTCAAGTAAGAAAGTCCAGCCCTGCCTCAGCATTCTTCATCTGGACCACAGACGTGTTAAAAATCACCTACTGCGTGCAGGGTATCATGTGAGGATATGCAGGTGATAATTGTTGTGCATGCACACTTAGTTAGAACACAGTGAAAATAGGTGCCCCTGACCACTCTACTTAAAAAGGCTGCTCTCTGTAGTCTCTATTTTTGTAATGGTCATATTGATATATAATTCACACATTATACAATCTATCCACTTGTATTTTGTTATATGTATGTGTTAACTTCTTTAAAGTACAGGCTCCATGAAGATAACAACCAGGTGTCTTTTGTTCATCAGTGGACACCCAGCAGCTATCATAACGCACAATGCAGCCACTCAGCAATGATGCGGAATGGGGAAGGAAAGTGCTGGGAAGAGAAGGGCGTGGTCCCTTTAAATGATAGGGAAGCGGGGAAGAGCATGGTCCCTGGCTAGGGCTCCAGCCCTGGGCCTGTGCCCATGGACCTAGGTGAAAACAGGCATTTTTGTTTTCCTGCCCAAATGTTGCATTTCCCAAGACCACCCTGGCCTGCCACTCCCCCATCCTGTGCCTATAAAATCCCTGAGACGCTAGCAGCCAGACACACAGGAGGCTGGACGTGGAGAGGAGCATTTCAGCAGAGGCACACGTGGGCGGCTGGACATTGAGAGGAACGCACCGACAGGCACCAGCACACCAGCAGGTCACCGACTGGCAGAACGACGTGGAGTTTGGCCGGGGCAGTTGGAGGAGAGCCCGGGCGCCAAGCAGCCCGACTCCAGGGGAAAACCATCTCTCTTCTGGCTCCCCCATCTGCTGAGAGCTACTTCCACTCAATAAAACCTTGCGCTCATTCTCCAAGCCCACGTGTGATCTGATTCTTCCCGTACACCAAGGCAAGAACCCCGGGATACAGAAAGCCCTCTGTTCTTGTGATAAGGCAGGGGGGTCTAACTGAGCTATCACAAGCCACCTACGATGGCTAAACTAAAAGAGCACCCTGTAATACATGCCCACTGGGGCTTCAGCTGTAAACATTCAGCCCTAGACACTGCCCCCACTGCCGATCTGTATGCTCCCCCTAGAGGTTTGAGCAGCAGGGCACTGAAGAAGTGAGCCACACCCCCATCACGTGCCCTGCGAGGGGAACACGGGAACTTTTGCCATTTCAGTAACAATATATTTTTAGTAAATTCATAATTAATGCATAGACAAGAACAAGATGTCTAAGGCTCAGAAATTGGCTTTAATAAACCTCACATTCTTGTGTTTTCCTCCAAAATTATAGGCAATGTGTTTTAAACAGATGGGGCCTTACTGTGCAGCCCAGGCTGAACTCCAAGCCCTGGGCTCATGGAATCTTTCCACTTCAGCTTCCCGCAGAGCTGGGCCCATAGGCCCTTGCTGCCATGACCGGCTAGCAGGCCATTTTAAAAATTAAGAGGTAACAAAGAAAGAAGAAAGCCCCGGCCAGGCGCGGTGGTTCACACCTGTAATCTCAGCACTTTGGGAGCCCAAGGTGGGTGGATCACTTGAGGTCAGGAGTTCGAGACCAGCCTGGGCAACATGGCAAAACCCCGTCTCTACTAAAAATACAAAAATTAGCCAGGTGTGGTAGTGGCGGCTGTAATCCCAGCTACTTGGGAGGCTGAGGCAGGAGAGTCACTTGAACCTGGGAGACAGGGGTTGCAGTGAGCCAAGATCGTGCCATTGCACTCCAGTCTGGGTGGCAGAGTAAGTGAGATTCTGTAAAAACAACAACAACAAAAAACTAACCTAAAAAAAAGTCCCTATTTGGTAGGAGGAAAACAATATGGACCTCTCATTCTCTCAACCACTTCTCACTTTCTCATGTGCTACAGTTTGACCCCAAATCTGAACAGAGGGGACTTTGGTGGGAAAGCCTCTCACCCTCTTTGTATGCTCAGGAAAGCAGAAGACGTCAGATCTTTGTCTCAGAAGGGGTTTGATTTTCTGTACTTTTACTCTTCATGGTTCAGTTTGAATCAATTCAACTCAGCAAGGAATCCCTGAGTGAGGCTTATGCTAAGGCCATGAGGAAAACAAAAGTATGAGATGCCTCCTGGTCTTTCTAGCTTGCTGTCTCAGTGGGACAGCAAAACATATGTCCCTGAACTAGAGTCAAAGAAAAGGCAATGAGACTTAGAGCCAAGCACTCAGGTCAGACTTGATGCAGAAGGAATTCAGGGAAGGAAGAGAGAATGGTGCTTTGGAAGGTCAGGAAATGCTGTGCTGAGGAGACGGGGCTTGGGCAGCATCTGGGAAAGCAAAGCAAAGATGACAAGGCCTATGCTGCATTCAGGGGACCCTGGGGGCACTGGCCCTGCTGCAGTGGAGGGGCCAGGCTGGGGTCGGTGAGAGGGGCATTGGGACGGGTGCTGGAGTTCTGTGTGCTCGTGCTGAGGGAGAGGAGTTGCAGAAACCCAAAGGCTTTTTTTTTTTTTACTTCTACCTCTGTAGGAACCCCATTCTTCTCTCCCTTCTTTCAGCAATGCTCCTACCAGGCTGTTTTGTTGTTGTTTGTGTTTTTTTGTGAGACAGAGTCTGTCTTCGTCACCCAGGCTGGAATGCATTGGCGCAATCTCGGCTCACTGCAACCTCTGGCTCCTGGGTTCAAGCAATTCTCCTGCCTCAGCCTCCCGAGTAGCTGGGAATACAGGTGCCCGCCACCACACCCGGCTGATTTTTGTATTTTTAGTAGAGACGGGGTTTCACCATGTTGCCCAGGCTGGTCTCGAACTCCTGACCTCTACCACGCCTGGCTAATTTTTGTATTTTTAGTAGAGATGGGGTTTTGCCATGTTGCCCAGCCTTGGCCTCCCAAAGTGCTGGGATTACAGGCATGAGCCACTGCCCCCGGCTGCTTTGTTGTTTTTGTTTTGTCCCTTCTATTACGGGGGAGAGAGGAAGAGCCTCGCCCGCGGAGGGAGAGGCATTTCTATGGAGCAAAGTTTGTAAATCATCTAAATCAGTCGCATTCCAGAAAGAAACAGCGATAGGTCCTGTCTCCTCCCGCCACGAGAAGGAAACAATCCCATAAGCACTCCGTCATGGGCTTGGCACAAGCCTATCATTTGCATTAAACATCTAAAGCCATTATTGAGTAGCTCTATGCATACCCTTTAACATTATGCTTTCTTCTCAATCATAAAGCCATTTTGCTCCTTTGGTTAAGGCAAATAAATATAAGAATCATCATTATTATCAATAAAGGGTACTAGTGTCACTATTTTAAAAGAGAGAAAGTGACAGATTTCATGACAGCATCAGCGGAAGTCTGTGGAAAGATTCAAATCTCAAGGGAGCACTGAATTAGCTTCATGCACCCCATGGATTCTCACTATGTCTACCTTGGTGGGCACAGAGAATGTATAGTGAATATGGATAAAAAATAGAGTTGGTTTTCTTTTCCCAGAAACAACTTGTCATAATATCTAAATCGCTTAATATTTTGAATTTGCAAAATGAGGTTCTCTAGATCCTAATGCGAGCTTCTTTCTTTAAGTAGTTTATTCCCCCTTTCTCTGTAGAAATCTTCATTTACCTTTTCCTCGCTGACTTTTAAACGTGTGATAAAAATCTAACAGGGAGAAGGAGTTGTGGGCACTTAGCTCAACAAAAACTGTTTAAGATGACTTTTTCTTCTTAATCCTAGAGCTTTTTTTCTCGTTTGGGTTTAGCAAAGATGAGAGTAGTGCTGTGCAGATGGTAAGTATAGAAGCTTTTGAATAAAAGCTGGTCATGGTTAGCCCTCAGACTGTAGCTCTAAGATGCTTTAAGAATGTGTTCTGAGCCCTTCGAGAGCTGTGAAATGAATATGGCCATTTATGAGGCAGTAATAAGAACCTTCAGTGATAGTTTGACTCAGAAGCTAATCTTAAGGGTTGTGAGTTTTTATCAATCATTCATCCTTTTCCTGAACATGTGGCTTAAAACAACCTCTTCCTTGGATGAATCCTCCATGTTCTATTTTTCTTCTCATTATCTGTCTGTTGTTGTTGTTGTTTTTGTTGTTGTCATTCCTACTGTTCATTTCCTCTTTCACTGCAACTTTTGTATTTGGTTCATCTTTACCTTCTTATTTTCATGATTTCTCTGACTGGCAATCACTCCTTAGAAAGCTTCACAAATCATGTCAAGCTGTCACCATCTCCTCCTTATTCTGTTCCTTTTGCTACTTCTCACTCATTTTCTTTTCTTCTTTTCAGTTTTGTAGGCTCCTACCAGTGAAAGCCTCCTCACAACTCTCTTCTTCTCCCCAAGGTAAGTAACTGCTTTTTCTTCTTCCATGCTTTCTTTCATTCCAGAGCCATTCTCTCTGCATAACCTCTATTGATGAGCTTCGTTTGCTGCTGTTTTCTTACCCTCAACCACCTCCTCCCTCAGCCACAGAAGTACAATCCATTGTTCTTTATCTCTACCCTGTCCTTCTAGGATTTCTACCACAAAATAAGGCTGTTTTATTATGCCATTCTACCCCTCACTTAGACTATTTTAGATATATTATTTAAGCGGAATCGTGTAGTGGTAGTCTTTCTGTGTCTGGCTTATTTCACTTAGCATAATGTCCTCCAGGTTCATTCATGTTGTAGTGTTGAGTATATTTGATATACAAAAATACTTCACATATTTAATGTATATAATTTGCTGAGTTTGGACATAGGCATACACCCATCATACCATCACTGAAATCAAAGTTATATATATATATATATATATACACACACATCACCTCCCAAAATTTTCTTGTGTCCCTTTGCTTTGTCTGTGGGGGTATGTGTGTGGTAAAAATGCTTAACATGAGATCTACCCTCTTAAAACATTTTTAAGTGCACAGAATTGTACTGTTAACTACAGGTACTACATTGTACAACAGACTTGTAGATCTTATTCATTTTGCATAACTTGAAATTTTATACCCGTTGAACAGCAACTCCCTATTTCCCCCTTCCCTGAGCCCCTGAACAACCATTTTACTCTCAGCTTCTATGACTTTGACAATTTTAGATATATCATTTCAGTGGAATCATACAGTATTCATCGTTCGTGTCTGGTTTATTTCACTTAGCATAATGTCTTCCTGGTTGATCCATGTTGTAGCATATGGCAGGATTTCCTTCTTTTATAAAGGCTAAATAATATTCCATTTTATGAATATACCACATATTCTTTACTCACTCATCTGTTGATGGACATTTGGGTTGACTCCACATCTTGGCTATTGTGAATTATGCTGCAATGAATCTAGGAGTGCAAATATCTCTTTGAGATCCTGATTTCAGATTTTGGAGATATATACCCAGGAGTGAAAAGCTTCTGCACAGCAAGGAAAACTGTCAACAGGCTGAGAAGGAAACCCAAAGAATGGGAGAAAATATTTGAAAACCATATATCTGATAACGGGTTAGTCTCTGAAATATATAAGGAACTTCCTCAACAAAATAGCAAAAAAAAAAAAAAAAAAAAAAAAAAAAAAAAAGAAGAAAGAAAGAAAGAAAGAAAATAGAGGAGAAAACCCACCAAAATCCAGATAACCAGTTTTTAAAATGGATAAAGGATTTGAATAGACATTTCCCAAAGAAGAGATACAAATAGCTAACAGGTATATGAAAAGGTGCTCAACCTCAATAATCATTAAGGAAATGCAAATCAAAACTGAAATGAGATATCCCCTCACACCTGTTAGGATTTTAGAACCCTTGTCCACTGTTGGTGGGAATGTAAAATGGCATAGCCACTCTGAAAAACAGTATGAAGTTTCCTTAAAAAATTAAAAATAGAACTATTATATGATCTAAAGCAGACCTTCTGAATATGGATCCAGAACTTTCCAGAGGAACCACTGTCAGTGAGGGCATTGCATTCCTCACCAAAAACTCATCCTTGGAGAAGGCATAGCTATCACCTGCTTTTCAAACCAAACCAAAGATTCAACAACCACAAAACTGCACATTTTACTCAACTGGTAAATTTGTAAAGCTAATCTCCACCATGGGAACTTTGAATCTCAAGGGACCTCAGTCATCGTTCATTTAATCCAGGTGTTTGTGAACTTTTTCTTTTTTAAGTCAAAATCCCTTTTTGATCAAAGAAAATCTTACAAAATGAAGAAGTTTGAAGTCCGATTAAAATAGAACTGCCTTGGCTTGCTCTTCTGTGCTTATCCTATAGCCCCACCTCACCCCTGAGGCCTTGAGGAGGTTGTCCAACTCTGCAACACACAAATGAGGAAATTGAGGCTCAAGATCAAGGAGCTAAAAGCAGAAGGGCTCAGCACTTCACAATCTTCATTTTCAAATAAGCAGAAATGTAGGCACATGCTGACTATAACCAGAGGGTTGAAAACTTTGCTTAGCAATGTCAAAAGTAGAGAAGCTAAGGTTTAGTGTATCTAAAATGAGACTCATTTAAAAGGACTATGCTAGCAACCAGAAGCATTTAATTAGTTTTAAAAATGTGTTTGCATTCTTAGTCTTCAGGAGGAATCCTGGGTTAACTTTTAAGACTCACGTCTATTTAAAAGTCATCCAGAAAATTTGGACTGATGATTCTTTTTCCTTTCAATGAATCTTCCCTAATAAGCAAAGGCTTCAGAACAATTCTGTCCCCCAGACTTTTAAGAAAGCAATTATAGATAGCATCTACATATTTAAAAAGTCATTGTTAAGAAAATTTGTTGTGAGCATTTGAAGAATAGGAGCTTCTTGAATCTGGTCCTTCCTATTTTGCTTTTTCTCTTCCTAAGAGTGAAGGCAGCTTCACAGGGGAATCAGACAGAGACATTTTAAGCAGAATGTCTGGGGAAGGGAAGAGAAAGATGGGGCCAAACATCTGCCTTGATTATAATAAAGACTGTGCCTATTTATGGACTGGCTGCTTTTCAAAAAATTATTAAGAAAAATCTCTTCCACCCCCACCTGAGTTGTTAAACATTCATTTAAACGATATTTCTTGAATATCTTGAATATCTATAGTATACAGTATAGATATTAGGAATATGTCCTTTTATAGAAAATAAGAACATTTACTGGGAATTAGCACAGTTCATTAAAGATAGTAAGTGGAGGGTAACACCCAAAGTACTGAATCATGGGCAATTGTGGTTCTTGTGTTTGCCTTTCTATTGTTCTGCTAATGACCAGAGGAAATTGTTTCCTTTCCTGAGATTTATCTGGTCACACTCTAGAGGGTAAACTAAAGGTGATGCTTGGAGGTAGAAGTGCACCTTCTAACAAGGGTCCTAAAACATCAGGGCCTGGGCATTTGGTAGGGATAACATGTAAGTTGTTTTAGATGTCTCGATACTCCCAACATGCCAGCTAATGGTGATCTAATTTTCACTACCTTAGATAAGACATGATGAAAAAAAAATCAAGAAAGAAAAGTCCTTTTTATCCCCTTTTATACGCAATTGAATGGGTTCTTGACTGGAAGTGTCTGTAGGCAGAGAATCATTCAACATGCTTAGCAACCACCTGGGTAAAAATATGTAGCTGATTTTACAAAGCTCTTAATTAAGCCTTGGAAACTGGAGGGACATTTAATGTGCTCTCTGGGAGAGGAGATTCTGTGGTGCTAAGAGTAAGATATTACAATTTCCTCAACAAAGAAAAAATATGCACATACACCTGTGAGGCTGAGTGGAAATCACTTACTGGGGCCATAAAACTGCACTTTACAGTCGAACTGTTTACCTTAAGATAACTGTCAGCTCTGATGTGCCTCCTTGGAGCTGATACTCCTCTGTGGGTTGGAGCTCTGACTCAGGATGCTCATTTCAGCCCTGATGTAATTTAAACAGCAGTTTCTTCTTGTCAGCAGCATCAGAAGCCCCAGGGAGATGTGGATCAGTGATTCACGGAGTGCCAAGAACAAGGAGGTGATGGGGATCCCAAATGTTTATAAAACCATTTTTTTGTTCAACATCAGATTAACCCTACAAATTTTTAGTTGTTGGAGAGAATTCTGCTAATAAGCTCCCAGATAAGCAAATGCAGTAAACACACAATAAATGTTTTCCTTGGGAAAAATAATCTTGACTTAAAATGAAACAAGATGGAGTGTGTATGGTTGAGGGAGGAATGGGGTTGGAGGTTGAATTGTGTTTTCAAACCCACAAAAGAAGCTTACTTCATAGTCAATATTCATCTTTTGATGTATACTTTATGTAAGTCTTGCTCATCACATATTATCTCAGGCACACTCTTTTTCTTTTTTTATTTCAAATTTTATTTTAGATTCAGGGGATATATGTGTGGGTTTGTGTGATGCTGAGGTTTGGGGTACAATTGATCCTGTCACCCAGGTAGTGAACATAGTACCTGAAGGGTAGTTTTTCCATTCTTAGTTCTCTCCCTCCCTCCCCCATCTAGTAGTCTTCAGTGTCAATTGTTGTCATCTTTATGTCCATGAATACCCAGTATTTAGCTCCCACTTATTGGAGAGAATATGCAGTGTTTGGTTTCCTGTTCCTGCATTAATTTGCTTAAGATAATGCCCTCTAGCTGCATCCATGTTGCTGCAAAGGAGATAATTTTATTTTTTTATGGCTGTGTAGTATTCCATGGTGTATATGTACCATATTTTCTTTATCTGATCCACCACTGATGGGCACCTAGGTTGATTCCATGTCTGTGCTATTGCAAATAGTGCAGTGGCAAACATATGAGGGTCTTTTTGGTGGAATGATTTATTTTCCTTTGGGTATATACCTGCTAATGGGATTGCTGGGTCAAATGGTAGTTTTTTAAGTTCTTTGAGAAATTTCCAAACTGCTTTCCACTGTAGACTAATTTACGCTCCCACCAACAGTGTACAAAGGTTCCTTTTCTCTGCAACCTCACCAGAATCTTTTTTTTTTTTGACTTTTTAATAATAACCATCTGACTGGTGTGAGATGGTATCTCATTGTGGTTTTGATTTGCATTTCTCTGATGATTAGCGATGTTGAGCATTTTTTGATATGTTTGTTGTTTGCTTGTATGTTGCCTTTTGAGAAGTGTCTGTTCATGTCCTTCGCCCATTTTTTAAATGGAGTTGTTTTTGGCTTGTCGAATTAAGTTCCTTATAGATTCTGGATATTAGACCTTTGTTGAATGTGGAATATGCAAATATTTTCCCCCATTCTGTAGGTTGTCTGTTTGCTCTGTTGACAGTTTCTTTTGCTGTGCAGAGCCTTGTAGTTTAATTAGATACTGTTAGTCAAGTTTTGTTTTTGTTGCAATTGCTTTTGAGGACTTAGTCATAAATTCTTTGCCAAAGTCGATGTCCAGAATGATATTTTCTAGGTTTTCTTTTAGGATTTTTACAGTTTTGGTCTTAAATTTAAGTCTTTAATCCATCTTCAGTTAATTTTTGTATATGGTGAAAGGTAGGGGTCCAGTTTCGTTCTTCTGCATATGGCTAGCCAGCTATCTCAGCACAATTTATTGAATCAGGAATCGTTTTGCCATTGCTTATTTCTGTCAACTTTGTCAAAGATCAAATGGTTGTAGGTGTATGACTTTATTTATGGGTTCATTATTCTGTTCCATTGGTCTATGTTTCTATTTTTGTACCAGTACAGTGCTGTTTTGGTCACTGTAGACCTGTAATATAGTTTGAAGTTGTGCAATATGATGTCAGGTGCACTTTAAATGATAGCTTCACATTTGTAAATGATCTGTGGTAGACTAAAAACATTTACTTCAAAATTCCTGAAAAAGACTCAAATTTGCTTTTTTTTTTTATTTTTTTTTTTTAAATAGGTAAGGTCTTGATATATTGCCCAGGGCTCAAGCTGTCGTCTCGCCTCAGCCTCCTGAGTAGCTTTTAAGAGAAAGGTATGGAGGCAGGGAGTGGGCTGCAGGCCTGGCTCTTAGGCCAGTTGTGTGGGTTCTCTGAAGAAGCTGTGAGAAGGCAGGTGGCGTGGCTCTTGTGAACCAAGGCATTCAAGTCAGTGCAATTACTTATTAGAACAATGGGCTGGGCATGGTGGCTTACACCTATAATCCCAGCACTTTGGGAGGCTGAGGTGAGTGGATCACTTGAGCCCAGGAGTTTAGGACCAACCTGGCCAACATGGCAAACTCCATCTCTAATAAAAATACAAAATTTAGCTGGGTGTGATGGCACACGCTTATAGTCTCAGCTATTTGGAAGGCTGAGGCATATGAATCACTTGAACCCAGGAGGCAGAGGCTGTAGTGAGCTGAGATTGTGCCATTGCACTCTAGCCTGGGCGACAGAGCGAGACTTGGTCTCAAAAAAAAAAAAAGGATGGTGGAGAAATGCCAGAATAACAACCACTGAGGCATTCTCCTCATCTGAGGAGTCACACCCATGTGATTGTGCCGTCAATTCTGGGGTTCTGCAGACGTGTTGTTAGCAGGCTTCTTTCTTTTATTGAGGCTAGGATGTCCCCTTAATTCATTTTAGCTCTCGCCTTTACTTTTTTCACAGGATACTTCCTGAATGGAAGCTATTCTGCAAAGCAGCCACTCTGGACCTGTCCTGCTTGGGTGGGAAGCTCAGCCAGCTTACTGCTTCTCAGCCTCCAGGGGGATAGTCCTGGGTGGGGTAAAAGGGCAGGTCATCAGCTTGAATCAGGTTGGGCTTGAGAGAGAAAGCAGAGGTCCTGCCCAGAATCTCTTCTGCCTCCTTCCAGGGGGATGAGACAGCTGGGTAGTTGCCCACCACTCTTGTTGGTCAGAAGCTCTGCCACGTTTTCTACCCTAGACTACGAGGTCCTGGGAGGCAGGGGCTGTACTTTATGTGCCTACTGTAGGTCCCCTTGGAACTCAACACGTTGCTGGGTTCAAGGGGGAGTGCCAGAAAAAGCCTATTTGTTTGAGCAGAATTAAGCACAGGTTGTGTATACTGCAAAGCTGTGTTCTAAACTGGGCAGTGCTTAGAGAAGGCAGAATTAGGGAAGTAACACAGAAGAAAGCCCTGGAACCAAATTACCTTGGTCGAGCTATGTAACTCTGAGTAAGTTGCTCAATTCTTCTGTGCCTTGGTTTTTGCATTAGTAAAACAGGGACAGTGATAGCATTAAATGGGTTAATATATGTAAAGGGCTTAGAACAGTGTTTCAGAACAGTGATAACTGCTGAATAAATGCTAGCTATTATTTTTAATCTTCAGACTGGACTTCAGACTGAATTTCTGGGGTCTTCAGGTCTTCCTTTTATGCCTAGCGTATGAACGTGTGACATATAGTATGTATGTATGTATTCCCTACTTTTTTCCAGAAATAATTTAAGCTGGCATTTACGTCCTCTCTTAAGGGATACATTTCCATAAGGCACCTATAATCATCTAGAGTTGGAGCACTGATCTGATGACTAATCCCAGTGTACCCAAATCACTTGGGCCAAAGCAAACCCATCCTTTTGTTCTCCAAGGAGGTTAAGTATCTAGAAGGCAGCGCCTGGGAAGCTGAACACTCTTATACAGTGGCATTATTGAGGGTTTTCATACTACTCAATTACAGGCAGAATTATCCTCTGGCTCAAGTCACTTGGAGAAAATTCCATGGCATAGAGATATAAAACTGTATTTATTTTCCAAGGATGGAGGTCTTCTTAAAAAATCTGCTTGCCTAATGTATTTTTTTTCTTTTTAAATAAAATGCTCTCTGCTGGTCTGGGTAATCTGGTTTACTGAAAATGGAGGCTATTTAGTTTGCCTCTAAATGGATCCTTTCTTCTAAGGACCCCAAAGGGTTTGGGAAGCCTTCCCAGGGGAGGTAGGGCTCTTACTTGAATAATGTCTGAGGTGGGGAAAGAGGGGGCTCCATACAGGTCCGGACAACTGTCCTCAACCTAATAAGGTAGAGCCAGCATTAACAATAGTACTAATTCAATTGTTAAAAATTTTATCAATAAGAAAACCAATCTTGATATCTTACTATATGAGTAAGACTCTGTGCTAACAGCTGTAGGTGATAGACCATGTCCTCAAGGATCATAAATTTAGCATAAATGCTTTCTTTTTAAAAATTCTGTAAGTGAATAGTGAGTCAGGGTTCTGAAATCTGTGCTGTCAATGTCCCATTGCAAATCTGCGTGAATACTGAGGTTGACATAGTGAGGTGAGAGACCATCAGTGAAAACATCAAGCAGATTCTATCTGCAGCACAAGAAAATATATTATCATATTTGGAATGCAACTGGCTTAGGCTTGAGCTATCAAATGTTCAAATTCTCTGGTCCAAATAGTTTAAGTGGGATGGCTTTAATTCAAAAGGCTCCCTTGCTTATTTTAATTAGGTAGAAGCAGAATTTAAGATGAGTTATTCACTGATTGTTAACCAAGGAAGATGGCCCGAAGCACCACTCAGTTCCCAAGAATTTCTCAAGTGCTCTTTTCTGGCTGTGAAAACAGTATTTCACATCCAGGAAAAATATAGAGGGCTTATTTAGGGAAAATGATGCCTAGAAACTGTCAACTTTGTATCATCATAAACTATATAGAATATGAAAACAAACTGTCTAAATATGATTATATGCATTCTTTGGTATGTGCATGTATAGATCTGTGTGTAATCAGGGGACCTCCATCCCTAAACCAGCCTTTCTTTAGACAGTCATGAAGAATAAAGCCTGTCGGGGAGGAGGGGAAAGGGGAGAGAAGAGGAAAACAGACAGCGTAAAGGAGACAAGGTGTGTGTGCACTTAGGCGGCCTGCCCTGCAGGGACCCACTCATGCACACTAAGTTGGAACGTTGCCTCTTGGCTGTGCCTTCTCACTCCTTCCCTGGAGTGCACAACTTTTCAATGAGCATGGGCCATTTTTAGTTCCCCCATCTTGGAGTGAGAAAGGGGCAAGTGACAGTAAAGTGAGTTAAAGCTATGCTAGTGACAGCCCTGTCCTCCCACCTGGAATGTGGCAAAACTCAAGGAGGAAGATCTGATGGGGGAGCCCAAAGGAGAGAAGGGAAGAGAGAACAAAGGGGGTAGAATTGGTCATTTGTTCATGCCTCCATTTATTAATTCAATCCAAGGCCTATAGCAAACCCTGCATTAGGGTGTGGCAACCCAAAATCAATTTACTTGTTTATGCATTCATTTATTCAACATATATTTGTTAAATTGTTTCAGATGGTATTTTGACCAGTATGTTTCAGATGGTATTTTGGACACTGGGATTCAGTTATGAACAAGACAGGCGGCATTGCTCTCATGGAGTCTGCCTAATGGAATTTAGGGTGAGAGACAGACAAGCTAACAGGCAGATCTGACACATAGGATGTGCACCTATCCAGCCTGGGGGGTTAGGGAAAGCTTTCAGTAGGAAACTGAATTAAGATGGAATGGATGAGAGGGTAGACAGGTGAGACTATCTTCAAGCTAGATCTTCAGAAGAGACCCTAATATATTTCTTCTGGAGCCTTGCACATCACTTATTTTTTTTCTTAGTATAGAACATTTGGAGACTATTTAGATTGAGCTAGTGCAATTTTCATTCTATTCCTTTTGCAATTTAATAGTATTATCACATTCTTTCTAAAAGAAAATATCTCCTATATAGTCAAATATACACCATTGTTTTTAAAATTTGGGAAGAATTTTGGAAGCAATGGACCCAAGAATGTAGAGAAGGTTCCTTCTATTTTATAAAATATGATATCGTTCTTAATGAACTTGCATCCAAGTACCAGATACGGTTAGGGAGGTGAAGACAGAAGAACAGTTGTGTGCCATAAGTGGGAGTATCACTTGGCACAGCCTTTTTAGGGAGCAACCTGGCAGAACTCAGTTACATTAATGCATTCCACTCCTGAGGATGTGTTCCAAATATATTCTCACAGGTGTCCATAAAGAGACATGTGCAATGCTATGTGTGGTTGAAGGTAGGTGGAGGCAGTCACTGCTCCATCACCACCCAGGTGCCATATCGTGCCTGCACACCATGAAGTGCTATGCAGCTGGCAGAAGCAGCAGACAAGGTATTAAAATTGAGATGCTGAATGACAATTATAAGTAACATGAGGTTTATAATACCACTCAGATAAATTAAAAGACACGTACAGAGAAGTACCTTATGAAATTTGTAAGAACATACATAACAAGATTTGTATTAAACATTAGAATGGTTAACTGGCGTGAGTAGGGGAAAAGGAAAAGAGAATGGGAGACAAGGGATAACTAACTAACTAACTAACTAACTAACTAAGTAACTAAGAGATCAGCCTTCCTTGGATCCGTATAGAGAATGCACCATAAACTAAAAGGTGTGATTAGTCTTTCTGAGGTTCCCTAGTAAAGGAAGGAAGAAGGGAGGGAGGTGGGTGGAGCAGGAAGGGTGGAAAGGAAGGAGGGCATCTCCCAGTGTGCAAGGCCATTCTCCAACCTCCTTCTCCTTTGCCATCCTAGGAAGGAAGCTGCTGCCCCACATTCCCATCCAGCTGCAGAGCAGGGCAGTAGAGAAGAGTTAAAACTCACTATCCAATGCTGAAGAGCCTGTCAAGATTTACAAGACAGAGCAGGGAGCTTGGGGCTTAGTACGCCTAACAGAGAAAAGAAGAAACTTTAGGGAAAATAAGGAGTTAAGGGTGTTGAGGATGAGGGAAGGGGAGTGGAGAGGGCAGCAATGTGAGGAAGGGAAAAGGGGTCCTTTTGGAATCATCCGCCTCACCACCCTATTCCAGGACAGCTGGCCTGGGGAGAAGGGCAGTGCTGTCCATCAGTCAGGGTGAATGATACTCTCTTTCTGGTCCTTGGACTCCCCAAGGATCAGCTCAACAGAACCAGGATGCCCCATCTTCTCAGGAGTCTTTCTAAGAGCTTGAGGGGCATCTCTGCCAGGGAAGAAGATCCCTCAAGCCAAGTTTCATGCAGAACTTTCCCTGGGCTCCAAGAAGGAGAGGAACAGACAGCTCTGTACACCAGCATGTATAGACAGCATCTGTTTCACCAGGGGGAGTTCTATCTGAAGGTCATATTATTTGACAATTTAATGAGAAATCCTAGAATCGCTAATATGAGAAGGGTTGTTAGTGACTACTTCTGACATTTTCTAGCTGAGAAAGCTGGGGATCAGTAGATTCAAAAGACCTAATTTCTGTTTCCCTCTGGCATTGCCTGACCTGACATTGGGATATTCTTACTATGAAAGTCAATATTGAGGGGCAGAGGGGAGATTCCAATCTGAAGGGAGTGAGCAGTAGGAAAAGGAAAGTGCCTATGCTTCCAAGATTCTGTTTATAGAAAATTATTTTTATTACTTTTAAAAGAGCAAACACTAAAAATACTTGACGTATCAGCACATTCAATCTTAAATTGATTATTTTTCAAGGTTTTCCATACGACACCAGAAATGAATTAAATTTCTATTCCTAAAAACATCTGACAGAAGAAATTCATACCTGACATATCACGTAATGAAAAAGAACATGAGCATGGCATTTGTTCCTTTTTCCTGCAGAAGAAAAAGAAAATTTTCTTTAGAAATATTTCACCCAGGCGTGGTGGCTCACGCCTGTAATTCCAGCACTTTGGGAGGCTGAGGTGGGCAGATTGCTTGAGTACAGGAGTTCGAGACCAGCCTGGGAAAAAAAAAAAAAAGGAAGAAAATTAGCTAGGCGTAGTGGTGGGCACCTGTGGTCCCAGCTACTCGGGAGGCTGAGGTGAGATAACTTGAGCCAGGGAGGTGGAGGCTGCAGTGAGCCATGATCGTGCCACTGCATTCTAGTTGGGGCTACAGAGCTGACCCTCTCTCTCAATCTCTCTCTCAATCCATATACACATATATATGTATATATATTCCTTGGGATTTTTGAATTCAAACATCTGCAGGCAGCTCATTTTTATAATTGGGAAAGTTGTTTTTCACCCCTGTCCTCTGCCTCACCACTTCCTGTTCTTTCACTTCCAGAGGCATGGAATAGCTGGCTCCTAAAATGGTTAACCAAGTCTGTCTTATCCTACCTGTTTTCATTTTCCTATTTGTGGATTCATTTCTTCCTTTCATAGTTAGCTCAGTAAAACATTTGCTTTTAATAAGAAAAAGCGTTGCTTAAATATTTTTTTTTTGTCAAAACTTACAAGTTTATTTCTGGCATTTGCTTCTAGCAGAGTTCATTAATTTACTATTGTCAGATTAATAGCCTTTTAATTAGCAGTTATTAATATAAAATGCAATCTTTATCCTCTCATCCAAGAAAAGAGAAAAACTCATATATTTCATTTGTATTTTTTGGCCCTTTGCCATTTTGGTAGCGAAGAAAAAAAATAAATGTATATGTTATAGTAAACACATTTGTTGCATTACATTCTGGAGTATAACATCTGTATTTGTCTGTGTATGTGAGAAAATTATATATTGTTCACCTGGGTAGCAATTTGTGTTCTGGAAAAATCTTTATTTGCTCTCAGGGGATCCTGTTTAATATAATTACATTTAATTGATATTTGCGGTGGAGGATTAAGGCAAAAGGAACCGTCATTTAATATGCTTCAGGATTTTATAGGTCTTGTATTTCTTGGCTTGGTTTCCAAAATACATGTAACCACATTTTTTAAAGCTAGGTACTTAGATAAATTCAGTCATTATTAAAATAGTGCATGAAAAGGAGTGGGTGGAGTTTAGAACTATCTAACATCTTTCTGGTGAAACAATGAAGAAGGAATTAAATCTTTCTCCTCCCAAGTGTCCTCTTACATAATTGTGTTGTCTAAAGGTTTATATGATTAAAACATATTGCTTATGGTTTAGCTGACAGTTTGGCTCCCATCCAAACACATAGGAAAAGAATGGTTAGCTGTTGGGAGGATTAGCACACTGACTTTTCCACCTTCCTTACATTCTCAACTGTGAATTTGGTTTTCTGCTTATGTCAAATTGCAACAGAATTTTTCCATTCTTTGTTGCCTGTCAATGTGCAATGGTTGATTTATTTAACGGATGGCTCTAGGTAACAGTTAAGGCTGCCATATATGTAAAAGCTGGCAAAACAATAATTGGTGTTTGTATCACTGTTTTATTCATGAAGTTATTTGATTTTAATTCGTTTTATAATATAAGCACTCCTAGTGAGCAAAGCAGCCACCAGTTAAATAAACAATTATGTATAAAATGTAATGGAGGACAGTTAATGTTGATGCATGACAGGCTTTGGACACACTCAGACCTGAAGACAAAATCAGGTTAGAGCAGCAGCTGGAAAGATTAGTATATTTACATCTGAGCATATTAATTTCACTTGCAATGGGAGAAATAATTATTAACTAAGACCCTATGAGACACATTTTGTTTTCTGATTTTCAGGGAAACGATGTCATTTATAAATGACAAGAGTCCTAGAAAAGGCAGAATGCTTCACCCAAGATGTAATTTCCCTTGGCTTGTTTTTCCCTGACAGCACTGCCTTCATTATCTTGAGATAATTATCAGGGCCATTTCCCCAATAAAAACATCCGGTTGATCTGTCTTCTTGTTTCTCCCCTTGTACCCATAAAAATGCATAAGTGAGAGATTTCCACCTAACCTCTCCAGGGCAGTTATGGGTATCCATTCATCATTCTCTTTCTAAGATTCCATTTGCCAAAAAGTTCAGAGAACACTAGTTCTCAAGCTGAGTACTGTAATTCTAACCCAGGTGACTGGGAGACAGCATCAGGCCCCCTGTGTGTGGGAAAAGCCGGAGACGGTGAGCTGGGGGATGTGGGTTTCTGACTCCTCATATCTCTGGACTTTACCTTCCATCTCTGTAGAATAAGGAAATGCTCAGAGGATCTCTGTGAGCCCTTCCAGCTCTACGTTTACTTGGAATTTTATTTATTTTGTTACCTCTTTAGATGTGATGTATACAAATCTCTAGTTTTAATATAGTTTCTACATATAAACTAACAATTATCAATTTTCTGGGAAAGACTTAGACAGTTTTCTATTCGTTCTTTGTTCTCAGGAGGCAGCCAAAATTTCCCAAGCTGAGGTCATGAAGCACATCATTAAATATCAAATTGCCCACCTCTTCCCCACCACACACCACCCATTTTCACAGGTGAAGAAACTGAGGCCTGGAGAAGTCAGGTGACTGACCCACAGTGTCAGGAACTAGACCCACTGCCCCAGGTGAGAGGCTTCCTGCCAGCCAGCTGTGCTGTTATTATTTAATGTTGGACCATTTCATTTGGCACACAGTAATCCTAAAAGCAGGATAAGCCAACTCCCGGTCTTGTATTTGGGTTGTTGGATGTTGTGAGCACTTTTGAGAATTTTTGTGGGGACAGGGAGGGAGCAAGTGGGGAGGGGAAGAGAGAGAGAGACAGAGACAGAGACACAATGAGATTTTTGTTTCCATTGAAGAAGATAAAGATTCTTCTTCCTTTGATGGAAAGAGAGTCATCTTTGGAGACATGAGATTATATTTCCTGCTTCCCCTTCCATTGCAGGGCTAGTGCTCCCACTAAGAAATCAGTGTCCAAGAGATTAGGGCAGTGTTAAACTCTTACTTAGAATTCCCAGGTGGAATAACTTGTTCTTGAAAGCAGTGTGAGGTAGGTTTACGTATGAAATTCCTGGGCCGTCATGTCATTTTGCATTAAACCATCAATTTCTTGGTCTGAGATGACAAGCATATGACACGTCCAAATAATTTTTCTGTCAAGTCTATTCAGACAAAGAGCAGAGATGAAGTATGAGAAAGCAAGTTCAAGGAGACGAAGTTCCTTCTGATGGATGGAATGGAACATTTTCTCCCTGTTTTTAATTTAAGGTTTTGAAACTATGGCTCTTCACTCTGGAAACTGACAAGTTCCCAGGCTTGGAATGATGCTGTTTAACATAACGAAGGGTGACAGGTTAACAAGGGTATACTCAGTCAGAGGTTTCAAAAGCCACAGGGCTCATAGGCTCACAGGCAAGAGAGAAGAATCACCTGAATTTAACAAAATACGGTTTTGGAGGAAGACTGTCTCTTGGGCTGATATGGACATGGGACGAGTTTCTGTTCTCCCTACTCCAATAACCTGCCCTATGAGTTGAGATCACTTGACTTTAAGCATGAAAAAGGCACAGATACAGATAGAAATAAAGCTGGAATAATTTTGAGGATCATGGAAACATCTTTGCCTAGCTGAGAAAATCAAATGGTGCCTGAGAGTCCACCCACCCAAAATAAGAATTACAATATCATGCTGACCAGAGAGCTTTTTAGGAGGGCTGAATATGTTTCTGTCAAAAATGCACAGGGCTTTGAAGTCCCTGTTCCATCTTTTTTTTTTTTTTTTTTTTTTTTTGAGACAGGGTCTCACTCTGTCACCCAGGCTGGATTGCAGCGGCACGATCTCGGCTCACCGCAACCTCTGCCTCCCAGGCTCAAGCAATTCTCCTGCCTCAGCCTCCTGAGTAGCTGGGACTACAGGCATGTGCCACCACGCCCGGCTAATTTTTTATATTTTTGGTAGAGACGAGGTTTCACCATGTTGGCGATGGCTGGTCTTGAACTTCTGACTTCAAGTGATCCAACAGCCTCGGCCTCCCAAAGTGCTGAAATTACAGGCGTCAGCCACTGCGCGTGGCCCGTTTTCCGTCTTTTACAGACAACAAGATCTTGGAGAAGTTACTATTCTCTTCTGAGCCTTAAGGTCCTCATCTTGAAAATGAGAATTAAAAACCTAGGGCCTCACAGAATTGTTGTGAAAATGATGACAATCATTTAGTGGGTGCTTCCCATGTGTCAGACACTGAGTAAAGCTGTTTGTGCCTATTATCTAATTTAGTCCTCAACATAGGCCCAAGAGAGAAATATTATTAACCTTGTACCATAGATGTGTAAACTGAGGCTTAGGGGTTGCCCAGATTCACCTGACTACGAAGTAAAAGATTTGGATTTGAGCCTGAGTTCGTCTGATGCCATGACTGACACTCTTAACTACGAGTCTTGTAAAAAAAAAAAGTTCTTTGTGAGATGCAGGCCATTATACGACAGTTAGTAGTTCTTGTAATGACTTTAAAGTAATCTTGTAAGGTAACTTCAGTTACTTTACTCATTCTCCTTAGGCTACAAGCACCATTTATTTGGCAACTAGCATTTTTTAAAAAAATAATACTACCATTAATAAATACTGAGTGCCTATGCTGGGCCGGGCCCTGTTTTAAGACCTTGAAATGTTTGGACTTATTTACTCCTCACAACGGCTTTATGAAGTAGCTGCCATTATTATCCCCATTTCACAATGTGGAAATAAGAACACTGAGACTTTGAATAACTTGCCCAAAGCCCTATTGGTGGTAAGTGGCAGAGCTGGGATTTCACTCAAGGCAGTTGTAGGACGGAAGTGTGTATTGTCTCCTCATGTGAAGCATAGCTCTAGAAATTGGCAGAGTGAAATCACCAATTGAGTTCTCGCTTATCTCTCTCGGGAACTGGAGTGGCTGCTGATGATGCAGGGCTGATAGCGGGAGCCCTTCTGTGTATTCCCATTTGTCTGGGACACCCGGCCATGGGAACTGTGGTTTTTCCCTCCGATGGTCTCCTGAGTATTCCTCCAACCTTTATTAATCACAGGATTCTTAAAAAATCCCCAGTCACAGTTGGATCCAGGCAACCCCAATTGTTACGATGACCCCTGACTGTTTGGGGTCATTCCCCAGCCTGGATCTTGCCTTCATAAGCCGGATAATTGGGAGCATGAGGACTAGAACAGTAGGGAGGTTATGAGAAGGTGTACCCAGTTCATACAGCCTATGTCTCTGGTCTCTATAATGTTCTGTGATGCACATGGAAGGAGTCCCAAAACTCTAGAAAGCAAGTAAAATTATATTTCCTAACAATCAGTGTTCTCAATCCTAAATGAGAATTTGCCTATTTTAAGTTATCCTAATCCAAAAATGAACTTATCAAGGGGCTGCTGGGTAGTTCACAGAAGGGTGGGAAGGCCAGCAAAACTGACTCAGAAATGGAAAAGGAAGCTCAGAGGGATGCAAGTAGAGATGGGCTGGTCAGAAGCCACAGCCACTGCTGGAGGACACTAGACTCCACCCCGTGGCCAGGACCCTGGAGGCCACTGCTCTACCAAATGGAATTCTGCAACTGCCCTTGTTTGTTTGCTTGTTTGTTTTATCACTTCTTCAAATGTAAAGTCCTGGGCTAGATAACCAATTGGCGCTTTTTCAAATCCTGTGTCTGCATAGTAGTTGCCAGATGTTAGGAAGAGCAAAGACTGGCTTTTCCACTTCTGATTCAGAGGTTGGGCAATCAAAAAAAGCATGACCGCTGCACACCACATAGTTATTGATCTATCTGCCGGGAACCTAAGTGGTCACATTTAATCTTGAGTAAATTCTGCTGGATAAATAGTTCCATTCTCTAACTGTGAACTACAGTTAGGGAGGTAGAACTTAACCAATTTTACACAATTCCTAATGTCAGACCTACCTTTTGCAATTTGCTCCTCAGCTCAAGAAACACTGGCTTAGGCAGGAGGAGTTGTGCTTTTATTCATAGATTGCTTGGGTGGAACCTTACCTGTTCTCTCCATGGAACTAAGAAACAGACAGCCCCCTGGAAAGTGCTCCAGTGTCTTCGGCATTCTGGCAGGAGCATGGCCTGAGGTATCCGAAGGGGAAGCAAGTTAATATGAAGTGCAGTCTATAAAATGCACAATTTATTTCTATATATTCATTTGCATCTGGTGCACACACAGCTGTTAAATATATTCCCAAAGAAGAGAAACGTTATCCATTTCCATAATTTTTGAATTATAGAAATATTTAGTAAAACTGAAAATACAGCGAGCTTTTATAGGCTGTTATACTGATTGAAAGGCCCTGACAACTTCTCATAGTTCACAATCATGGGAAACAGATGTGCAGATCTCCTTGAGGGAGCAAAGATGTGAGAGCATCATGGGGACTGGGGGGAGAAGCTTTCTGTGGGATTTCAGAAGGTACTGAGACCAAGGAAGGACCTCAGAGATCAAGAGGAAAGATTTTCAGCTTAAGACATATTATCAATAGGCCCCAAAGTGGGAGAGGTGGTACCAACAATGCATTCTAGACCAGCAAGCCTGGAGAGATGTGGCCAGCCTGATGGGCTAGCAAAACATGTTCCCTGCACAAGACCAGAGTGGGGAGGCTTCCAAGATTGTTTCAGGAATGTGACTATTTTTTCAGCAAGCTTTCTGTGCTGTGTCACATTTATGAAAAGAAACACATTTTCCTAATTTGTCTTCTTTGTAGGAAGAAAGGCAACATGACAAAGAGAGACCACATGGTTTAGTCAGAAGCCAGAAGACATGTTCGAGAGCTAGGCCCACCACTGACTGGCTGTGTTGGTCTTGGGTATATTGTGGCAATTTTTCTGAGTCTCAGATCTTCATTTACCTCACAGGATTAAGTTAGGTGAATTCAAAAATGCCCATGCAACTTAAAGCAATCTTCAATTGTGAGGTGTTACTCATAAATGGAAATGTGGCCAGTCATAATTTAAGTATAATTTGGAACATAGTTTCTCCTAAAGTTCAAGTTAAAAACTCAGTAGACACACAGAATACACAATGGATCAATGTATTGATCCATAAGACCCCAAATGATAGTAAGCATGGGACATCTGTAGTGAAGATGATGGGATGATCACACATCTATGCCATCCTCTCCTGAAATCTCAATTAAATAACAGCGAAAGGATTTGTTAAAGGCATATGCTCACAAGGAAGGGAAGAATAGTGGGGATAAAACAGCAATAAAACTTAGGAGTCTGAAAAGCAATTGAGTGAGTGGTAAAGGATTTATAGAAAAGGGAATATTAATAGGTAACAGGGGAACTTAGGCATCAGCAAAACCTAGACTGCAGAGTCCACCAGTGCCTCAGGAGCTGACAACACAGGGTACCTCTGAAGTGGGAGTGAGATGCACCTAAAATGTGGAAGATTGGCTGAAAGTCTGTTTCAAACGCCATTGACCTCTGGGTTCCTTCTCCCACCACACTCAGCCAGAAGACTGTCCTTCTCCTATCCAACCAAAGATGGGAGGTCTCTGGGGACACTAAAACAGAGGGTGTCTGGCACAATTGAGAATTAAGTGAATGATGTGCACTTTGTAGTGAGGACTCAGCCCTCTTTTTCCAGTGGATTCCCAGAACTCACTGGATAGCCAGGGCTTCACCACTCTGCCGGAGTTAGGGAAAGTGCTTTATTGGGAGTCTAACCAGCCTGAGATATAAAACTTACAGATATTAACTTTGAAGCTTCTCTAATAAATTACCCAGCCTTATTTATCTAACTAATATTTACTGAAAGCCTATGATGTGCCAAGGATTTTTCTAAGTCCAAGGGTTTCAGCAGAAAAAAATAAAGAAAAAAGAAATTCTTCACTTTGGGAGGCCAATGCAGGAGGATCACTTGAGCCTAGGAGTTCAAGACCAGCCTGGGCAACATAGTGAGATGCCACCTCTATAAAAAATAAAAAATTAGCCGGTGTGGTGGCACATGCATTTAGTCCCAGTTACTCAGGAGGGTGAGGTGGGAGAATCACTTGAACCTAAGAGGTTGAGGCTGCAGTGAGGTGTGATCACACCACTGCACTCCAGCCTGGATGACAGAGTGAGACCTTGTCTCAAAAAAAAGAAAGAAATTCTTTCCCTCATGAAGCCTACATTTAAGATGAGTGAAATGGAAAATAAAAGAAGTAAATGAGTAAAATATGTGATATGCTAGATGATAATAATTACTCTGGGAAAAAAATAAATTAGGGAAGGCGACAAGAAGTGTCTAGGGATAAGGGAGGGAATTGAACATTTAAATAAGTTGGCCAGAAAACTGCTCCATGAGAAGGCGATGTTTGAGCAAAGGGCTGGAGGAGGCGAAGGAATGAGTGTCAAAGCTCACTAGGGAATGGGCCACCTCGCAGAGGGAGCAGCCCGGGCAAGGACTCTAGTGTCTGGGAGATGCTGAAGGGCCAGAGGCCAGGGTGGCAAGAGAGGAGAGAGTGCAGGGTCAAGGAGGCCAAAATGAGGGCAAATTGGAGAAGGGATGTGGTGGGCTGAATAATGACTTCACATTGTAATCCTCAGAACATGGACTGTGTTACCTTACCTAGCAGAAGGGACTTTGCTGATGTGGTTAGGACTTAAGATGGGGAGATTATCCTGGACTATCAGTGGGCCAATATAATCACGAGTGTCATTTATAAATGAAAGGAGGAGGCAAGAGATCTAGTGAGAGAAGGAGATGGGAAGGTGGGAACCGAGATGGCAAGAGGAGAGATGCCAGGAAGGGGCCAGAAGCTAAAGAATGCGGGCAGCTTCTAGAAGCTAGAAAAGGCAAGGAAACAGATTCTCCCTGAGGATCCCCCAAGCCAAAAAAGCACAGCTCTGCTGACACCTCGATTTTATGAGTGCTGACCTCCAGAATGGTAAAATAATAAGTATGTGTTGCTTTAAGCCACTAAATTTGGGGTAATTTGTTACAGAAGCCATAGGAAACTAATAGAAACTAAAGTAAGAGGGAGGGGAACAGATCCCCTGTTTTGATAAAGTGAGAAAATTTTTAAAATTCACCTTATTTTTAATGCAAGTATAAAAATTCCCATCATAAAACTCTTCTGAAGTGTTTATTGTTTTGAATACATAATCCTAAAACATTATTTAACATGAAGCAATTTAAGTCTCTTGAGCAAAGCTTTCAAATATTTTCCCCTTTGATATGTAAGAATCTGTTCTCCCCATAAGCATATTATCCAGGCATGACTAGATAATTTAAGTAAATATTAATCTATGTTTATCCTTCCAGTGTTTTCCCCTATTTCATGGAGCTGGTCAGGATGGTAGGAGCTCTGCTCTGAGGGTTTTTTGTAAGTGCTGAGCGGAGGTTGCTAAAGCCCAGGGCTGTAGATCTACTGAGAGGTCATACCTGGGGTTTGGGGAAAGGGTGGGTGGAGGGAGGGGAAGCTTCAGATGCAGAGGCTTCTGAGGATTCCAACATATAAGAAAGAAACAGATTTTGCATTTTTGGCCCCTTAATGGAGATTCTAACCTGATAGGGAATAGAGGCCAGTGCTTTGGGCTGAAGGGAGTTGCTGCTCTGCAGGGGTGGGGAGAGGATTTATCTTCCTAGAGACCCAGAGGGGCTGAGCATGGGGTGATGCTTGTGGACAGTGTTTTGCAGCCAAAGGATACAGGAGGAGGGTGGACACTAAATGCCTTTATAGGATGTGGAAGGTCTCTGGGGGACCTCCACCTGCCTTGGTCCCTGGAGCAGACTTGGGAGGAATGCCTCAGAAGTTATCCAGACCAGCAGTGACTGACAGAGAGAGAAGAACTAGTCTTCACCAGCTGCCTCCTGTAGGGAGAGGAGTGACTTGGAGTCTAGGTCTCTTGCCCATATTGTAGGCCCTATATAAGCTACTGGGGATCTTATACCATTCTAGGAAGGGGAGCTTTTAACACCTGCTACAACTCTGTGTCATTCAGTAGATGCCATGCAGACCAAACTTTGCTTCCAGATAGTTGAGACATTGTGTGATTTAAATGAGGGGAGCAGCAGCTGGGAAGCTGTCTCTTATTCCTGCCTCAGTCACCAACCAGCTGAGTGACACTGATTAGAGCCTTAATTATAGGGGCCTCATTTCCTCCCCTCTGTCAGGGGGAAAGACCAAGACATAAGGTTTCAGAATTGCAATTTTTTTTTTTTTTGAGATGGAGTCTCACTCTGTCGCCCAGGCTAGAGTGCAGTGGCACCATCTCGGCTCACTGCAACTTCTGCATCCTGGGTTCAAGCGATTCTCCCCCCTCAGCCTCCTGAGTAGCTGGGACTACAGGTGTGCATGGCCATGCCTGGCTAATTTTTTGTATTTTTAGTAGAGACAGGCTTTCACTATGTTGGCCAGGCTGGTCTCGAATTCCTGACCTCAGGTGATCCGCCCACCTTGGCCTCCCAAAGAGCTGGGATTACAGGCGTGAGCCACTGCGCCCAGCCCAGAACTGCAAAATTTTGAGCTGAGTGGAAGAATTCTGTTATATTCTTTCTCTCCCAACAAACCCAACCTAAAGCAAAGCAGGTCAAGCCGATAAACAAACAGCAGCAGCAACACAAACAAAAAAGAGATAGGTTAAAGTATCTTTGAAAATTGCAGTGTCATCCAAGAAATACCACAAAATATGGAGAAAAAAAATCATGTAGGGACAGTTTAGAAAAAATGAGATTCAATAACATAAAGTTGTTACCAAGTCTCATAAAATCCATTGATTCATAATACTTCTGATATGCCATAGGTGTCTGAGACGGCAGTGTAGACAGGGTGAACTATTTCAGAGGATACTCTCTTGCATAGGATATGGAGAAAAATCTTTCAAGTGGCAAAATTTCATAGCTTGGGAAAATAATTGGCTTTGAGTAGAAAATATGATCCTCTTGTAGAGCCTCAGCTTTGGGCTTCTAGAATTACATCGCTGTCAGTCATTGCTCCAAACTGCCTGAAGACAGTGATTTCACACAGCAAACTTGGACTAGCACATTGGAGCCCAGTGCTCTGGGTGTTAGCAAAAGCTTTGGTATTCAAATGTTGCTGCCAAGAGATTTCAAGATTATATTAAGAGTTGCAAAAATCTAGAGCTGTGTAGATATTATGCAAAGCACCGTGAAGAAATATAACTTAATTTTTTTTGACCAAATGTTGATACTGAAACCATATATATGATGGAATTTGAATTATTCTTTTCTAAGTTAATTACTTCAAGGCTCTAAGAAGGAATTAAACAGAGCCACCATCACTGGAGCCACCAAGCACTGATGTCTGCTCTTGTTGCCGGGACCTGGGAGTAGCTGGTCTGTTATCTCTGGATTCAGTCCTGATCTCCCTTTCTAGTCTTGCTGCCCCCAGGTGGCGGTTTCCTCGTCACTCCCCTGCAGACCCATGCCCAGCTCAGTTCCCTATCCCATGCCTTGTCAGAACTCAAGTCTTCCCATTTTGTAGTGTTATTTGTTCGATTTTGAGGGGCTAGTACAGTCTACAAATGAGAAAGGCCCCACACCCCTGGGATCTTGGAAGAATGCATTTGCTTAACTGCAGAACAGCTCATTCTCCATGGCTACTCTCTCAGATAACATCCAGAGGCAAATCTTTGCTTCAATTGTAGACTCCTTGATTATTGTAATGATACTTTCTTCATTTTACTAGTCAAGACTTAGTAATCAGGATAAATATTTCAATGCAGTATTTTCTTAAATAAAAATTAATACCCCCAATGCATGATAAGCAAAATATCAGCATTTTAAATAGAGATGAGGTCAGTATTAGTGTTCTTTCTCTTACCTCTGGCTCTCCTATGGCGTGGCACAACAGTGTCACTGATCCCATTCGTGTGTTGTTTTCTTATACCACTTCTGACACCAAATGTGATTTTTTCTTTGGCACCAAATAATTGTAGTTTTCCACACCAATTCTCCAACACCAATTGGTGTCCAATAATTTAATTCAATTCTGACACTAACTCCTGGAGTTAGTGCAGGCCCCATAGGTGAAGGGCTCAGTTCCACAAGGCTGCCCCCACTTTAGATGCCAGTCACAAATAGAGCACCCAGGCTACTCCCACTTCTGTCCACCAACTGCCAATTTGGGGGTCCCCATGACTCCTTTCTCAGGTTTCTTTTTTTTTTTTTTTTTTTTTTTTTTTTTTGAGACGGAGTCTCGTTCTGTCGCCCAGGCGGGAGTGCTGTGGCGCGATCTCCGCTCACTGCAAGCTCCGCCTTCCGGGTTCACGCCATTCTCCTGCCTCAGCCTCCCGAGTAGCTGGGACTACAGGCGCCCGCCACTGCGCCCGGCTAATTTTTTGTATTTTTAGTAGAGACGGGGTTTCACCGTGGTCTCGATCTCCTGACCTCGTGATCCGCCCGCCTCGGCCTCCCAAAGTGCTGGGATTACAGACGTGAGCCACCGCGCCCGGCCTCTCAGGTTTCTTAAATCACCAGAATGACTCATAGAACTCAGAAGAGCACTTTACTTACTATTACTGTTTACTATAAAGGATACAACCCAGAAACAGCCAAATGGAAGAGACACATAGTGCATGGTTTGGGGGCTGTAGGGTACAGAGTTTCCAAGCCTTCGCAGAGCATATCAATGCCTCGATGGCTTCATTAATCTGGAAGCTCCCTAAACCCCATCATTTGTGGGTTTTTATAAAGTTTTCGTTTTGTAGACATACTTGAAAATTATTGGCCACTGGTAATTGAAGTCAACCTTAAGGCTCTCTCTCCACCCCGAAGGTCTGGGAATAGGGCTCAAAGTTCTAACTCTGTAATCACATAGTTGTTTCCTCTGGTGACTAGTCCCTAGGCTGAAACTATTTAGGGGCCAACCAAAATTTGCCTCATTAGGATAAACTCAAGTATTGTTGAAAGGGGCTCATTATGAATAACAAAAGATGCACCAATGAGTCAGGAAACTCCAAAGACTTTAGAAGCTCTGTGCCAGGAATGCAGAGACAAAAGCCAAATATATATTATTTATTGTACCACACTATCTTTATTTAAAATTTTGAGTTTTTCATACATTTTCCCACTATTTTTGATATTTTAAAATATCACATTAAAATATTTTAATTGACAAAAAATAATTATACATATTTATGGAGTACATGGTGATGTTTCAATACATGGAATGTATAGTGATCAGATTAGGATAATAAGCATATCCATCATCTCAAACATTTATAATTTCCTTGGGTTGGGAACATTCAATATCCTCCTGCTATCTAATTGAAACTATAAATTACTGTTAGCTATAGTCACCCTATAGTGCTAAAGAGCCCTGGAGTTTATTCCTCCTATCTAGCTGTGATTTTGTATCCTTTAACAAATCTCTCCCTTTCCCCTACTTCCCCTTTCCTTTTCAGCCTCTAGTATTTTCTGTTCTCCTTTTTACTTCAATGGGATAAATGCTTTTTAGCTTCCACACATAAGAACAAGTGGTGTTTAACTTTCTGTTCCTGGCTTATTTCACATTACATAATATCTTCCAGTTTCATTTATGTTACTGTGAATGACAGGATTTCATTCTTTATGACTGAATAGTATTCCATTGTGTGTATATCCATATTTTCTTTATCTGTTCATCTTATTGGACAACTAGATCGATTCCATATCTTGGCTATTGTGAGTAGTTCTGTAACAAACATGGGAGTGCAGATGTCTCTTCAATATAATGATTTCCTTTTCTTTGGATAAATGCCCAATAGTGGGATTACTGGATCATATGGTGTTTTTATCTGCAGTTTTTGAGGAACCTTCCCACTGTTTTTCATAGTGACTACACTGGTTTACATTCTTACCAACAGTGCTTAAGGGATCCCTTTTATTTGCATGCTTGCCAACATTTTTTGTTTTGTCTTTTCAATAATGGCCATCCCAATTAGGGTGAGATGATACCCCATCATGGTTTGATTTGCAGTTCCCTGCTAATTAGTGATGACAATCATTTTTTTCATGTATTTGGCTGTTTGTATGTGCTGTTTTGAGAAATGTCTGTTCAGATCATTTACCCATTTTCTAATTGCATTGTTTGTGGGTTTTTTGCTGTTGAGATGTTTGAGTCCTTGCATATTTTGGATGTTAATCCCTGTCAGGTGAATAGTTTGAAAATGTCTTGTCCCATCCTGTAGATTGTTTTTTAATATGTGGATTGTTTCTTTTGCTTTGCCTAAGCTTTTTAGTTTGATATAATTCCATTTGTTTATTTTTGCTTTGGTTGTCTATGTTTTCCGGTTGTATTCATAAAATCTTTCCCAAATTCAAGTCCTGAAGCATTTCCCCTATGTTTTCTTCTAGGACTTTTATAGGTTTGGATCTTACAGTTAGGTCTTTGGTCCAGTTTGAGTTGATTTTGGTATAAGGTTAGAGGTAGGGGGTCTATTTTGATTCTCTGCATATGGATATCCACTTTTCCCAGCACTATTTATTGAAGAGACTGTCCTTTCCCCAGTGCATGTTCTTGGTGACTTTGTAAAAAATCAGTTGGCTGTAGATATGTGGATTATCTTCTGAGTTCCCTATTCTGCTCCACTGTTTTATGTATCTTTTTATGCTGTTTTAGTTACTATAGCTTTGCAGTATATTTTGAAGTCTGGTAGTGTCATACCTCCAACTTCGTTCTTGTTGCTCAGGATTTCTTTGGCTACTTGGGGTCTTTCATGGTTCCATACAAATTTCAGGATTTTTTTTCTATTTCTGTGAAGAATGTCCTTTTTATTTTTATAGGGATTTTAATGACTTTATAGATTGGTTAGGATAGTATTGTCATTTTAACAATGACAATACTTTTGATCCGTGAGCATGGGAGGAGGATTTTATGTCCTTAGCTAAATTTATTTTTAGTTTTTTTTCTTTTTGCTATTATAAATAGGATTGTCATCTTGATTTCTTTTTCAGCTAACTTGTTCATGTATAAAAATACTACTAATTTTTGTATATTAATATTATATTTTGTATATTAATTTTGTGTTCTGCAACTTTATTAAATTTGTCAGTTTTGAGAGTTTTTTGGTCAAGTCTTTAGGTCTTTCTGTATATAAGATCATGTCATCTACAAACAGGGACAATCTGACTTCCTCCTTTCCCATTGGGATGCCTGTTATTTTGCTTGCTTAATTGCTCTAGCTAGACTACCCTGTACTATGTTGAAAAAGAGTGGTAAGAGTCAACATCCTGTTTTGTTCCAGTTTTTAAAGGAAAGGCTGAAAGCTTTCCCTCAATCTGTAAGATATTAGCTGTGGGTTTGTCATTTATGACTTTTATTATTTTGAGGTAGTTTCCTTCTATTCCTAATAAGAGTTTTTTTTTTTTTTTTATCATGGAGGAAGGTTGAATTTTATCAAAACCTTTTCTGTATCTATTGCATGATCATATGGCTTTGGCCTTCTTTGGATTGATGTGATATGACATTTGTTGATTTGTATATGTCAAACCGTCCTTGCATTCCTGGGATAAATCCTGCTTGACCATAATGTATTACCTTTTTGATGTGTTGTTAGATTCAATTTGATAGTATTTTGTTGAGGATTTTCTCATCTATGTTCATTAGAGATTTTGGTCTGCAGTTTTCTTTTTTTGTTGTGTCCTTGCCTGGTTTTGGTATTAGGATTATGCTCACCATATAGAATGAGTTAGGAGGAATTCCCTCTGCTCTAATTTTTTGAAATAGTTTGGAAGATTGGTATTAATTCTTCTTTAAAGGATCAGAAGAATTTAGCTGTGAAGCCATCCAATTCTGAACTTTTCTTTGTTGGAAGACGTTTTATTACTGAGTAAATCTCATTGCTTCTTATAAGTCTGTTCAGGTTCTCTATTTCTTCTTGTTTCAATCTTAGTAGGTTATATGTACCTAAGAATTTATTCAGTTCCTCTAGGTTTTCAAGTTTATTGTCATATAGTTGTTCATGTTAGTCTCTAATGATCATTTGTTTTTATTTTTTCCATCTGGTTTTATTTATTTGAGTCTTAGCTATTTTTTTCTTAGCTAACCTAGGTAATGATTTGTTGATTTTGTGTATATTTTCAAAAAACTAACTTTTTGTTTCATTCATCTTTGTTGTTTTTTTAGTCTCAACTTTGTGTATTTTCTGTTATTTTTTTCTCTTGCTTAGTTGCCCTGGCTAAAATACCCAGTACTATGTTGAATAAGTGTGGTGAGAGTTGACATCCTTGTCTTGTTCCGGTCTTAAAGGAAACATTGAAAGCTTTTCCGTAAGATATTAGCTATGTGTTTGTCACTTTGATATTAATATTAAGTTAATCTTTAATTTAAACTTTACTATTTCTTTCCTCTACTAATTTGGAGTTTGGTTTGGTCTTGCTTTCCTAGTCTCTTTTTCCATTGTTAGGTAGGTTGTTTATTTGAAATCTTTCCAGTTTTGATATAGGCTTTTTTGCTGTAAACTTGCCTCTTACTACTGCTTTTCCTGTGTCCCATAGGTTTTACTATGTTGTGTTTCTATTTTCTTTTGTTTCAAGGAATTTTTAAATTTCATTCTTAATTTCTTCCATTACCCATTGATCATTCAGGAATATGTTGCTTAATTTCATGTATTGGTATAGTTTCAAATGTTACTTTTGTTTTTGATTTTTCATTTTATTCCCTGGTGGTCAGATGAAACACTTGATATGATTTTGACTTTTTAAAACTTTTTAAGACTTCTTTTGTGTCCTAACATAATGGTCAGCCTTGGAGAATGTTTCATGTGCTGATGAAAAGAATGACTGCTCTGCAGCTGTTGGGTGAAATGTTCTGTAAATGTCTGTTAGGTCTATTTCATCTACGGTGCAGTTTAAATCTGATATTTCCTTGTTCATTTTCCATCTAGCTGATCTATCCAGTGCTGAAAATGGGGTGTTGGAGTCCTCAATTATTATTATATTGAAGTCTATCTCTCCCTGTAGATCTAACAATATTTGTTTTATATATCTGAGTGCGCCAGTGTTTGGTACATATATATTTACAATTGTTATATTCCCTTGCTGAGTTGATTCTGTTATTATTTATGCAATGTCCTTCTTTGTCTCTTTTTACTGCTTTCAACTTGAAGTCTGTTTTATCTGATATAAGTATAGCTGTTCATGCTCACTTTTGGCTTCAATTTGCATAAAATATATTTTTCCATCCTTTCATTTTTCAGTCTATATGTGTCTTTACAGGTGAGGTATGTTTCTTGTAGGCAGCATATTTTTTGGGGGGACATCTTGTATTTTTATCCATTCAGCCAGTCTATCTCTTTTAAGTGGGGAATTTAAGCCATTTACATTCAATGTTATTATTGATAGGTGAGGACTTCTGCCATTTTATTGATTGTGTTCTGGTTGTTTTGTATATTCTTTGCTCCTTTCTCTCTTATTGTTTATTTTTGAGTTGAGTGGTTTTCAGTAGTGACAAGTTTTGATTCCTTTCTCTTTTTCCTTTATGCATCAGCTCTACCAGGGAGTGGTATAGTTTGGATATTTTCCCCACTGAAATCTCTTGTTGAATTTTAATCTCCAGTGTTGAAGGTGGGGTCTGGTGGGAGGTGTTTGGGTCATGGGGCTAGATCCCTCATGTTTTGGTGATGTCCTTGTAATAGTGAGTACTCACAAGATCTGGTAGTTTAAGTGTATGGCACTTCCCCTCTACTCTCTGGGTTGCTCCTGCTTTTGCCATGTGATGTGCCTGCTCCCTCTTGACCTTCTACCATTATTGACAGCTCTCTGAGGCTTCATCAGAAGCTGAGCAGATGCCAGCATCATGCCTCCTGTAAAGTCTGCAGAACTGTGAGGCAATTAAACCTCTTTTCTTTATAAATTACTGTCTCAGGTATTTCTTTATAGAAATGCAAGAATGGCTTAACACAGAAAATTGGTACCAGGGGTGGGACATTGCTGTGTCAGGTCTCTGAGCCCAAGCTAAGCCATCATAACCCCTGTGACCTGCACGTATACATCCAGAGGGCCTGGAGCAACTGAAGAACCACAAAAGATGACATTCCACCATTGTGATTTGTTCCTGCCCCACCCCAACTAATCAATCGATCTTGTGACATTCCTCCCCTGGAAAATGAGTCTCATGATCTCCCCATCCTGCACCTTATGACTCCTGTGGCTGCCTGCAAGAGATAACCACCTTCAACTGTAATTTTCCACTATCTACCCAAATCCTATAAAAAGTGCCCCACCCCATCTCCCTTTGCTGACTCCTTTTTTGTACTCAGCCCACCTGCACCTAGGTGATTAAAAAGCTTTATTACTTGCACAAAGCCTGTCTGGTGGTCTCTTCACACGGACTCATGTGACATTTGGTGCTGGAGACCCAGGACAGGGAGACTCCTTCAGGAGACTGGTCCCCTGTCCTCGCCTCTCTTTGTGAGGAGATCCACCTACAATGTCAGGTCCTCAGACTAGCCTAAGGAACATCTCTCCAATTTTAAATTGGGTAAGCAGCCTTTTTTATTCTCTTCTCCAACCTTTCTCACTATCCTTCCACCCTTCAATCTCTCCCTTCCTTAATTTTGGTTCCTTTCCCTTTCTGGTAGAGACAGAGGAGACGCGTTTTATCTGTGAACTCAAAACTCCGGTGCTGGTCATGGACTCGGGAAGCCAGTCTTCCCTTGGTGTCTAATCACTGCAGGGATGCCTGCCTGATTATTCACCCACATTCCAGGTGTGTCTGATCACCGCAGGGACCCCTGCCTTGATCCTTCACCTTTGTGGCAAGTACTACCTCCCCTGGGTGGCAAGTACCACCTCCCCTTGGTGGCAAGTACCACCTCCTGTGGGTGGCAAGTACCACCTCCCTCCCTCCGTGTCTCTACCCTATCTTTTCTCTAAACTTACCTTTTTACTATGGGCAACCTTCCGCCCTCCATTCCTCCATCTTCTCCCTTAGCCTGTGTTCCAAAAAACTTAAAACCTCTTCAACTCTCACCTGACCTAAAACCTAAGCCTCTTATTATCTTCTGCAATACCACTTGGCCCCAATACAAACTCGGCAGTGGCTCTAAATGGCCAGAAAATGACACTTTCAATTCCTCCATCCTACAAGATCTAGATAATTTTTGTCGTAAAATGGGCAAATGGCCTGAGGTGCCTGATGTCCAGGCATTCTTTTACACATTGGTCCCTCCCTAGTATCTGCTCCCAATGTGACTCATCCCAAATCTTTCTTCATTCTCCTTTCTCTCCTGTCTGTCCCTTCAGTCTCCACCCCAAGCTCTGAGTCCTTTGAATCCTCCTTTTCTACAGACCTATCTGACCTCTCCCCTCCTCCTCAGGCTGCTCCTCGCCAGGCCGAGCCAAGTCCCAATTCTTCCTCAGCCTCCACTCCCCCACCCTATAATCCTTCTATCACCTCCCATCCTCACACCCAGTCCAGCTTACAGTTTTGCTCCGCGACTAGCCCTCCCAACAATCTCCTCTTGGAGAGGTGGCTGGAGCTGAAGGCATAGTCAAGGTTAAGGCTCCTTTTCTTTATCCACCCTGTCCCAGATCAGTTAGTGTTTGGGCTAGTTTTCATCAAATATAAAAACCCAGCCCAGTTCATGGCCCATTTGGCAACAACCCTTAGACGCTTTACTGCCCTAGCCCCAGAGGGGCCAGAAGGCTGTCTTATTCTCAATATGCATTTTATTACCAATCTGCTCCTGACATTAGAAAAAGCTCCAAAAATTAGATTCCAGCCCTCAAACCCCACAACAGGATTTAATTAACCTCGCCTTCAAGGTGTACAATAATAGAGAAGAGGCAGTCAAGCAACAACGTATTTCTGAGTTGCAATTACTTGCCTCCGCTGTGAGAGAAACCCCAGCCACATCTCCAGCACACAAGAACTTCAAAATGCCTAAACTGCAGCAGCCAGGCATTCCTCCAGGACCTCCTCCCTCAGGATCTTGCTTCAAGTGCTGGAAATCTGGCCACTGGGCCAAGAAATGCCCGCAGCCCAGGATTCCTCCTAAGCCATGTCCCATCTTTGTGGGACCCCACTGGAAATCGGACTATTCAACTTGCCCAGCAGCCACTCCCAGAGCCCCTGGAACTCTGGCCCAAGGCTCTTGGACTGACTCCTTTCCAGATCTTCTCACCTTAGCGGGTGAAGACTGACACTGCCCAATTGCATTGGAAACCTCCTGGACCATCACAGATGCTTTGGGTAACTTTTACAGTGGAGGGTAAGTCTCTCCCCTTCTTAATCAATATGGAGGCTACCCACTCCACATTACCTTCTTTTCAAGGGCCTGTTTCCCTTGCCTCCATAACTGTTGCAGGTATTGACGGCCAGGCTGCTAGACCCCTTAAAACTCCCTCACTCTGGTGCCAACTTGGACAACATTCTTTTATGCACTTTTTCAGTTTTCCCCACCTGCCCAGTTCCCTTATTAGGTTGAGACATTTTAACTAAATTATCTGCTTCCATGACTATTCCTGGACTACAGCCACATCTCATCGCTGCCCTTCTCCCCAACCCAAAGCCTCCTTTGTGTCTTCCTCTCATATCCCCCAACCTTAATCCACAAGTCTGGGACACCTCTACTCCCTCCCTGGCAACCGATCACATGCCTATTACTATCCCATTAAAACCTAATCACCCTTACCCGCTCAACACCAGTATCCCATCCCACATAGGCTTTAAGGGGACTAAAGCCTGTTATCATCTGCATGTTACAACATGGCCTCTTAAAGCCTACAAATTCTCTTTATAACTCCCCTATCCTACCCATCCAGAAACCAGACAAGTCTTACAGGTTGGTTCAGGATCTTTGCCTTATTAATCAAATCGTCCTTCCCATCCATCCTATAGTGCCAAACCTGTACACCCTCCTATCTTCAATACCTCCTTCCGCAATTCACTATTCCATTCTTGATCTTAAAGATGCTTTTTTCACTATTCCCCTGCACCCCTCGTCCCATCCTCTCTTTGCTTTTACCTGGACTGACCCTGATATCCATCAGTCCCAGTAGCTTACCTGGGCTATACTGCCACAAGGCTTCAGGGACCGTCCTCATTAGTTCAGCCAAGCTCTTTCTCATGATTTACTTTCTTTCCACCCCTCTGCTTCTCACCTTATTCAATATATTGATGACCTTCTACTTTGTAGCCCCTCCTTTGAATCTTCTCAACAAGACACCCTCCTGTTCCTTCAACATTTATTCTCCAAGGGATATCGTGTATCCCCCTCCAAAGCTCAAATTTCTTCCTCATCTGTTACCTACCTTGGCATAATTCTTCATGAAAACACAAGTGCACTTCCTGCCAATTGTGTCCAGCTGATCTCTAAACCCCAACCCCTTCTACAAAACAACAACTCCTTTCCTTCCTGGGCATGGTTGGATACTTTCACATTTGGATACCTGGTTTTGCCATCCTAACAAAACCATTATATAAACTCACAATGGGAAACCTAGCTGACACCATAGATCCTAAATCCTTTCCCCACTCCTCTTTCTGTTCCTTAAAAACAGCTCTGGAGACTCCTCCCACACTAGCTCTCCCTGACTCATCCCAACCTTTTTCATTACACACAACCAAAGTGCAGGGCTGTGCAGTCGGAATTCTTACACAAGGATCGGGACCACGCCCTGTAGCCTTTTTGTCCAAACAACTTGACCTTACTGTTTTAGGCTGGCTCTCATGTCTGCATGCAGCAGCTGCTGCTGCTCTAATACTTTTAGAGGCCCTCAAAATCACAAACTATGCTCAACTCACTCTCTACAGTTCTCATAACTTTCAAAAACTATTTTCTTCCTCACATGTGACGCATATACTTTCTGCCCCCCAGCTCCTTCAGCTATACTCACTCTTTGTTGAGTCTCCTACAATTACCATTGTTCCTGGCCCGGACTTCAATCCAGCCTCCCACATTATTCCTGATACCACACCTGATCCCTATGACTGTATCTCTCTGATCCACCTGACATTCACTCCATTACCCATATTTCCTTCTTTCCTGTTCCTCACCCTGATCACACTTGGTTTATTGATGGCAGTACCACCAGGCCTAATCACAATTCACCAGCAAAGGCAGGCTATGCTATAGTATCTTCCACATCTATCATTGAGGCTACCACTCTGCCCCACTCCACTACCTCTCAGCAAACCAAACTCCTAGACTTAACTGAAGCCCTCACTCTTGCAAAATGACTGCATGTCAATATTTATACTGACTTTATATATGCCTTCCATATCCTGCACCACCATGCTGTTATATGGGCTGAAAGAGGTTTTCTCACTACGCAAGGGTCCTCCATCATTAATGCCTCTTTAACGAAAACTCTTCACAAGCCTGCTTTACTTCCAAAGGAAGCTGGAGTCCTTCACTGCAAAGGCCATCAAATGGCCTCAGACCCCATTGCTCAAGGCAACAATTATGCTGATAAGACAGCAAAAGAAGCAGCCAGTATTCCTACTTCTTTCACTCACGGCCGGTTTTTCTCTTTCTCATCAGTCATTCCTACTTACTCTCCCACTGAAGTTTCCACCTATCAATCCCTCCCCACTCAAGGCAAATGGTTCTTGGACCAAGGAAAATATCTCCGTCCAGCCTCAGAGGCCCATTCTATTCTGTCATCCTTTCATAACCTCTTCCATGTAGGTTACAAGCCACTAGCCCATCTCTCAGAACCTCTCATTTCCTTTCCATCATGGAAATCTATCCTCGAGGAAATCACTTCTCAGTGTTCCATCTGCTATTCTACTACTCCTCAGGGATTGTTCAGGCCCCCTCCTTTCCCTACACATCAAGCTCAGGGGTTTGCCCCTGCCCAGGACTGGGAAATTGACTTTACTCCTGGGAAACTCCAGGAAACTTGGAGTTTCCTGCTCCAAGTCAGGAAACTAAAATACCTCTTGGTCTGGGTAGATACTTTCACTGGATAGGTAGAGGTCTTTCCTACAGCATCTGAGAAGACCACCATTGTCATTTTTTCCCTTCTATCAGACATAATTCCTCAGTTTGGCCTTCCCACCTCTATACAGTTCAATAATGGACTGGCCTTTATTAGTCAAATCACCCAAGCAATTTCTCAGGCTCTTGGTATTCAGTGGAACCTTCATACCCCTTAGCATCCTCAATCTTCAGGAAAGGTAGAACAGACTAATGGTCTTTTAAAGACACACCTCACCAAGCTCAGTGACCAACTTAAAAAGGACTGGACAGTACTTTTACCTCTTGCCCTTCTCAGAATTAGTCTGTCCTCGAGATGCTACAGGGTACAGTCCACTTGAACTTTTATATGGACGCACTTTCTTGCTCAGCCCCAACCTCGTCCCAGACACCAGCTCTCTAGATGACTATCTTCCAGTCCTCCAGCAGATGAGACAGGAAATTCACCAGGCTGCTAGTCTTCTCTTGCCTACTCCAGATTCTCAGCCATATGAAGACACCCTAGCTGAACGATCAGTTCTTGTTAAGAATCTGACCCCTCAAACTCTACAACCTCAATGGACCGGACCCTGCTTAGTCATCTATATACCCCAACTGCAGGCCTGCAGGACCCTCTCCATTCCTGTTCTAGTGATTGCCCCCCTCCATATCACTGTTCCAGAATAAAGCTGTATCTGTCAGCCAGCCAGCCTGATCTCTCCTCTTCCTCCTGGAAGTCGCAAGTACTCACCCCTACTTCCCTTGAACTCAGTTTCATTTCTGAAGAACAGTAATAACACTTATGAGCCTAATACATCTCTTCATTCTATTACGTCTATTCATCCTTACCCTACTTTTTGCAACAGGGCTTTACATAGTCACCCCCACTACTTGGACCGCACCCTAAAAACTTGTCATCCCTACTATCTTCTGTCTAGTCATACTCCTATTCACCATTCCCAACTACTCATAAATGCCCTGCCCTTGTTTACACTGCCAGTTTACACTTTTTCTCTAAACCATCATAACTGATATCTCCTAGTTTTACCTCAAACTGCCATTCTTGACTCCCTCTTGGAGTGGGTAGGTGATCTTTGCTGACAGGGCACCCTCCAATACTTTCACCCTGATGAAGTCCTATTCTTTACTTGTATACTCACTCTTATTCTCGTTCCCGTTCTTATGCCACCCTCTACCTCTCCCCAGCTATCTCCACCACACTATCAATCTCACTCACTCTCTCCTAGCTGTTTCTAATCCTTCTTTAACAAACAATTGCTGGCTTTGCATTTCTCTTTCCTCCAAAACCACTGAGGCCTCAACTTACTCACTGCTAAAAAAAAAAAAAAGAGGACTCTGTATATTTTTAAATGAAGAATGTTGTTTTTACCTAAATCAATCTGGCCTGGTATAGAAAAACATAAAAAAAAAAAAAAACAAACTCAAGGATAGAGCCCCAAAACTCGCCAACCAAGCAAATAATTATGCTGAACACCCTTGGATACTCTCTAATTGGTTGTTCTGGGTCCTCCCAATTCTTAGTCCTATAATACCTGTTTTTCTCCTTCTTTTATTCAGACCTTGTATCTTCCATTTAGTTTCTCAATTCATACAAAACTGCATCCAGGCCATCACCAATCATTCTATATGACAAATGCTCCTTCTAACAACCCCACAATATCACCCCTTACCGCAAAGTCTTTCTTCAGTTTAATCTCTCCCACTCAAGTTCCCACATTGCCCCTAATCCTACTTGAAGCAGCCCTGAGAAACATCACCCATTATCTCTCCATACCACCCCCAAAATTTTTTGCTGCCCCAGCACTTCACCACTATTTTGTTTTGTTTTTCTTACTAATATAAGAAGACAGGAATGTCAGGCCTCTCAGCCCAAGCTAAGCCATCATAACCCCTCTGACCTGCATGTATACATCCAGAGGGCCTGGAGCAACTGAAGAACCACAAAAGATGATATTCCACCATTGTGATTTGTTCCTGCCCCACTCCAACTAATCAATCGACCTTGTAACATTCCTCCCCTGGACAATGAGTCTCATGATCCCCCCATCCTGCACCTTGTGACCACCGCCCCTGCCTGCCCTGCAAGAGATAACCACGTTTAACTGTAATTTTCCACTACCTACCCAAATCCTATAAAACTGCCTCACCTCTATCTCCCTTTGCTGACTCTCTTTATGGACTCAGCCCACTTGCACCCAAGTGAAATAAACAGCCTTGCTGCTCACACAAAGCCTGTTGGTGGACTCTCTTCACATGTACTTGCGTGACACTATGAAGATACCTGAAAATGTGGAGGCGACTTTAGAACTGGGTACTGGGCAGAAGTTGCAAGAGTTTGGAAGGCTCACAAGAAGACAGGAAGATGAGGGAAAGTTTGGAACTTCAGAGACTGGTTAATGGTTGAGACCAAAATTCTGAAGGTGATAAAGACAATTGAGTCCAGGCTGCTGAGGTCTCATATGGAAATGAAGAAGTTTTTGGGAACTGAAGCAAAGGTCACTCTTGCCATGCCTTAGCAAAGAACTTGGCTGTATTGTGTCCATGACCTAGAGATCTGCAGAAATTTAAACTTGAGAGTGATGACCTAGGGGATCTGGTGGAAGAAATCTTTTAGTAGCAAAGTTTTCAAGAAGTTGACTGGTTGCTTCTAACAACCTATACTCAGATGTGGGAGCAAAGAAATGACTTAAAGTTGGAATTTATATTTAAACAGGAAATAGGGCATAAAATTTTGAAAAATTTGCAGCCTAGCCTTGTGGCAAAGAAAGAAAAAGCTTTTTCAGGAGAGGAATTCAAGCAGGCTGTGGAGCAACCACTTGTTAGAGATATTTGCATAACTAAAAGGGAGCCAAATGCTAATATCCAAGACTAACAAGGAAAAGGCCTTAGAGGCATTTCAGAGACCTTTGAGGCAGCCCCTCCCATCACAGGGAAGGCCCCCTCCCTCCTGAAGCCTAGGAGGATTAAACAGTTTCATGGGACATGCCCAAGGTTCTGCTGCCCTGCACAGCCTCAAGACACTGCTTCCTGCATCCCTGCTCCTCTTTGGGAGCCCCCTCCTCACACCAGTGTGCCCTGAATTGTGGGAGACAGAGTCAACGAAAATTACTTTGAAGCTTTGAGATTTAGTGATTGCCCTGCTGGGTGTTGAACTGGCTTGGGGCCTGCAGGTCCTTTTTTTTTTTTTTTTTTTTTTTTGGCCA
Source organism: Homo sapiens (assembly GCF_000001405.40). Classification (NCBI taxonomy): domain Eukaryota; kingdom Metazoa; phylum Chordata; class Mammalia; order Primates; family Hominidae; genus Homo; species Homo sapiens. The sequence continues at coordinate 154,064,740 of NC_000004.12, forward strand.
ATTTTCCCCTTTTAGAATGGGGATATATGTATATACCCCTATTGTATCTTGGAAGTAAATAACTTGTTTCTGATTTTAAAGGTTTGCAGGTGGAAGGGACTTGCCTTGTCTCAGATGGGACTTTGGACTTTTGAGTTACCACTGGAATGAGTTACCACTTGGTAACACTTGGAAGAGTGTTGTAAAGGCATGATTGTATTCTGCAGTGTGAGAAGGACATGACATTTGGGGAGGCCAGGGACAGAATGATATAGCTTGGATATTTGTCCCCACTCAAATCTCATGTTGAATTATAATCCCCAGTGTTGGAGGTGGGCTTGGTTGGAAGTGTTTTAGTCATGAGGGAAGATCTCTCATGGCTTAGTGCTATCTTTGCAATAGTGAGTGCCTTGCACGATCTGGTTGTTTGTGTGTGACACCTGCATCCCTTCTCTTGCTTACCTCTGCTTTCACTGTGTGATGTGCCTGTTCCTTTTTTACCTTCTCCCATGATTGAAACTTCTTGAGGCTTCACCAGAAGCCAAGCAGACGAAAGCACCATGCTTCCTATAAAACCTGAAACACCATGAGCCCATTAAGCCTCTTTTCTTTATAAATTACCCAGTTTCAGGTATTTCTTTATAGCAATGCAAGAATGGCCTAACACAGGGAATTTTATGGTTTCATATGTTTTCATAAGATGGTTATTGTCTTTTCACTTCTAGATGTAAGATTCTCTTGAGCATTTCTTGTAAACCTGTTCTAGTGGTGATCAATTTCCTTAGTGTTTGCTTATCTGTGCAAGATTTTTATTTCTCTGAAGGATAGCTTTGCTGGATATAGCATTTTTGGCTGGCAGTTTCTTCTTTTAAGAAATTTGAACATACAATTTTATTCTTTTGGTTTCTGCCTAGAAATCCACTTTTAATCTAATGGAAATTCTCTTACATGTTACTTTATGCTTTTTCCTTGCTTTGTCTTTGACTTTTGACAATTTCACTATAACATGCCTCAGAGAGGACCTATCTAAATTGAATCTATTTGAGGTTCTTTAAGCTTACTGGACCTGGATGTACGTCTCTCTCCCAAGATTTGGAAAGTTTTCTACTATTATTTCATTAAATGTGTTTTCCTCACCTTTTCCCTTCTCTTCTCCGTCTGGAAGGCCCATAATATGAATATTCGTTAGTTTAATGGTATTCCATAAATCCTATAGGCTTTCTTTATTATTTTTTATTCTCTTTTCCTTTTTCTTGCCGCTTGTATTATTTCAAAAGAGCTGTTTTCAAGTTCAGAAATTTTTTTTTCCTGCCTGATCTAGTCTGTTGTTGAAGGTCATGACTGTATTTTTAAATTTCATTCATTGAATTTTTCAGCTCTAGGATTTCTGTTTGGTTCTATTTTATGATATCTAGCTCTTTGCTATATTTCTCATTCAAATCAGGAATTATTTTCCTTGTTTCATTGAATTGTGTATCTGTATTCTCTTGTATCTCACTGAATTTCCTTAAGATTATTATTTTGAATTCTATTTCTGGTATTTCACATATTGTCTTATGATTGGGATCTGTTACCTCCTTTGGAGGTAACATATGTACTTACTTTTTCATGGTTGATATGTTTCTACATTGATTCCTATTCATCTGGGGGAAAAGTCACCTCTTGTAATTTTATGGAATAGGCTTTGTAGGGACTTATTTATATGAATAGGTCTTGCGGTATTGGTCTGATGGGGTACATTGATCTTGGCTCTAGGTGGATGCAGTATATAGTCTCTGTGTAGTTTCTTCAGCCATAATCCACATTAGTGGTATTTGTGAGTTTCTCAGTGGCCTAGGCTGAGAGAATCTGTGGTGATGGTGGTGTAGCTTAGCCAAAGGCGGGCTTGTCTGGCTATTTCTCTAGCTGGGGTTGAGTCAGCTAGCTTGGGGTCTGTCTCTCTGGGATTGAGGCCATGGGCTATCTGGCCAGGAGCATGGACATACAGTTGCTTGGCCAGCTTGGAGTTATGCCTGCCAGGAGCAGTGTGCAGCACTGTTTCTCAGGCCCAGGACACTGCTTACACTGCTCAGTTTTTCTAATGGTGTGTTTTCTAAGGGCAGAGCACATGGCTATTTTTCAGGTCTAAGATGTAATAAGATGGCTTCTCAGCTGGCTTGGATGCAAGTACACTGAGGGTGGCCCAGGGGACTGTTTCACCATCTTGGACATGGGCACACTGCTGCTCAGCCAGCCTGGGGGTGTGTCTGCTGGGGGCGGCCCATGGGGCTGCTTCTCAGGCTCAAGATGTGGGTTCAAGACTGTTTGGCTGGCTTGGGGACATTTCTGTAGGTGGTAGTCCATGGAGCTGCTTTGTAGGCCTGGGACACAGGTACAGGTCCACTTTTTCAGTCTGGTGGTGTGCCCACCAGAGGTGCTACCTACAGATTTGTTTCTCAGGCCTGTTTCTTGAGCCTGGGATGTGGGTACATAGCTTCTCAAGCTTGCTTGGGTGCATGTCTGCTAGGGGCAGCCTACATTTTTTTTCAGGTCTGGAATGCAGGTGTGAGGCTGTTCAGCCAGTTCAGAGGCATGCCCACGAGGGGCAGCCTGAAGGGCTGTTTCTCAGGCCCAATATGCAGGCACATGGCTGCTTGACTTGTCTGGGATATGTTCCGCAGGAGTGGCCCACAGGGCTGTTTTCAGGTCTGATACATGGGCTGTTGGCTGTTCAGCCAGCCTTGGACTATGCTTATCAGAGGCAGCTTATGGGATTGTTTTGCAGGCCCTTATGGGTGGAGGGACATTGGGAAGGCCAGGGGTGTCTGCAGAGGGGCAGGGTACTGTGGGGCTGTTTCTCAGGTCCTGAGCCCAGGTCCATAGCCTCTCTGTTGGCCCGGGGTTGTATCAGCTGCTTGGAAGCTCAGGGGCCTCTTCCATTTGGGGGCGATCTCAGTAGTTTGGCCAATTCAAGGGCAGATTTGAACTGGGCAGAGCTGGAAGACTATTCCTCCATCTGAAAGTATGGAGGCAGGAATTGGTTTCTCTGCTGTGCAGGACTGAAGTCACAGCAGATACTGGGTTCAACTCTGCAGAGCTAGGGGTGTGACATTTAGCCACTCATGTGGGCTTGGTGAAATAAAAATGGAGTCCCAGTGCTGAAGAGGTGCAGTGACTGCTGGTCCCCAGAGTAGGGAGGACTCAAGAGGTGGCTCTGGTCTCAAGATGGTGCTGTGCCATAACAGCTTGTCTCCCAGGGGGTGGGTGGGGAGTGCACAACTTGTGTTTCTAACCTGGGGCAATGAAGCTGCATGAATTCCTGGCATCTCTCCAAACTGGGCTCAGGGATTGTGAGGACTGTGGGATTCTCCTGTAGTAAGAACCTTAGGTGTTTGTGGTGGCAATAGGAGCTGGTGGGGATCTTCTCTTACCTTTCCCCTGCAACAGAAAGTCCCTCCTGTCTCTGAGCAGATTCAATCTAGGTTGGGGAGACAGGGCTGCAGAGGCTTGGCCCCTCCCTGCTGCTTTCCTGGACTTCCAGTCACCACAGTTGCATCTTCACTTTCCTGTTGCACTCTAGCACTCTCGTTTCAAATATTAGCTGTTTGTTCTGTGCCTTGGTTCTTTCTTGTAAGAAGGGCAAATTCCAGGCATCTCTAGTCAGCCATCTTGCTGATGCCACTGCAAAAGAAAAAAAAAAAAAACAAATATTATTTATCTTGATTACTGAGCTTTCTGGATCCCCTTAAATTTGGTTTCTGTGGTGAGTGCCTCATTGACCTTACCCTAGTCCTGGCCCTGATTCTCAGCCCCCATCTTTGGGACCCTTAGGTGCCAGACAAAAGTGGTAATGGCATTAAGGGCAAGGCCCTTAATATAGGCTATATGCCACATTATTTAGTAGCCTCTATAATGTGGAGATCAGTTAGCTTTATCTGTACAAAACTGCAAATGAGTGGAATCTATGAGCAGGGCAAACATCTAGCAGTTGGGTCCATAAAAAGAAAAGGAGGGAAGGTGATACCTTCCAAGTGGGAGATGGGAGGAGCATTGAGCAGTACACTTAGGGTCAAACTGCCACCTCCTTTATTCTCATGGGCTGGAGAGCTCTGGGCAATTTGGTTACACTAGGAAGTTACTTCCAGCCTCAGTTCAGCTAGGAGGCTTTGGATGAAATTCTCTCTGGGCCTTGATTTTCTTTTATGTAAAATTAGAAGATTTTTGATTAGCCATTTCTGTTCTTTGTCACAATACTAAATATGTGTGACTTGATTTTGTTTTTCCAATGGTGATTTTCTAAAAATCAGCTCTTAAAAATACAGTGTCAGCCAGGCGCAGTGGCTCACGCCTGTAATCCCAGCACTTTGGGAGGCCAAGGCAGGTGGATCATGAGGTCAGGAGATCAAAACCATCCTAGCTAACATGGTGAAACCCTGTCTCTATTAAAAATACAAAAAATTAGCCGGGCGTGGTGGTGCACCTGTAGTCCCAGCTACTCAGCAGGCTGAGGCAGGAGAATTGCTTGAACCTGGGAGGTGGAGGTTGCAGCGAGCCGAGATGGCACCACTGAACTCCAGCCTCAGTGACAGAGTGAGACTCCATCTCAAAAAAAAAAGAATACAATGTCTTCATTATAAATGATAGCAAATTTGGAAAATCAGAAAAGCGCAAAGAGAAAAAAAATTGTTCATTATTCTACTTCTCAGAGATAACTGATGTTGATATTTTGGTGTATCTAGTCCACACACACATTGTATATAAAACGTACACTACTTTTGGTAACCTTTACAGATTTGGAGGAGAGTGGCTAGAAAGGTGGTAGTGAAAGAAATCTTAATTTGTTTAGAGTCTCCTCTGGAAAAGCTCTGGATTAAAGTTTAATTTTCACAACTGGTGAGGTATTCATTTTTATTTCCATTTTACAAATGAGAAAACTGAGATTCAGAAAAGTTGAGTGGCCTTCCCTAGGTCCCTAGTGAATAAATAAGCAAGGCAGGGTAACAGCTCAAGGCTATCTGTAGGAAATGCCTAGATTATCTGCAGCCCACCCCACTGTTTCCATCACTCTCATTGGGAAAATAAGTCTGGCAATAAAAGCCATATTCCATGCATAGGTAAATACATTTTTACTAAAATTAAATATATTGTGGGACTCTGAGAATTCAAATTTAGATAAAGTCTATAAGATATTCAAAAGGGTTTGTTTTTCTCTGCTATTTCTAGAGAATATCTTTTCTTGGGCAGACTTAAATTCAGGTTCTGGCAAAAATGCCTGCATGAAATTTTTTTCTGAATGGAAGGAAAGCAATTTTTTATTGAATTTGGAAAGCATATACTTAACATCGATACTGATCGCAAGAGATTAGGCAAAACTTTCTTTTCTACTTTAAAACTTTAATTCAAAATGTGCTGTTGAGAGTGGAGTCAAAATCAGTGCTTTGGTAAAGTCTCTAGGGTTCAGGTGCTATGCAGGTTCTTACATTAGGTATTTGAACCACACATTTTAAGGTAATGATCTCACAGCTGCCTTAAAAATGTACTAATTGTAGAAGGGGGAGACATGCAGAAACTAAACATTAGCTGGTGGAACCATGGGAACTCTTTTAGGAACTGAACTTCAATATGCTTGAATGCTTGAGTTAACTATTACTTCAAGAGAATCTAGATTTAGGAAAAGACAGAATTTTATAGGCTAAACTGAAGCATTTGAGTCTACAATGGGTGTTTTGTTAAAAAGTTCTTCCCATTCCCCAACACACTAAAAAGACAGAAAGTTGAGTTGCACTGGTAAGGAGAGCAGGGTAGGACACAAGGCTGACTCTCGGCGCTTGCGGAGGGGGGCTGTAAATTAGCTCCTTCCTTTTTATGTCTTGGGTTTCCCATCAGTGAAACCAGTGAAACCCATGATACAAAACTTTCTGCTACCTTCTCAACTCTCACCTTCAATGGCATGTTTTGAGAAGATGATTATCTGCCCATATATCCAGACAGTTAATTCCAAGAAAAAATAGTGCATAAAAATCAATGGTATTTTGCTTTTCATCCCTTCTTTCTTTCTCCCATGGCTAGGACAAGGCAATCCAAGTGGGGAAGTGTGGAGGAAGGGATCCCCCTTCCAGAGTCTGCTCAAAGGGCTGCTCACTACACAGGTGGGAGAGTCAGGTTGTAACTTCATCTCCTTAGCTGCAAATAACCTTGCCCATGTCCCAGTTTCTTCATCTGCAAATTGGAACTAATATTTATGTTGTAGCTCAAAGGGATTTAGTCAGGCCTAATGAGATCAGTTGTGCAGCGGGTTTGGTGCTTGTTGGATGAAAGACATTATATAAATACATCGTCATTTTCATTAGGATTATTTTCATCATCATTCTATGGTAAACACAGCTGTGGCAACATATGTTTTAAAGATTTAAATAAACATTCCTAAATTTGTGAAACCTGATTCACTTTTGCCCAATTTGGCTAAATTTGCCATCATTTTGAATATTCTGAAGGCAAGCCTTTCAATGCACAAAGCCTCCCCTCCATAACAAGGACCTATTCACTGACAAGCACAATTTTCTTTCTTGCAAGCTCTTGAAAAACAGCAAAATTGCCCAAAGTGATGGCCTGGTAATTTGGAGGTGGGGCTCCCTTATAGGAATGGTGTGAAGGAGGGTCATTTATAAAAGTGACACTGGAGTGCATCCCAGTCCTGCCTACCTCCTACACAAAAGCTTGATTCCTGGAAAGGTAGAACAAATCAATTGAAGGGGCTTAAGTAGTTTGTTTGTTTGTTTGTTTGTTTCTGTGTTTTAACTTGGAGATCAAATCATGGCTATGTCTTTAGCGGTTCAAAATATTGGCTATAGGCCACTTGTATTTTGGGTCATATCATAACTATTTACTTCATCTTTTCCCAGGATTAAGCATGTGGTGACCCAGCTGCACAATTTAAAGGGCCCAAAGCATTGAATCCTTTGTGCCTGTATGAGTTACATGGAACCAGCTGTAGGCAGTGTTGCACCAGTAAAAAGGACTCACACCTTTTTTGGCTCTTTCCCCAAAGACATTGTCTTCAGTGCTTTGGGTGGCAGAACCATAACTCTCAAGTTTCTTTTGGGGCAATGCAGATAAGTAATCAGCTAAATCAGGGACAATCCAAGGACTCCATATTTTGGCTTTTTCCGATATGCCCATAATTGAACAAACTCGGTGTCAGGGCAGTGATTAATTAGGTTTGCAACCCTGCTGTTGATTCCTTATTTATCTTTACACAAACTTGTTCTCAGTCTTGAGTACATTGCATAAACTGGTGATTACCTGTCTTGGTTTTATAACATTCCACACTATCTCCAGTTGCCTTAGAGTTGTACATTTTAAAAATAACTTTATTTAATTTATTGGAAGAATAAATACATGTCCTAGAGTGCTTTTAGGGAGAAACGTTTTCAAGCCAAATAATAATAATAGTTTGGGAGTATCTCGCATAGAGAGATAGTGGTAGTGATGACCAGATTTAGAGCTTTTACCTTAATTTAGGCTTCAGGGTGTGCCCCGGGAAAGGGTCACCCAGAGGGGGGGAAAAAACACGTTTAGGAAGATGAAGATGAAACATTCTTATCAGGAGACAAAAGGAGGAGGATGTTTTGCTTTTCTCTATAAAGCTAATACTATTTGTTAAGCCAAAGAATTTCAAACCTCATGAACACGTTACCTCAGAATCTCATTCTTGGGTTGAGAGTATAGCCAGGAATGTTCAGCTTAACAAATTTCTAGGTGATCCTGTTGGAAGTGGTTTCTATAATTGCAATTTGAGAATAACTGATTTAAATGCCATCTCTTCTAATCCAATTCAAAATGAGAGCAATAGTAAATCAGTGTTCTCCAAGAAGACACTAGCTGTGTTGTTCTTAGAGAGCTACCCTCCACACTCCACCTTTGCCCTTCATCCAAGAAGAGGAATAGGCGGTAAGAAATGAAAGATATCCCTGGAGACTCCAAGAAATATCTGGGTGAGCTTTTGGGGCAGGGGGAGACAGGTGAGATAGGTCCTCGTTATCTCATGGTCCTGCAAAGAGATAAGGCCTCCAGGAAGTGGAGGAATGGAGAGCCACTGTAATTCTGGCCTTTGTGTGGTATGAACCAAATGGGGCTATGGCAGGCTGAATGATGCCTCCTCATCCCCAAAGATGTCTAAGTTCCAATATCTGGAACCTC